>NC_000010.11:130974069-131285549 GCF_000001405.40 Homo sapiens
AATTTACCCATAAAATTATTTCGTTATATGACAAAGTCATTCTTTGTCTCCAAAGTCATTCATTCTTCAGCCACCTGAACCCTGGGCATGTGTTTTTTGGAAGATCTGTGTCCTGTCTTTTATCTTTTTCTGAAACGAGACATGAGGCACATTGCTGGTGTGTCGGAGAGATGCGCTTCACATATTGGACAAGCAGGAACAGATGGACACCATTGTGGTGCTCACAAGGTACCAAGTTCACTTCCAATTTCAGGAGAGGCGATTCCGCCTTATGGGCTGCCTACAGCTGGCCAACCAGAGGAAGCTGGCGGCACACACAACCCATATTTGTAAACGCTCTGGGAATCAAATGCCTGTGCAAATAGAATCTTGGTAAAATGTTTATCCAAAAATAAAGTGGCAATATCGCATTTATATATTTACTTCTAGATAAAATAAAATTGATCAAACAAATGTGGTGTCTTAACCACACAGCAGTCATTTTCATCAGGTAAATAAGCCATTCATGGTGTGTTTAGGGAAAAGTACAGTCTAAACTTCCTCTAACGAGAAGTCAAAGGGATAATCAGTTTCTATCCAGAATAAAATACACATCTAACCTTTGATGGTTCAAACATTACTGAACAATTTCTTCATTCAATTCAAGAGATTAAGATCAAAGAATGACATCAGCTTAAGCTCTTGGCACAGGCATTCTCACTGGTGAATTCTGCCCAGTATCCCAGGAATCAGTAACTTCCATGCTATTTAACATTGTCCAGTACAGGAATATGATAGAATATTATCTAATGCATTTTTGTGTTTGCAAATTTTATTTATTATGCCCACCTGTATTTATTGGCCACCTAACCTAACCTAACTTAGGTGGCCAATAAATACAGCATTCTATGCAGTAGAGTTTTATGGAAGAGAACAAAAGAGAAGCATATCACTGTCCTTGTGGGAATCACCTTCCAATGGCTGGGATGGAATAGTCGTCAAATGGGTAAATGCCGACGTCAAAAGACAGCAGTGGGAGAAAAGAAGGAGAGCTGGAGGGTGACCAGGAGTGTGGAAGAGCCGGAGGCTGCAACTCTGAATAGGAAGATGAAACAAACATAGAAGCACCTAAGATTCATAGCCACGTAGGACTACCCAGGTTAACGAATATTTATGATTAATCTTTTTGTTTTTTTTTGAGATGCAGTTTCACTCTTGTTACCTAGGCTGGAGTGCAATGGCACGACCTCGGCTCACTGCAACCTCCACCTCCTGGGTTCAAGTGATTCTCCTGCCTCAGCCTCCTGAGTAGCTGGGATTACAAGCATGCACCACCACGTCCAGTTAATTTTTGTATTTTTAGTAGAGACGGGGTTTCTCCATGTTGGTCAGGCTGGTCTCGAACTCCCGACCTCTGGGTGATCTGCCCGCCTCGGCCTCCCAAACTTCTGGGATTACAGGCATGAGCCACTGCACCCTGCCTGTTTAATCTTTTTATGGAAGGAAAAAATCCAGCCAATGCCACCATCCTTTCTGGCTCTTGTTCTCACCTTAACCACTCCCCGACCTCAGGGTGGGCCCATCTGAAAGTTCCTGTGGTTCTTTTCCAAAGATGTTTGAACACTCTCATTGTGAAGGTGGGTACTCACAAAATACATGTCGTATTGCATTAAAGCTTTAAGTGTGTTGTTCCACAGGTCGTTTAATCATCCTCTTATTTTCTAAACAGCTTTATTGAGATGTAATTCACATACGAGGCAGTTCACCCGCTTCAAGTGTACAATGTGGTGGGGTTTTTTTCAGTATATTCAAAGTTGCACAATCATCACCATAATCTAATTTTATATTTTCATCACCCCCATAAGAAACCCAGGCCTATAGGCAATCACTCCCCATTCCTTCCACCTCATCTAGCCCTAGGGAACCATTCATCTGTTTTGTCTCAATTCTGAACACATTACATACATAAATGACACTATGCAATGTGTGATCTTCCGTGACTCTCTTCTTTAATGTCGCATGTTTTTAAGGTTCACCCTAGTTGAGGTGTGAGTCAGGGGCTCTTTCTCCTCCTTACTTTATTCCTTTTCACTGCTGAATAGTATTCTGCTGTATAACTACACCGTATCTGTTGACCCACTCATCACTTCATGATCATTTGGGTTGCTTTGGGTTGTTTCTACCTTCTGGCTTTCGTGAATAATGCTGCCATAAACATTTGTGTGCAAGTTTTCATGTGGACATATGTTTTCATTTCTCTCCTACTAGGGTTGCTGACTTGTATGATAACTATGTTGAACATATTGAGAAAATGCCAAAATGTTCTTGAAAGTGGTGGTAACTTTTCCATTCCCACCAGCAATAGGTGAGAACTCCAGTTTTTCCATGTTTTCACCAACACTGGTTACTCTCTGCCCTTCTGATTATAGCTGCCCTAATGGTTATTAAGTGTGGTTTGAACTTGCACTTTCAGAATGTTTAATGTTGCTAAGCAACTTGTAATTGCTTCTTGGCCATTTGTTTGTCTTGTTTGAAAGGATATTTATCCAGATTATGTGCCCATGTTAAAAATTACGATATTTTAAAATTATTTGCTTTTAAGAGTTCTTTACGTATTTTGGAGATAAATCCCTTACCAGAGATATGATATACAAGTTTTCTCCCATTCCATGGGTTGTCATTCTGCTTTCTTGATGGTATCATTTTCAACACAGAAGTTTTTAATTTTGATAAAGTCCAATTTGGCATTTTTTTCTTTAGTTGCTTATGGTTTGGTGGAATACTTATAAAGGTTATTCTGGGACTCCTGCATTTCCATAGAAATAAGTTTTATAATTGCTACCAAAGAGAGCCAGCTTGTATTTTGATAGAGATCATGTTTTATTTTTCAGATCAATTTGGTGAGTATTGCCAAATTTTAAGTTTTCTGATCCATGAACAAAAGATGTCCTTCCAATTATTTAGATCTTTATTTCAAAAATATTTTATAGTATTCAAAGTACAAACATTATACTTTTTACTAAATTTATTTTCATATTTTATTATTTTTATTCTGTCATAAATTGAATTGTTTTATTAAATTCATTCTTAATTGCCTGTTGTTAGTAACTAGAAATACAAATAGTTTTGTATATTGATCTTATATTCTGTAATGCTGCTAAACTTGTTTCTTAGTTCTAATATATTTTATTTGTGGGTTTCTTGGAATTTTTAATATACATCATACTGTCTGCAAATAGAGCTAATTTTACTACTTTCTTTTAATATGGATGACTTTTATTTTGTTTTCCTTCATTATTACCCTGGCTGGAAACTCCAATATAATAGAATAGAATAGAAGTGGCAAGAGCAGGCTTTTCTGTCTTCTTTCTGACCTTAGGGAGCTTCAGTCTTTCCCCATGAATTATGACATTATCTGTGGCTCTTTTGTATATTCCCTTTATCATACTGAGGAAATTCTCTTCTATTTCTATTTTTTTTAATGAATATGTGCTACATTTTCTGAAATTCATTTTATCCATTATTTAAGGGATCATAGGGATTTTATACTTTATGCTTTTGGTATGGAGTATTACAGTGATTGATTTTCAGGTGCTAAACCTACCTTGAATTCCAGGGATAAATTCAGCTTAGTATGGTGTATTATCTTTTTTATGTGTTGCAGGATTTTGTTTTCTATTATTTTATTGATGATTTTGCATCACTATCCATAAGGCATATTGTTCAGCATTTTTCATTTCTTGCCAAATGTTTGTCTGGTTTTGGTATCAGGGTAATACTGGCCTTACAAAATCACTTGGGGCCAGGCCCGGTGGCTCATGCCTGTAATCCCAGCACTTTGGGAGGCCGAGGTGGGTGGATCAGGAGGTCAGGATATCAGGACCATCCTGACAAACATGGTGAAACCCTATCTCTACTAAAAATACAAAAAAATTAGCCAGGTGTGGTGGCGGTTGCCTGTAGTCCCAGCTACTCAGGAGACTGAGGCAGGAGAATGGCATGAACCCGGGAGGCGGAGCTTGCAGTGAGCCGAGATCGCTCCACTGCACTCCAGCCTGGGCGACAGAGCAAGATTCCATCTCAAAAAAAAAAAAAAAAAAAAATCACTTGGGAAGTGGTTTTGATTTTCTATTTCTTGGAAGAGTTTGTGAAAAAATTGATAATTCTTCCAGAAATGGGTCCATTTCATCTAAGTTATCTAATTTGTTGACACAGTTTTAAAAAAAAAATTATTATCATCTTTTCTGGTGCTGTAAGGTCAGTAGTAATGTCTCTTCTTTCCTCCCTGCCTTCTTGTTTATAGACACTTAGAGTGGAACTTCAGTCCCGCTTAACTGGGGGAAAGAGGGAAGAGTTAGATGCAAGCACAACCTAAATGCCACTGCCTCTCATTCTTCTCACCGAGACTTACTAGATTTTCACCAAATGATGTTTCTCCATTTACCATATGCTCTTAGGACAATCTCTAGATATATTAATGACATTGTTTTATTTTATTTTATAATTTTCAGCAGTTAAATTGTTGCTTCATGGAAGAAAGAGTCCATTTTACTCATTATCATGACATTTTGGAAATCAAACTCCAATCATTAAATTTTAAGTTTTTCAGGTTGACACATGCAGCTCGTTTATTTAAATAATGCATGGTATTTCAACACATGAAAATACACTTTCAGCTTGCTCATAAACACTGAAATTCTGTCCCTTTTCCTCTATACAATGATGCTCTAAGTATCTCTCTATATGATTTTTTGTGTGTGTGAATATATACCTAAGAGTAACATTGTAGGTTGGAGAATATTTGAATCTTTCATTTTATTAGATTTTGCTCAATTGGCTACACAAATTTAAGCCTCAGTCACCATCAGTGCTTTACAGTTTAGTCACCACTTGACAGAGTCTGAATTTTGAATCTGTCAGAGTCAGAATTTTGAATCTGTCAGTCTGAGTCAGTCTAATTCTTTTGGTTTTAATTTTATTTTTCTCTGATTGCTAGTGAGCTTGAGAATCATATCACGTTCCTGGGTCTTTGGATTTCCCTTCACATTGATTTTCTATACATATCCTTTGCCGTTTTTTCACTAGCTTTAAAAAAATACAGTATGATTCCAATTGATGTTTCTGTGTCTAAGAGAGCTTTTGATCTTTGTGTTTTATCTCGTTTCTAGTAATCTCATTGAACTCTCCTATTCACATGAAAACTTTTTCTACAGAATCTCTTATGTCTGATATGTTGACAGTTTTATTTCATCCTTTCCATGATTTATAATTTAATTTATTTTTATTATCTTACTATTTTCTCTGGAAACGCTAACATAATGTTAAATAGCACCCAGTGATGACAACCACTCTTACTGCTCACTGAAAAAAGAATACTTTTTTTTTTTCTTTTTTGAGACGGAGTTTCACTCTGTCGCCCAGGCTGGAGTGCAGTGGCGCGATCTCGACTCACTGCAAGCTCCACCTCCCGGGTTCACGCCATTCTCCTGCCTCAGCCTCCTGAGTAGCTGGGACTACAGGCGCCCGCCACTGCGCCCAGCTAATTTTTTTTTGTATTTTTAATAGAGACGGGGTTTCACTGTGGTCTCAATCTCCTGACCTCGTGATCCACCCGTCTCAGCCTCCCAAAGTGCTGGGATTACAGGCGTGAGCCACTGCGTCCAGCCAAAAGAACACTTTCTATCTGTAAACATAATATTTTTGTGTAATTTTTGGTAGATGCTATTTATTAGGCATCGTGTCACATACTGGGTTCTTTGGAAGTGGGAGCTAAAGTGGAGATTAGGTTGAAAGATTTTATTAGGAATCATAACCTGTAAAGGGGAGAGAAGGGTGATTAGGAAGAGGGAGAAATGAACTGTGATCAATAATACCTCATAGACATGGCAAAGATTTCCTTGGTGGTGAAGTTGTTAGGGGTAAAGTTGTGAGTGGAGGTGATATTGGAGAGAAGGAAAGAACCCCACTGAGAACCTCACGCCTGTAATCCTAGCACTTTGGGAGACTGAGGTGGTCAGATCACCTGAGGTCAGGAGTTCAAGACCAGCCTGGCCAACATGATAAGACTCCATCTCTACTAAAAATACAAAGATTTTCTGGGCATGGTGGTGCATGCCTGTAATCCCAGCTACTTAGGAGGCTGAGGCAGGAGAATCACTTGAACCCAGGAAGAAGAGGTTACAGTGAGTGAAGATCACAAGATGACATCACTGCACTCCAGCCTTGGCAACAGAGCAAGACTCTGTCTCAAAAAAGATATATATCTATATCTATATCTATATAGATAGATATTTATATATTTATATATATTACATATAAATAATACATATTTATATATTACATATAAATATATATTATATATTACATATAAATAATATATATTTGTATATTACATATAAATAATATGTATTTATATCTTAAATATATATAATATATATTTATATATTATATATTTATATATTATATATATTTATATATTATATATTATATGTTTATATATTATATATTTATATATTATATATTATATATTTATACATTTAATGTATACATTAAATATATAATATATTATATATTTAATATATAATATATATATACATTAAATATATAATATAAATATACATTATATATAATGTATAAATACATTTACATTTATATATAAATTTATATGTAAATTTATATATTACATATTAATATGTAATGTATAATATATGTTACATATTAATATGTAACATATATTATACATTACATATTAATATAATATATATTATACGTTACATATTAATATAATATATATTATACGTTACATATTAATATAATATATATTATATGTTACATATTAATATAATATATATTATATATTACAAATTAATATATATAATATATATTATAAATTACATATTATATATAATATATATTATAAATTACATATTATATATAATATGTATTATAAATTACATATTATATAATATATATTATAAATTACATATTATATATAATATATCTCATATATTACATATTATATATATCTCATATATTACATATTATATATCTCATATATTACATATTATATATATCTCATATATTACATATTATATATCTCATATATTACATATTATATATATCTCATATATTACATATTATATATCTCATATATTACATATTATATATGATATATCTCATACATTACATATTATATATGATATATCTCATACATTACATATTATATATGATATATCTCATACATTACATATTATATATGATATATCTCATACATTACATATTATATATGATATATCTCATATATTACATATTATATATGATATATCTCATATATTACATATTATATATGATATATCTCATATATTACATATTATATATGATATATCTCATATATTACATATTATATATGATATATCTCATATATTACATATTATATATGATATATCTCATATATTATATTATATGATATATCTCATATATTACATATTATATATGATATATAATATATTACATATTATATATGATATATAATATATTACATATTATATATGATATATAATATATTACATATTATATATGATATATAATATATTACATATTATATATGATATATAATATATTACATATTATATGAGATATATAATATATTACATATTATATATGATATAATATATTACATATTATATATCATATATAATATGTAGCATATTATATATGATATATAATATATTACATATTATATATGATATATAATGTATTACATATTATATATGATATATAATGTATTACATATTATATATGATATATAATATATTACATATTATATATGATATATAATATATTACATATTATGTATGATATATAATATATTACATATTTATTATATACATATATATTATATATTACATATTTATATATTATATATTATATATTACATATTCATATATAATATATATTATATATTACATATTCATATATAATATATATTATATATTACATATTCATATACAATATATATTATATATTACATATTCATATATAATATATATTATATATTACATATTCATATATAATATATATTATATATTACATATTCATATATAATATATATTATATATTACATATTCATATATAATATATATTATATATTACATATTTGTATATAATATATATTATATATTACATATTTGTATATAATATATATTATATATTACATATTTATATATAATATATTATATATTACATATTTATATATAATATATATTATATATTACATATTTATATATAATATATATTATATATTACATATTTATATATAATATATATTATATATTACATATTTATATATATGGTACATATATTTTACATAATATATGTATAGTTATGTAACTTATATAATTATATTTATGTAATTATGTATATATATTACATATAAATATATATTTATATATATATTTAGATGATGACTTTTCTATACTTCAAGACTTCACTGAGCTATTAAGCATATAAACATTCAAGAAAAGTGTATAGAATGCACTTCCCCCAAAATTGTTTGACACTGTGACTCCCTTTTGAGCAGAATACTCAAGAAAATCATATGCTTTTAAAATAAAGAAACAATAAAGACGTGTGAAAAGACATACAAAAAGTTAAAAGAATTTAGCTTCACAAACCTGAACTACAAACATAAGTCATATATCACATCCCTATTTTAGAGCTTTCAGTGGGTTCTCGTGGCATAATAATAATAATAGTAAGGTAGGTAGATAGGTAAGTAGGTAGATACATAGATGATAGAAGGATGGATAGAGAGATAGATAGATAGATAGATAGATAGATAGATAGATAGATATACAGACAGACTGACAGACCCAAGCTATGCTCAGTGTCTTCTAAGTATCTCTGGCATCTGACTGTTTTCACTGGGTATAGAATTCTTGGCTGACAGGTTTCCCCACCCCATCTCCCTAATTGCAGCATTTTAAAGTTGCTGGCTCTCTGTTTTCCAGCTTACAGTATTTCCAACAAGAATTTTTCTATCACTATTATCTTTGCTCTTACATATGCAATATGCGTTCTTCTCTGAATGTTTTGAAGATTTTCTCTTTATGACTGATTTTGAACAATGTACCTACACTGTGTTTGGGTGTGGTTCTCTTCACGTTTGCTTTGCTTGGGACCCATTCAGCTTCTTGGATTTAGGGGTTACAGTTTACATCAATTTTGTGAAGGTTTTGACTATTTCTAAAAATATTATTTCTGACCCCTTCTCCTTCTCGCATTTGTGGTATCCAATTCGACATATCTTGTTTATTAAACTGCTCAAGCACAGCTCACTCATGCTCTTTTCATCTTTTGGTTTTCTTTTATTCTCTGCATGCTTCATTTGGGGTCGTTGCTTGGTCTACACGCTAACAAATCTTTTCTTCAGCAATGCCCAATCTACCAGCAATCATATCTAGCATGATTTGAACCTCAGACATTATAGTTTTCATCTCTAGAAGTCTGACTTGAATCTTTTTATATGTTCAATGAGTCTATTTCATATTTTTAATCTTTCCTTTGGCTTTTCAAACATGGAACATAATTATAATAACTGTTTTAATATTTTTATCTATTCCATCTTATGTGTCAGTTGTGGGTTAGTTTTGGTTGACTAATTATTTCTCAATTATGGTTTGTTTTTTCCTGTTTCTTTTCCTTCTTCATGATTCTTGGTGGTATGCTACGTATTGTAAAATGAACCTTATAGAGTGCTGATATTTTTGAGTCATGTTACTCAACATGACTCAAAAATATTTTTGGTTACATAGAAACAGTGGGATCCTTTCAGGTCTTGCTTCTAAGCTTTCTCAGTTGGGGCCAGAACAGCCTTTGGTCAAAGGCTAATCATTCCCCACCACTTAGGCAAGATGCTTCAGAGTACTCTGCCTGCCACCTCGTGAATGTAAGAGTTTCTATTCTGGTTGGTTAGAAAAGAAAGTGAGAATAACAATGGGGTTTATGTAATGTCCCAGAAGCCAAGATCAGAAAGTGGATCAGTGAGGGAGAGGTCAGCCATGAAGACCATTGCTGAGAAGGTGAGCTGGATGCTGAGGCTCACTGCATTGGGAACCCATGGTGTGCTGGTGAGCTTGACACATGTCATGTCAAAGACAAAATGAGTCTGGATTGCAGCCAATGAGGCAAGAATGAGGGGTGAGGAAGCGGAGGTAGTGACCGCGGAAAGCCATCTTCAGTGACTTGCCATAGTGGGGAACAGAGAGACGTGGCATCGCCCCTTTGGTGTGGGTTAGGATGGGGGCAAGTAGCATCAAATAAACGTTGATTTAAAAGGCAACAGTTTCTCTGGGTCTCAGAGACATGGAGCTCATGGGATGAAAGGGAGGGGCGTGGGCCTTTAAGGAGGAAGGTGGAGGGTGGGGGGTGGGGAGCCTGTTGGGGGGCAGGAACTGGGGGATTCACGATTCTCATGAACCCATTTATGTGTATGGGTCTCACATCAGCATAAACGCTCCCAGAGCCCCATACACATTTTTTCTGCTTTTCCTGGATAAGATAAGTAAAGAGGTCACAGTGTTCCCATTTGGCTTTGTTGGGCCTTTTTCTGAGCACCTGTGCTCTTCAAACCTTCCCCTCTGAATGCTTGTAAATGTTGTCCAAAGAGGAAGGTCCAGTATCTTGGGGGACATGCCTTCCCCCACCCTCCATGTCTTTCCTGGCTCTCTTCCCCATGAGGGCAGCAGAGCACAGGCCACTTTGAGTGACCCTGAGAGCCCCTTCCTTCCACTTCTTACAAGACTTCACCCACACAGCCCCTACCTGCACCTCCCCAGACTGCCCCCACTGCAGTGCCCCCGCTCCCCTCCTGCAGTGGGGCCCTGAGGGAAAGCGGAGCTCCTGGAGTGGACCCTGCACTGGGATCTACAGAGGATTATCTTTCCCTCCTCCTCCAAAGGGCCCCTTCTGCTTCTCCGGAGACAATTAAGGCCTGACAATTTTTCATAAGGGGACACTGCCCATCCCACTTAGGATGTCCATTCCATGGCCTCCCCAGGAGAAGACGAGTCCACTGACCTCTCCCAGACAGGAATTCAATTTTCCTCTCATCCCACGCTCATTACTTCTGAAGCCGTTAATTGCACATCAAGCTGCTGTGTCTGGCGTGTGACAAATACGTTTCGAAGAATCTTAGAGAAGCCAGAGTGGATACAACCGACACGCAGCAGGCACACTGGAGCATTTCACCAGAAGCGCCTTCGTCCCAGGCAACTGGGAGCTCTTCTCCTCTGCACAAGCAGGTGCCTGGGGAGCGCTGTGGGTGCCTTCCCACAGCAGGCCTTCCGCTCCACACCAAGGTGTCTAGATCAGATGTGAAAACATCCATCAGTCAACTCCTTTTGTCTCTCTCTGTGAAATGATGGATTGACTGCTGCCTTCTCAACTGAACTATCTTGTTTTGGGGAGGGAGGGTCTTCCTCGGCAGTCCGAGTGTCTTGGGCCAGCAGAGCAGGGCAGGATCCGGGAGCTGGGTTTACAGACAGGTGCTGATCCACCCTCCCTCCCAGCCCATGATGGACGGGCTGTGTTAGCAGTCCACTGGGGAAAGGGTGGCCATATTTTGCCACTTATGGGATACCTGGAGAATATGTGATTCATGGCAGTATGGAATCAAGCGAGATAAAACAATCAATTTATTATTTCAGACATTCCTGAGCTTCGCTTTTCAGCCATCTTCAGGTTTCTGATAGTCTGAGAAGCAGAAGATTGCCCAGTAAAGAAATCTTATGGCATGATTTTTGCAAAGCGAAGTCTCTCCTCCCCCTCCACTGGTGAATGATTAGGCAGAACGGCTCCGATGAAGCAGTGAGAGATGGCTTCAGAGCACACCCCTGCATCCCGGGGCTGTTCTCCTGTGCACATGGCAGCATTTTCACATTTATAACAAATGTTCTGCCCTTTGTGGCTGGCACTCATGGGTTCAGGGATATCTGATCTGAATGCTCAGATATAAGGATTATCTGGTCTGGCCTGGTGCTGCTGTGAGGACGAACCAAGTCAGACCTTTCGCCTCTGAGGCCAAGATCATCAGCCTTTTCAGGGGCTTCCTAACTGGACCAGGAAAGCCACGCCCAGCACCAGCCTCACAGGCATGCCTTGATCAATGGATGCCCCGAATTGTCAGAGTAAAACACCACCGTTGCCTGAGACTGGGATGGACCAGCCTCTCTGCGGCCTGGACAAGAGGGCCACCCTGAACCTTCCTCAGTACCCATGACCCAAGCCTTAGGGCAAGGAAGAATTTCAGGAACATGTCTCTTGATTCTAGAAAAAAAAGAGTCTTTCTCACAAATAACATCTTCTGCCCCTAGGGATCTGCTCTTGGGTTTAAGACTTTGAGTGCGTCGTTGGTAACTTCAGAAGGAAAGAAAGTGCTCTGTGGTCTCTTAGCTATTTTTCCCTTCATGTCAGTGAATTAGAGCCCTCAGGCCCAGGGCAGCTCAGAAGGGCAGGTGGCTGGAGCCAGGCCCAAGAGCACCTGCAAAGGGCGTTTACCAGGAGGGGTTGAGGGCCCTGTACACAGGAGTCTTCAGTGGGTGAACCCCAAGCCCAAGGCACCCCAGAAAGGCTGACCCTCCCCCCTGGCCTGGGGCACTCATCCCTTTCCCAACTCTCCATTATAGTTGGAAATGTGCTCCACAAACTGCATTTTCTACCTATCTTCTTCCTTGCTTCTCCCACTCTCCTTGACTAATTTTCTATGTAAGAACATTTATTAAAGTGCCTTGTAAAAATGACTTGTACAGCCTAGGAGTCACTGGGTGGACAGCCCGGGGTCCTCCAAGAGCAGCAGCTGAGTCATCAGATAAGGGCTCCAAGTGTGATTCTGGGTGCCTGGGGGCCTGGGTCCCTGCCCAGGGCAGGAGGCATCTGTGAAGGATGCAGGTGTCTTTGAACGGGCCTGGGGGCATATTTAGGCCACACCATAGCAACCGCGCCCCACACAGCTCTGCTGTGTCTTTTGTTCATCTTCCCAGCCTTGCTCCTTTCCACTCTGAAGTAGGCTGGTTGCTATGGAAACAATAGCATCCTATGGGCTGGCTTAAGGTTACCCACAGGGGTATCAATCTCCATGGGTGACTGAAGGCACAGCCCAGCATGTGGGCAGGAGAGACAATGAGTGCCACTGGGACTCTTCCACCCTCTTCTGCTCTGAGAGGCCCAGAAACTGCCCTCTGCCTGGCCATGAGCTCAAACACGGGCAACGCGTGCTGCCCTGGCTCTTGGTCAGCTGCAAAATGGAGACCCCCACCTGTGTGGAGCTGTAGCAGGAATGAAGCTGCCATCAATCCCAGCACTGCTCTGTCCTTGCGGCCAGGGCATCCAGCCAGTGGGCCTGGCTGCCCCAGTTTACCTGGGGATCACACGCATGCACATTCCTGTCCATCACCCTTTTCTCCAGGGCCTGCAGGGGCCTCTGATCCCCTGGCCTGGGAGGCCCCCTCAGACTCACCTCCACGGCTTCAGGTTCTGCCCCCTCCATGGGTCCCGCCCTGCAGAGACTCCCCGACTCCCCTCCGCTCCTCCACCCTCAACTTCCTTGGGGCCCCAGCCTGCGTGGCTGCCCCTGAGTCCCAGCTCTGAGGCCCAGGGCCAGCCAGGCCATCCCAGGGAAGCTTCTTCAAGGGAGCTTCTAAGGGCTGTTCTGTGGCAGCTTCATTTCCCATCACTCTAGGGGACACAGGACCATGGCTTTCCAGTACACACTGGCTGGGTCTCCGGGGACCTGGCAAATTGGCATTTTGTCTCTAAACCACTCCTGAAGGGCAGCAGTCCATGCGCTTCTCTCACCAACTTCTGCAGAGGGCATTTGGAGCCCTCCTTCTCCTCCAGGTCCCAGACTGCCTTCTGATTCCAGCACCTGGGTTCTCTAGCCCCTGCCTGCAGCCCCCCTACCCAGTATGGGTATAAGGTCCTCTCAGGGATGCTATACCAGGCCAGACTCTGCCAGCTGCTGCAATGTCCCCAGGCTTCTTGCCTATTCAGGCACAGAGTGTGGGCGTTTTCCCTGAGCCCTCCACTCCTACCACCCTCCCGGCCCTGGACTGTATCCCCCCATGCCTCGCTCTTCTTCCCCAGGAAGGAAGGACTCTGCTTTTTTCATCCTTCCATGGCAGCTCCTTTCCTTGAAAACATAACAACACAACTGGCCTCTGGGGCCTGTGACCACCAGCTGAGGAGAGACCTTCTCAGAGCAGAACACCCACAGGATACAGGTTGGCCTCATGGAACCCACAGCCGGCCTCACCCCCAGTTGTGGGCCGGGGCAGCCTCCATACTTCCCATGGGCTATGAACTGGTGGAAATTCTTTCCAGAAGGATGCAGACCCTTACACACAGTGTCTTGTGATTAAGTATGAACCACTTCGCAGTGTACTATATAGAAATGAAAAGTGTGGGCCGGGCGCGGTGGCTCACACCTGTAATCCCAGCACTTTGAGAGGCTGAGTAGGGTGGATCACGAGGTCAGGAGTTTGAGGCCAGTCTGGCCAATATGGTGAAACCCCGTTGCTACTAAAAAATTTTTTTAAAAAAATTATCCGGCCATGGTGGCATGCGCCTGTAGTCTTAGCTACTCGGGAGGCTGAGGCAGGAGAATTGCTTGAACCTGGGAGGTGGAGGTTGCAGTGAGCTGAGATCACACCACTGCACTCCAGCCTGGGTGACAGAGTGAGGCTATGAAAAAAAAATGAAAGAAAGAAAACAGAAAAAAGAAAAGTGCGTGTGGCATGTGTGTGTCCCGTGGAGAGAGAAACTATGCACTGAAGCAAGATCACTTAGGGGAAGGCTTTTCATGGTCTTTTCACTTTGGGGGAAGGTCATTCTTTACTCCATATTTCTCTAATGTCTGCTGCTTATACAGCATGTATGCTTTATATTTGAGATCAGAAAATAAGGGCCCGATATCGCCACAACCTAAAGGGATCTGAGATGGTGATGCTGCTGAGATGGAGTGAGCAGTGCTCCCCGGAGCCAAGGCTCTGTGCTCAGCCTGCCTGTCCACTGTCTGTTCACCATCTTGAACACGTGCAATGTCTATTTGCAGCTAAGGGCAGGCTGTGAAGGAAACTCACTGTCTGCTGTGTCTATGATGATCCCCAACAGTGCTCCTGGGACCTTTCCCAGCACCAGAGGTGCAGAAGGTGTTCACATTCCTGGAAGGTGAGGTGAGGACCCTGACATGCTTCTCTGACGGTGTGTGTGAAAATGTGCTCCAGCAAGATGAGGGAGAGTGATGGGAGACCCAGGAGCTGCTGTGTCACTGGCGAGGGCAAGACACACATGCTGATAAAGACATCTCAGGAAAGCTTGCCTCACCGCCTGCTCACGCTGCCTCTTCTCAGTTTCCCTCTGCCATCCGAGCCTGGTTTTTGCCTTCTACCTGCATATCTCTGGCCCTTGTCCCTCTCTTCAAGGCCAGAGAGTAGAGCCAGCTTTAACATGAGCTGAAACTCAGTCTGCCTGGAAGACTACCCTGTAGAACCATTAGCTGCATCTGAAACCAAACAGAAGCAATATTTAAATTATCCACCAACCCCTCTGCTCATGCAGAGAGAGGAGAATTGACCAAATGCTGAGCAGATGAGTATTACCAGGCTGGCAGATGACGGGGTCAACTGTGCAAGGCTCTGTCCAGAAGAAGGATGGATTCCAGGGCAGACGTTGAGCTCCCCTTGTCCACAGCACCGGCCCAGCCAAGAAGAGTGCAGCATCTTCATCAAGATCATGCTTGGATGTGTCTGCAGCCTCTTCCATCCAGAGTTCCCATGGGCACAGGCCAGGGTCTGGACCAGCCGAACCCAGAAAAAGCTGCCACCAGACAGAGAAACTGGTAAACAGCATCCCCTGGCCCAGCCCACGAGCCGGAAAGTCATTTCCTTTCAGTTTGTGGATTTGGATGAAAACACAAGCTGCAGCCTTGCCAACTTGAGCTGATTGTATCTATGTGATTGTCAAGGCACCGCAGTGAGTGGGGATGAGGCTCCACTGCAGCAGGCCCCTGGCCTTCTCCCACCTCCCGGACCTCCTCTGTGTCCCTGGGCTGTCCTGCTCTCCCCTCTCTGCTTCCATTCCTCTCTGTTTTTCTTTCCTCCTTTCTTCCTTCTCCTCACTCCCAGCAGAATAGAATTTACCAAAATGACTCTTGTCCTGTCAAACATTTGAGGAATAGCCTTTTAAGTGGCAAGCTGTTTATTTCAAGACCCGATTCCCAGCATCTCTCGGCTTTAATTAAAAACATTTGTAAACAAGCTGATGATTGTCACAAAAGTCCCATCTATGAAACAATAAGAACAAAGAACAATCAGCTGAACATATAATTATGAAATAGTTTTCTTTTGAACTTTCCAGATGGGATTGGGATATGCAGTTTAATAGAAGATTATGAGCTGCAAATCCATTGAATACACAAATATTTGCCGTCTGTGTTCAGAAGGCACAGTGGGGAGTTGCTTTTCAATGTTGTATCTTACAGCATCTCGTCAAGACCCACTGCCAACCGATATATAAGCCAATTAATTCTGGACACATTTAAAAAACAAATACCAGCCAACCACCTGTTTTCTGGTGCCAGCTTTTTGCCACTTCACTGGTTTATAAACAGGCCAGCAAAGCGTCGCCATGGTTCCACGCAGTTGGCCTTGAGGATGAGGCCAATTCATTATCTTGTGGTCCAGTGTGGTGCCCAGACAAGCTGCTCACCCAGGCCTGTCGGCAGTGATCAACGGCTATCTTTAAAAGAGCTGCCAATTCGGGAGAAACTTCCAGAATCACATCCTCCTGATGAACAGAGAGAAATGTGCAGGAAAAAAAAATCAGAATCAAAAGCTCCTTAAAGAGAAAAAAAAACATCCCAGTATGCCACATGTCATCAGCAGTGGAAGCCAGTAATCCTGAAGTTCAAGTCTTTCCAAATGACCGGTGATGGATGTGGCCCAGCTCACAATGTCTCATAAAGCAGATTGTTCTATTCAATGCTTACCCGGAAGGGTAAAGATTTCTGTCATCTAGATACAGATGAATACTAGGAACATCGATAGCGGTTGCTACTAAGTCAATTATTCCTGCAAAAAGACGTAGGGTGTATTCCAGCACAGATCAGTGTTGCCCAGAATGGGTCATCAAGCATGGTCAGAAAAGATCCATGTTGGGATAAAGAAAATGGTTTTCTTGATATAAACCAAGAAGGGATTCTAAATCCCAGGATCATCTAGTACTTAATAGAGAGACAACAACAGAGCCATAAAAATTAAAACCAAAGATGCATCCAGTGCTTCCTTTTCTTGATGTAAGTTGTATGATATACCTTTAGTGGAAAAGAGACAACTCCAGGAAGCCAGATCCCCCACGGGACCCATCAGCGTCTTCAAGTTAGAACTGGTAGTATCTCCATAGATGACTTTCACTGATGTTTCAAACAAATCTTAGTGAGACAATTCCTCTTTGTTGTATATTTGAATGAAATATTGTATATTAATAATATTTGTACAAATTTGGTTTTGTTTTTGTTTTTTGAGACAGAGTCTCTCTCCATCACCCAGGCTCACGTGCAGTGGTACAATCACTGTTCACTGTATCCTTGACTTCCCCTGGCTCAGGTGATCCTCTCTTCTCAGCCTCTTCAGTACCTAGGACCACAGGCATGTGCCACCATGCCCTGCCAATTTTTGTCTTTTTTGTAGAAACAGAATCTCCCTATGTTACCCAGGCTGGTCTGAAACTCCTGGGCTCAAGGGATCCTCCCACCTTGGCCTCCCAAAGTGCTGGGATTACAGGTGTGAGCCACTGAGCCTGGCCAATGCCGTGTGTTTGGATGCATAGAAGGCACCATGGCAAACAGGAAGGGCACACACCCAATCTGCTGCCTGCATGGAAAACCAGAGAGTCCACAGCTCCATTAGACCTTTTCCTTCAACTCACGTAGGCTCATTTGCGAGTCTTGGTCAATGTGCTAAGTGCGCAGTGTGCCTGGGTGAGCACAGTGCACTTGTGAGCTAATGGGGCACTGAGCAACCTCACCTCTGGCTTTCCTTCAGCTATCAGCAGATGCTGAGGGTGGGAAGAGCAGGAGATATGTGCAGACCTCATCTTATCATCTTAAATTATCTCTCTTTTTATTGAAACTTATGGCATTTGGGGAAGAGGATGGGTAAATTTGGAGAGTATTTTGAACTTGGACAATGTGCCCAAGCTGTCTTATATTTAGTATTTTAATTGGTCAAGAAGAAGGAAAAGGCAAATAAAAACACCTTCGCCTCCTACCACCTTTTAGATGGCAGAATCTCAGCAATGCAGTCCTGCCACAGTGTACTATTATGTAAAAAGGAAAAAAGTGGCGTTCAGATGATCCAAACCAACAGTTTTATAATTTTGGAATCTCTATTCCTGGATTGAACCACCTTGTAAATGGTGGGAATTGGAGTTCAGCTGCTCGCCTCTTTATTCTGAACAGACAAGGGGGACTCTTCCTGTGAACTAGGACAGTGTCAGAGACCAGTCTGCAAAGGCTCATGAAGGAGCCGCTCATGCTTTACAAAATTCCAGAAGATGTTTCTTCATTCCAATTTCTATAAGTGCTGAAAATTATGTTTTACTCTTTTTAAATATAAATTAATCTAGACTCACACTTAACATTTGGTGTGTTGATTCTACCTTAGAAATTAATCTAATATTTCACACTAGCTTGACCAGTCTTGCCAAACTATGAAAACATTTACTGGCTTTTACATCTCTGAGGAGCAACACAAGAACTGGACTTCCCTGAAGCAGTCATCACAAGCACCCAAAGACTTCAAGGGCACAGAACAGCAAGGGGTCACCGTTCACTCCCACCGTGCCCATGAAGGACCAGACACAGCTTCTACTCTATGTCATCCTTGCTAGACAGGTAGCTCATGCTGTCTCAGCACTTTCTGGTCTTTTGATTCTGGAAGTGCTTTGCACAGTGTTTATTCCAACAGGAACTTTCCTGGTCGGTGAGCACGGCTGACAGTGAGCCACACTGTTCCGCAGTGGGAGGAACCCAAGCCCCATATTTGACACTAGAGGAAAGGAATGACCCAGGCGGTGAGCAAGTGACCCCAAGGCGACCCAGCAAGGCGGTCACAGAGCCCAGATTAGAGTTGGGGCCAGAGTGCTCAGGCCAGCCACATCAACACCCTGCCAGCTTCTCCTCGCCGACCTGACTCAACGGTATGCCAGGGCGATCTCTGGAAAATCCATTTGCAGAAACCCTACAACAAGGCCAGACGGCCTGAGGCCACCAAGCCTCACCTGCTCTGCCCCTCCAGGGCAGCCACGCTGGATGACAGCATCAGTGGGAGATGAAGAGGGGCACTGTGGCTGGGCCTGTCCCTGTCTTTTTAGTTTGCCTGAGACAGTGGGCACTCATTTTTGAAGAAAACAGGCAGTGTTTGGGATGTGGAGTGCCACCAGGGTACCAGGAGCTGCAACTGCCCCGTGGGGGGAGAAATGCAGCCCAAGGGCTGTCCCCAGGAGAGCCAAGGGGCTGGAACCTCTACCCCAAGATGATGGTGGCGCCTGCATTCATTTCCGTGCCTGCTGCAACCAAGTACTTCACTCTTGGTTAAAAAATAGAAATGCATTTTTCTCATGGGTCTGAAGGCTCCTTCTGCGATTGTGAGGGAGACCCCGTTCCTTGCCTCCCCCCAGCTTCTGGTGGCTCCTGGTGCTCCGTGGCCCCTTGGCTGTGGGCATGTCACCCTGGTCCTTGCCTCTGTCTCTGCATAGCTGTCCTTCCTCCATGTCTGTGGGTCTCAAATCTCCCCCGCCTCTCATATGAGGACACAGTCATTAGATCCAGTGTCTGCCCTAAATTCAAGATGATGTCACCTCAAGGCCCTGAACTGAATTATACCTGCACAGACCCTGCTTCCAAGTGAGACCACATTCCGAGACCCAGGGTGGGGGTCAGGATGTGGCACATCTCTGTTGGGGCTGCCATTCGTCCACTGTAGGGCCCCTGCCTTTTGATTCTTTAGAATGGCCCGGGATTCAAGGGAGGGGCCTTTGTTCCTCAGCCCCACAGAGAGCAAGTGACGCTCACCTTGGAGAGACCTCAGAGGCCTGGATGGAGTGGAGTGTCTAAAAATTCTGCTGTGACTAGAATGAGGCCAAGGCCAGCAGATGTAGTTTGGGGTGGGGAGGGCAGGGGGCACTCCTTGGCCAGCCCATGTCCTGCAAAGTGCTAGTGATGAAGGCAAAGCACAGAGCCTGGCCTGCGGGAGGAACCATGCACAGACGTGGTACCAAGGTTGGATTACTCAGCACTCCCGACCCCGCCTTGGACCCGACAGACACATCATTCCAACAAGCAGGTGAGTAACAACACATGAGTCAAGTCAGTAATCCACAGTCCTAGGAGTTCACGATTCCATTCAGCATTCCATTTGTTAAGTTTCAAATTGAGAACAAAACCCCAGAAGTGAGACAATTTCCGTCCTTCTAATCACAAACTTGCATTCGTCTGTGTTGCCTCGTATCAATGTAGAATACATTATCATTTTGAAAAATCTAATCATGCAGTTCAGGTAAATGGACTCAGAATTAAGAATCTGGAAAGGAAAAAAAAAAAACCCAGAATATTAAAGGTCAAGTGTAAAGAATATTAAGCTTTGAAAGGCAAGGCACAATTTCTAGTTATGAATTTTTCACAGCCTGGCTAAGGGGCTTCGCATGAGTCAGAGACAGTTCTGCCCTCAGCTTCTTGTGATAAAGCCTGGATGAGCACCGGGTTCCATTCCAAGGGGGCTTTGGAGACCGCAAAGAGACGGCACATTCAGGTGCACATGAGAAATCTAAGGTGCTTGGTGAAGAACATGTTTCCCAACCAGAGCAAGGGAAGGAAAGGAATCTTTGTTAATGGAGAACCTGCGACGTGCTGGCACCTGTAGTTGGCATCTCATTGAACATCTCAGCCACTAACGCAACTTCACATTTATTTTTAGCTGATAGCATGTTGCAATTTGTCTGTTTGTTCTTTTTGCTCTGACAGTTTTTACTTCCTGCATTTTGAAGCTCTATTATTAGGCACAAACATTTATAATTGTGGGGTCTCCCCGATGTATTGATATCTTTATTATTATGAAATGTTCTCTTAGTTTTAGTCTTACTTCTTTTTCTAAGCCCTGTTTTGCATGGTGTTGATATAGCATCTCTTGTTTTCTTAGGATTACAATTACTGGTATGTGTAGTGTATGTATGTGTGTATGTAAATTTACACACTACACACACCACATATATACACACACATACACACATACTGTTTGCCATCATTTTCCTTCCTGCTAAAGGACTGCTAGAACAGTCTGTGGCTGACAACTTTTCTCGAATTTTGTTTATAAAAAAAGCATTTATTTCACCTTTAATTTTGAAGCATCATTTCATTGAATATAAAATTCTGTTTTGATTTTTTTTCCCTTTAGCACTTTAAAGATGGAGTTCCATTTTCTTCTTACCTGAAACATTTCTCATGAGAATGCTACCTTATGTTTGTACATATTTTTTCCCTTCCATGTGATGTGTTGCATTTCTTCTCTGGGTGCTTGTAAGATTTTCTCTTTATCTTTGGAATGCAGCAATTTGACCACGATGTGCTCCATTGTGGTTTTCTTTGTATTAGGTTGGCACAAAAGTAATTGCAGTTTTTTGCCATTATTTTTGTGCCAACCTAACATTTACCCCACTCAACATTTGTTAGTCTTCATAGGTTTATAAATCAATGTTCTTTGCCATCTTTGGCTATCATTTGTTGAAATATATTTTCTGCCCAATCCTCTTTCTTCTCATTGTGTAACTCCAGTAATACATATGCTAGTCAGTGTGATGCTTCCATAAGTGTCTTTAAGGCTCTGTTGCATATTTTTAACATTTTTTCCTTTTTATTCTTTAGATTGGATCATTGCTATTGCTCTATCTTCAAGTCTGCTGACTCTTTTTATTTCTGTCTACAACCTTCTGTTAAGTCTTGCTAGTTAGTTTTCATTTGATTTTTTATAGTTTCCCAGCTCTCAAATCTCTACTTGATTCTTTTGTTGTATTGTCAGTGTCTCTGCTGAGAGTCTCATCTGTTTAGACATTGTGCCTATATTTTTCTTTAAGTCCTTGAATATATTTATACCTGTTAACAGTCATTGTCTGCTCATTACAGCGTCTGTGTCATCTCAGTGTTAATTTGTATTGACTGCATTTTGTTTTTGAGTTCAAGCCACATTTTCCATTGTATGGTTATTGTTATTGTGAGGATAATTGGATACTGGGCATGATGAGTATTGTGTTGTAGGGAGACTTTTGTTTTGGAAAACAATTAACTTGCCTGGAATCAAACCACACTCTCTGCTTCTTCTGCGGGGAGAGGCGGCTGAAATCTCAGCTGTTATTTCAACGTTCAGTCCTACTTTTCCGCATCCCCGTGCGTCCTGATGCATGTTACCTTAGCGGTAAGCCACAGACTCCCAGAGCTGAGGCACCATCACTTGCTGTGACTGCTCCCTGCCATGATTTCCCCATTGATTTCTGGCTAAATGTAGAATGCCAGTTCCACGCTCTATCCTCAGTCATCATCCTACTGGCTTGAGTTGTCATTCCAACACTCCACCTGCACCAACTGTGGAGTGTCCTCAGTGAAAAACCTGCAGACTCACAGACCTAAGCCCCGGCAGATTGGCTTTCCTGCAGAGACTCCCCTCCACATTCCTGTGCATTGCATGTTCTCCAGGGCCTGCAGGGAGTTGCATTTTTACATTTTGGTTTTTGGGGTCCAGATTTTATAGTTGTTATCTGTGAGAGCGTTAGATTTCGCTCATCTACTCTGTCATTAACCTCTAATGGATTTTTGCTAAAGATCTGGTTAAGTAACACTGATTCTGGATTCTTAAGAAAGAATGATTTAAAGGTTGTATTTTATTTAGGTCTACAAAAGCTAGAAACACAACATGATGGCGACAATAGCCTTAATCATCTACCTCCGCTTCTCACTCTAAGAAAACACATTCTGTGACTAAATTATGAGGTGCTAAACTCAGAGTATAATTATTGTATTCATAAAAGATTGGTGGTAAGGTGTTTATACAATTCTCTGGGGTTGCATTCAAACTGTGTGAGAGACCATCCTATCAATTGTTGTGGTACTTGCACTCTTGAAAGTTTGTGCCCTAACGAGCTGGAAGATTGTGCTTAGGGCTTCTGACAACCCCTGGTGCTTCCTGAAACACAGGGTGCAGCGAAACTGGGAGTGTCCAGGGAGCAGATGCTCTGGGAACCAAGCACACTCCGTTTATGGAAGGCCAGGGGACCAACCCAGCCTCCCAGGGCAAGAGCTGTAGATACCAGACTTCAGAGGGGGGCAAGGTATGCATGTGAGTAAGCTGTATCACACTGAGGAGCTGGGTCTTATCCTGACGGCAGAGAAGCCTCTTCCCCAGGCAGTGCTATATCTGGAGCAGAGGGTGGGGGTTTGTTTTTTGCTGGCCTGTTAATTTACTGTGCTTGTTCTTTCAAGGATAGAAAAGATACTTCCTTCTATGCAGAGGAAGAGTGTAAAATAAAGGAGAATCTGATGATAAGGAAATAGAAATATGGGAAGGGGTGTGAGGGTGGGATTCTGCATTGGGAAGGAGGGGTGAGCCTCTTTCAGGGCACACATGCATCTCTCTGTGCCCACAGGAGTGAAAGGCAGAGGCTGGTAAAGAAGGAGACCTCAACACGTGAGGGCCCAGGAGGCTTTGTGGGTTCCACCCAGTGGCTGCGGGTTTTTCAGGGAAGTGCATTTCTATTCCCCTGTGTGAGCAGCAGGCAGCACCTCTTCTTAGTCCCAGGTTATAAAGAGGCAGAGCAGACCCTCCCTGCTTCCCTGGTTGCTGGGCTGACGGATGCTCAGGTAGCCACCTGCCCTCACATTCCAGTCGGGCAGCAAGGCACAACAGCCGTCCCTGGCAGGGTTATTAAAAAAACCAAAGCATTTCAGTTCTGCAAAATTAGAGATGGACTAATCATCCATTTCTTTTGGGGATGAGGAGACAGAGGCTAAGAACAGGACCCTGAGAATGTTTTCAGCCAAACTGAGATCAGGACCCGGTTTCCCCAGCCTCGGGAGGGCAGCAGCCTTCTCTGCTGTGGCTACAAAAACTGTCAGCAAAAACGGAAGGCAACCCAACACTTCATGAAGCTTTCCCTTGAGAAGGCATAGATCTGTGTGGGCAGAGAGGGTTCCAGGAATGTAGGTCCCTCTGCCCTGTCCGCTGCTGACCAGGACTGGGGGCTTAGGGACAGGGGGAGTTGTCCACAGAGGGTCAAAGGTGAGGGGTCAAAGAGCATGAAGAAGAGAGAGACAACTGGTCCCCACAAAGCCGGGAAGGGTTGTGTTTTACTTTCCATGGAAAATGGCTCCACATCATGTCCTAAAGGGGGTATGTCTGAGGAAAATGGTGGCAGAGGATGCCTGTCACGACTTCCTGCCATTCCCACTGAGGGTGTGAGGATTCCTCTGAGCTCTGGCCCGGCTCAATCTGGGCAACACTGCTCAGAGATTCCTAGGCCTTGCTTGGGTTCTCCAGACATGGAGAACAGAGACACCCAGATGGTCTGAGTCCTTCTCTCATCCTTGGCTTCTTACTTAAAACACCATCACACACTCCACAGGATCCGCCAATCTCCAGCAGTCACCAGGGAGGCTCCACGGAGCGCGGCTGCAGGAGGCTCCAGGCTTTGTTCGGGAATGGATCTGCCATCAGGGCTCAGTCACAGGCTGTCTCCGGTTCATTCCCAGTGGTGATGGGCAGACTCAGGCCCCGCCGGGGTCCAGCTCTGCATCCCACCTGGAAGTCACTAACCGCCCACGCTAAAGCTACCTGCTATGTTTCTGGGATGAAAGTCCCCTGGACCCTGGAGTTGAGATTTTCACCCTGTTCAGCCACCCTAGAACCATAATCTCAGGAATGTCTCCCTCCAAAACGGACAGGCTGACCCGCTCCAGCACTCGCTACTGTAACCAGCACTTTCTAGACAAGGTACGCTTTGATTTCTCCCCTTTCTGAAAAAAGATCTTCCAAGTCTCTTTTCCAGATTATTTAAAGAAACATGGTTATGATTATAGGGACAAAGCAAACATGTTCTCTCTTTTCCTCTTCCCGAGAGTAGGTGTCTTAGAAGAGACAAGATCCATGTTGAAGGAGACCATAGAAGGCATTTGGAAGGGAGGGAGAGAGGACGGGCAGGCTATAGAGGAGCCCAGCAGCCATGGAGCAGAGCCAGAACCCAAGGCCTGGAGGAGGGGCCGGATGGGTAGGGAACCTGGGCACATGCCCATGCCCAGAGGGGCAGAGACATGAAGCTGCCTGTCCCCAGTGCAGTGGCAGACCCTGCCCTGCCTTCAGGTGGGCACTGGAGGGGCCGCAGGATGCAGTCGAGGGCTACACAGAGGCGAGGTTTAGGCTGGAGTTCCTGGGATGAGCGCTTACAGGACAATGTGCTCGGAATGCATCTTCAGCCTGAGCCACTGCAGGCAGGGGGGCTCCCTGTTTCTCCTGCATCCATCCCTGCACGCCCCGTTCACAGCTGGAGGTGACCTGGAGAAGTGCAGCCTGGGCCTGGCCCTCTGTCTCCCATGCTGCCTGACCCTCCTGCAGCACAGCAAAGCACCATGGCCAAGTGTCATTCATCCTTTCTTCCAGAGCTGATTTCGTTCAGCCTCCAGAGCCCTAGATCCCTCTGCTTCTGTTTCAGAAACAATCCCAGCGCAGTACAAGACTAGGCTTGGTGTTTTCACCCACCACCTCTCACACCACCTGGTGGGGCCCAGACCCTCTGCATCCTCACCAAGCTTAGCTGCAGAGTTTTGGGGGCACCTGCCTGTCTGGCATTCTTGCTCGTGGCCATGGTCAGACCCCAGGGGCAGGGCTTCCCTAGTACCCACCAGGAAAGGCAAGGTGCAGGGCACAGCAGGAGGCCTCCAAGGGCAAGGCCTGCCCTGCTGCCAAGGAGAATGGAAGCACACCAGGTACCCTTCCATTGTCTCTCTTTGAGGGTCCTTACTCTTGCCCTGTGGGAGAAGCCACACATCTTATGTGACTTTGTATCTCCTTAAATTGTGACTTCATTTCACGGACACTGATGGCCAGGATATCTTCCTAATCTAGGCTTTGCAAATATTTAGGCCAGCTCGGATGCTCAGGAAATTGAGTCCTGGCCACTAATGACATACTAATCTAAAACTCACCTTGAAAGCCAGGTTGCCAGCGGGCATTAAGTTCCATGGCCATCAACTCTGATCAGTTAAAAAAACGTGCTGACTGCCCCATTGCCAGAATATGTGATGCCATCTTCCTCCACGAGAGGACCAACAGGTCCTCACAAGCTCTTCCCGCCTCTCTGGGCCTCCTGATCCAGAAAGCAGAAGTCTGAGATCATGGGGACACTGGGTAGGGGTCTTCCATATCTGGGTCTGGATGCATCCCCTGAGGTTATATTTCCCGTCACATCCTAAGTCTCTCCATGTCTTCCTGGCTTTGGTAAGATGATCAGCACCCAGGAAAGAAGTAAAGCTGAGAGGTTGGGAAGAACATTGCATCTGATGGATGAAGTTCCTGTGTGAAGCGCTGGGATGGGAAGGAGATGGCAGTGTCCAGGAGTATCCTGGAGACGGACTTCCACAGTGAGCTCTGTACAGGCAGGTCACCCAGTCAGGAAGCCAGGCCAGAGCACAGAAAAGGGTGTCTTTTTAGACCTGCGGTTGTGGTGGGTGGACGTTGTGAAAACAAGAGTTGAACTTGGCTGGGGGTTGGGCACATCAATTTGCACTGAGAGGTAATCTGAAGAGCAAGTGTGATCAGTGAGTGGAGGAGCAGAGAGGTGGGGCAAGGCGAGCTCCTTCTTCCTCTGCTGACCAATGCTTAGCCTCATGAGTCCAAATTTAAGAATGACTAACACAAGCCAACCAGCACAAACATACAGGCTACACAAGCACATGTCACCAGAGGAAGTTATCTCTAGCCAGAAAGAAAGGGAACAACATGCTGGGAACTCAGGCAACAACCAGACCTCTTAAAGTTGAGAACAAACTGAACCAAAAGAGAATAGCTTAAAACTGTTTGATATCCTCCATTAGATGCAAAAAAATAGAAATCTTTTATACAAAAATAGAAGAGAAAAAAGAAACAGCTACCACTCTGAAAGGAAGAAATATAAAGACATAGATGAAGCGTGTATTGCATGTTGAATAGCAAATTATGCATCTATTTTGGTGGTGGTACAGAGAGCTTTTACACTGCAGAGGATAAATTGGGGATGTATAGGTCATATCTGGGCAGATTTCTTAGAAAATAAGGTGAAGGAAAAGACAAAAATAGTGCAGAGGTGATGGATGACTTCAGAGGACCCTGCGAGGAAACTGTCAGGATGAGGGCGCAGATGTGCAGAATTGTCATCTTAAAGGATGAATCTGCTGAGGACCTCATGTCTCTCAGCCCCGGCTGTGCAGTGCAGACACCTGCGGAACTTGGCAAACCCTGATATATGCCCGGGGCCAACCTCAGAGTTTCTGGTGCAGTTGGTTTGGGACACAGCCTTCGGTGCACTGCACGCTTTAGGGCTCTTGGGTGATTCTAAGTTCAGCCAAGGATGTGCTTATCATTCTCCTCCTTCGCCTGACTCAAATCATAGAGTTTTCAGGGACAAATGCTTGATCATTCATAATCAGGGCCTCCGAGCACCATCAAAGGGAATCCATCCATGCCTTGTCCCTCGGCCTTTAGGCTTCCACTTCCTACACAGCAAGGCTTCCCCTCTTAGAAATGCATGTTTCCTAAGGAATCATGACACAGTGTCCTGCCCCAGCTCAAGGCGTGCTCCCCTCGCCTGAAATGACTGAGATGCAAGGGCTTTGACGGATTGATTCATCCTTTGAAGCCTCCAATTTCTGGCTGCCTGCAGCAGTTCCTCTCCCCGAATCTTCACAGTCACTCCTGATGCTCTGGGGCCCAACAGCTCAGAACTGGCTGGAGATGTTCATGTGGGTGGATGAGGATGAGAGTCACCCTTTCTCTTCCACTCTGCACATGCTACTTTGCACAGAATGGCAGGAAGCCTCCTACCCTCAACACAGCCTGCAGAACCCGGACTCCCAGATGGTTTGGGGTTTGCATTGTCCTGGGATGGTCCCCTGCACCCGACCTGAAGACGCTACTCAGCATTCAGAATAGAAAGCTCTATCTGTAATGGCTCTGTAGGGGGAAAAATGATGCAAACATTCTTGTTTTCTCTTATTAGACACAAGACAGACTCTGGCAGGGAGTGAATTCTGGCGAAGCATTTGGTGGAAATGCGGTTTCCACCTGTTGAGCTATTTGAGTCTGAGAGATTTATAGCAGTGACTTATTGTGCTCTCTGCAGAAGGCCTCCAAAAGCTCCCCAGGCGGCCTGGCCACCCCAGCAGTCATTTGCATCCTGCCTTTGCACGAAAATAGAATCTGGTCTCCCAGTCAAGTTTGAAGGAAGCATATTGAATTGCAAATCTTTTCAGCAAATTCTGTTTGAGCAGCACAGCCAATGTGGACCTGGCTCAGGCATCCTCAAAGTGAAGCAAGGCTTTGAGGGGAGCAGCAGTGCTGTGGGCCCCAGCTGCCGCCATGTGCCGGAGTCGCTCCTGGGCCCATTTGCTGCCAGTCAGGAACCTGCTAGCGCCTTAGAGCCATGCAAAGTGCTGATGAAAAGCTGCCTGGGCAGAGTCAGGGTAGAGATGGCAGAGCCCTTCTGTGTCACCTGCTTCGGTCACAGGAGTAATGAAGGGTATGAATTTTAGTTGATGTTGCTCTAGTAGTGGCTTAATTGAGTTCTCTCAGAGCTACCATCTTGGTTCTTAAAATAGTTCTCCATCTTATTACATCAATCTATCCCTGGTTTTGAGAACAACAACAACAATAAAATAGACAATAGACCTGTGCTCTGATGGAAACCCCTGGGTTCTTAGCATATTGCGTGTCTCCAGTGGTTGCTACAGAAATGCTTTGTATCCACCGTTCCTCTTTAATTCTTGGGACTCGTGCCTGGGAAATCTGTGGTAAAAGGTCCATTGTTAATATCCTTTCTTCAAATGGCTCCTGCTAACCCCGTTCCCTGCCAGTCTAACAGGCAATTCTATGCACAGTGGTCATTCATACAAGATGAGGTAAGAACCTGCTCTGAGAAGGGTCGTTTTCTTTGCATTAATCAGTATGTTATTTTGTTAGATGTTAAATTACCTGTATGTTGACACTGAGGTATAAACTATGGAGTGGTTTACACCTGCTGGAAATGAAACACATAGAGACTCACAAAGTAACACACCTAAATCAAACTTTTTGTGATAAATGAATACAGCAAAATTAATTCGATATTTTTGGCTATTAACAGTCTGTTTTGTGCTGGCAGCCACAAGGAAAGAAATGAGATTTATGCTCCACAGAAAAATAGCTGAGTCCCTGTGAAGGCCTGGAGGCAGCGTGTTCTGCTTTCCCTGCGTCAGGGGCTTGAACAGGTGCACTGAGGCAAAGAATGTTTCCTGGGAGCCCCACCCACTCTCTCCAAATCCACAGGGTACCCGCAGGAGGTGGTCACATTTTTTCAGAGCAAGGTAACAGCAAATTCACCCAATTTGCCTTCAATCCATTTAGACAAACATGTGTCTATAAGTGTTTTATAAACTACTGACTCATCATGCCATGTAAACAATTCTGTTCCAGTTGACATCAAAGAAATAATGGGTGCTGGAGCTGGTTCACAATGTCCCTTATTCTCTGTGACCTCTCCTGCTTCTCTCTGCAGCCCCGTAGACAGATGCTGTGCGTTAGAGAGGAGACACTGAGGAGGGAACATTCACAGAGGAGCTCGCAATCTCCAAGTGATAGCACTGGGACCTGCACCTACATGCCATTTCTGCAGATCATGGGGGAAATGCATATGGACTTTTACTCAATCCTGAGAGCGACGTCAGTGCTCACACACAGTGAGAACTGGAACTACATTGTGATTCCCCCAGCGGGCATGGGCTATTTCATTCTTTTCTGACTGCCAGACCCTAACAAAGGCTAGTCCAAAAGTTCTACGCAAATATCCATGTCATGCATTGCTCAGAACCATGCTAAATGTTCTTTTGGTTTGGATCGTTTGCAACGTCCCCCAGTGCATCCGGATAGTTGTCAGAGCTGTTTTATCTCCAGAGAGAGGGAGAGAGTGTTATCCCTTTAAGACTGCCCTGACTTCTTGGATAAGAAAAGTTCCCTGGCTGATCAAACCATGTTTAATGCCAGGGAGAGTTGCAATACCAGGTGGTAGAGAGAAGGGGGATCCATGGAATTCCTGGCCTATTGGTGGTGGGGTGTTAATTAGTACAAACACTTTGGAAAAAAACACTTCAACATCTGCTCCTAAAGTCAACTATCCATATGTTCTATCCACAGACATTCCTCTCTTGGATGAATACTCAAAGGGAATTCTAGCATACTACGAACAACTAGAGACAGAAGTTGGTTCTTAGCAGCACTGTTTACAATAGCAAAGACTTGGAAGTAAGCCAAATGCCCATCAGTAGTAAAATGGATAAATAAACTCTGGTATAGGCACATGGTGAAATATTTCACAGCAAACACAATGAAAAAAATGCAATGACACACTCAATAAGGCTTAATGGTAGTAATATTATATTGAGTGAACAATTAAGTCCCAAAAGGTTACTTTCAGGTATGAACAAAAGTTCTCTGTAAAGGAATTTAGAGGTAAGAGACTATTCCAGTGAATAGTTTGCAAACCAGGGAGACACAGCCTTCAGTGTTAAACTAAGGTGTGTTCCAGAGAACAAACAGAGGGTTCAGATTTTATAGCAAAATTCCTGCCCAGGTTTCCAATCAGGTCCCTTTATGTAAATGTAGGATTCGAACTTGCTTAGTCCTGATTGATTGACTCAGTTGAGTCCCGATTCGTTGATACAGCTGAGCCTTGTTTTGTCAATACAGGTGACCTCTGATTGGATGGTTAGGGTGAGCTCTGGAAGTCCCAAATTTAAGTAGAGTTGTGGGTTTTGGAAGACTCAGAGTATGTAAGTCTCGTCGGCAAATGGAAGCTTGTCTCAATTTAAAACACAGGCCCAGGTGGCACCTCAGGACCCATCTTGAAGGATTGGCGCTTTTAGTGCACATTCATTCACATGGGAATATATCATTTTTATAAAGTTAAAAATAATGAAAATAAAGCATATAATTTTAGGAAAATATCATATATAAATAGGAAAATTAAAAAAATGATGAACTTGTGTCCAGGATAACATTTACTTTGGTTGTGGGGGAAGCAAGGATTGGGTGTGGCCACTGCAGGTTAGAGGTAGATAGTTTTCAGGAAGATTCCAATTTTTGTTTTGGTTAATGGATTCAGATACTCATAATATTAGAAAAATAACCAAATGAAAACGGAACTTAAAAAAAAAGGCTGCATATGATGATAAAAGCTATCATTGCTGTGGACAGAATGATGGCCTGCTCCCAAACTTACATATTGACATTTTAACCATCTTGGTGACAGTATTTGGGGATGGGATGTCTAGAATGACATTGTTTGAAATTTGTCCCTGCCCAAATCTCATGTTGAACTGTGATCCCCAGTGTTGGAGGTGGGGCCTGGTGGGAGGTGATTGGATCAGGAGGTGGAGCCCTCATGAATGGCTTGGGCCATGGCCTTGGTGATGAGTGAGCTCTGAGTTCACACGAGATCTGGGTGTGTAAAAGTGTGTGGCGCCTCCCCCACCTCTTGCTCCCATTCTCACCATGTGAGATGCCTACTCCCCGTTTGCCTTCTCCCATGAGTAAAAGCTTCCTGAGGCCTCACCAGAAGCTGAGCAGATGCTGGTGCCATGCTTCCTGTACAGCCTGCAGAACTGTGATACCATGTTTCCTTTATAAATTACCCAGTCTCAGGTTTTTTTGTTTTTTTGGGTTTTTTTTTTGAGATGGAGTCTCACTCTAACACTCAGGCTGGAGCGCAGGGGTGCGATCTCAGCTCACTGCAACCTCCACCTCCCAGATTCAAGCAATTCTCCTGCCTCAGCCTCCTGAGTAGCTGGGATTACAGGCGCTTGCCACCTTGCCTGGGTAATTTTTGTATTTTTAGTAGAGATAGGGTTTCACCATGTTGTCCAGGCTGGTCTCAAGCTCCTGACCTCAGGTGATCCACTTACCTGGACCACCCAAAGTGCTGGGATTACAGGCGTGTTCCACTGTGCCTGGCCTCAGGTATTTCTTGACAGCAACTAAAGAGAGGCTTAACACATGCGAGGTAAGGTTGAATGAGGTCACAAATGTGGAGTCCCAATCCCATTAGACTGGTGACCTCATAAGAAGACGAGAGATCTCTTTCCATGTGTGTCCACCAAGGAAAGATCACGTAAACATGCAGCGAGAAGGCAGTGGTCTGAGAGCCAGGAGACTGGCCTCCCCAGAACGCCTCCTGCTGGCACCCTGACCTAGGAATACCAGCTTCTAGAACTCTGAGAAAACAAACATTTGTTGTTGAAGCCACCCAGCGCCTGGCATTTTTTGTGGTAGCTGGAACTGGGTGTCTATTCCCAGGACAGCAAGGATGAGGTAAAAGTGAAGAAATGCAAACAAAAGATGGTTCATTACCAAGCAGGCCTTAGCTAGACTGGAAACACAGCTGGCCTCTGTCTCTCTGCTTCTTCCTCATTGTCCAGTTTCCCCATTGGTCAGAGTTCTCCCCATAGGCTGCTGATGTCCCTGAACTTCTGCGGGAAGCACTGGCTGGCTTCAACAACGAATGTTTATTTTCTCAGAGTGCTAGAAGCTGGTAGTCCCAGTTCAGGGTGCCAGTGGGATACCCTCAGGTAAGGCCAGTCTTCTGCCCAACCCCCTTTGTACAAGGCACCTACTAGGAAAGCCAGAGCCTCATGCCCTGGGCACAGCACTTCATCTGCGTCTGGATGTAGAGGGGACAGCTGGATTCTGGGCGACTCCCACCACAGCAGAGGCTGCCTGGAGCTGCAGAGGTGCATCTGTGGTTGAATGAAGGTATAGAGAGATTCCTTAGCATCCCTTATGTCATGCAGCTAGTATGTGACGGAGCTGGGATTTGAACCCAGCAGACTGGCTCAAGAATCTGTGACCCTAACCACTACCCTACTTTGCCCTTGAGTTGAAAATTAGAGGGTCACTCTCTTGGGAAAGCTGAGAGTGTAGCCAGTGAGGTGTGAGGGCCTCGCCTAGGAAGACCGACGGTCCTTTCCCTGCTTCCTGGGCATAAAGACGGAACACAGGGGTTTTGTTTGTCAGTGTAATGCTTTTATTTGGTTTGGCCTCTTTGTTTTGATTCCCTAACGCTGGACATATATACTTTCTTAGCAATCACAAAAATGCACCACAATGATAGTTTTGTCTGTTTTCCCCGAACACTGTGCTCTGTGGATCCATTTTATGTGCACAGTGGTGAGCACACGTGTGAATAAGAAATAGAGAAACAAGTTTCTGGGTGAGATCTGGGATGCCTTCTGGAGCCTCAGGGAGCAAATGGCCGTGACAGTTTCAGTGCGTGGATGACAGCGTGGGAAGGTCACCTGCAGCTGCGTGAGATGAGACTCAGCGCCGTGACATTCAGGGGAACAGGGAGAGCCACAGGCTGGTGCTTTCATTTCTATAATATTGCAGACTAGAGGTTCCAGACAATCCTCCCGCTTCAATGTGACTAAACGTGTTGGACACAATATAAATAAAAAAATCTTCTTATACATGGCATCAAATTGGCAAGAAGTAGATAAAATCTTCAGGCAAATACCAAGGGAAAGAGCAAACTAGAGAATCACCCGGCTCTGAAACCACAGCTGTGCTGATGGCCCCTGCCAGCACTGGTGACCTTGAGCCTGGAGAACAGCAGACAAAACCCAGGCCCAACCTGGAGGGGGCATTGGACAGGAGCCTCTTCCATGAAGCCAGAGACTGAAAGGACTATCCTCTCAGTAAAATAACTAGAAAAAGCAATCCACCCTTACAGGAAGGAGGACAAGAAACCCCATCCTGGGTGGGGGTATGTGGGGAATCTCCTCTGAGATTCTGTAACCACCTTGTTAGCTACACACAAGTTATTGACCTGAATTTGCACAACATAGATGGTCCAAAAAACCTCAAGTTAGTATTGAAAGGTAGTCATAGGGTGTGGGGTCCCCAGGTGCTTGTCAAAATCTAAAGTGAGTGGTCTGGAAGAAAGCCCCTTCAGTGCAGTCCCCTGTGTCCTCACAGATAGGGCTCCATCAGACATGGGCCTGTGATGCAAAAATTAAGCTAAATAAATCAAAAGTACAGCCTGCAGGAGGAAACAAGATACATCACAAATATAAAAAACTAGAGAATTGGATTTGCAAAGCTTGCATATACTGGAATTATCAAGAACAGAACGTAAAACTTAATGTTTTCTATGTTTACAGTGTAAAAAAGGGAGGGAAGTATTGACTATCTGAGTAAGAAATTATTAACATGTCAAAATGACTAGGCACATCCTCACCAACACTTGCCACATTCTGTTCTGTCATAATCGTCCTCTGACAGATGTGAGGTGGTGTATTAGGGTTGTCTGGGGGAAAGGTCTAATAGGACAGATGTATATGTGAAGGGGAGTCTGTTAAGGAATATTGGCTCACACAATCACAAGGTGAAGATAGGCTGTCTGCAAGCTGAGGAGCAAAGAAGCCAGTCAGAGTCCCAAAACCTCAAAATTAGGGAAGCCTTTAGTCTGTGGACAAAGGCTCAAGAGCCCCTGGCGGATCACTGGAGTGAATCCAAGGGTCCAACAGCTGAAGAACGTGGAGTCTGATGTTTGAGGGCAGGAAGCATCCAGCATGGGAGAAAGACGAAGCAAGTCTGGCCTTCCATCTTCTTCTGCCTGCTTTATTCTAGCCTCGTTGGCAGCTGATTAGATGGTGCCCACCCAGATTGAGGGTGAGTCTGCCTCTCCCAGTCCACTGACTCAAATGTTCATCTCCTCTGGCAACACGCTCACAGACACACCCAGGAACAATACTTTGCATCCTTCAATCCAATCAAGTTGACTCTCAACACTAACCATCACAGGTGGTGTCCCACTGTGGTTTTGATTTGCATTTCTCCAATGACTCCTGACATTAAGTACCTTTTCCTGCACCTGTTGGCCACTGCTGTGTCCTCACTGCAGAAATATCTATTTAGGTCTTGTGCCCATTTATTAATTGAGTTACTTTTGTTGGTTTGTTTGCTATTCAGTTGTATGAGTTCCTTGTATATTTTGAAGACTCATCTCATTAGATAGATAGTTTACAAATATTTTCTCCCATCACATAGGTTGCCTTTTCATTTCATTGATTGTTTCTTTTGCTGTGTAAAAGCTTTCAGTTTGATGCAGTCTGACTTGTTTATTTTTGCTTTTGGGGTTGATCTGTGCTTTTGGGGTCATATCCAAAAAATCATTGCCAAGACCAATGTCAAGAAGCTTTTTTCCTGTTTTCTTCTAGGAGTTTTATGGTTTAAGTCTCACATTTAAGTCTTTAATCCTCTGAGTTGATCTTTGTGTGCTGTATAAGATCTGGGTCAGTTTTATTCTAATGCATATGGATATCCACTTTTCCCAAAACTGTTTATTGAAGAGACCATCCTTTTCCCATTTTGATTTTTTGGTGCCTTTATTGAAAATTAGTTGACCATGTGTCCACGTATTTATTTCTGGGTAGCTATTCTGTTCCATTGATCTATGTGTATGTCTGTTTTTATGCCAGTACCACACTGCATCACTGCAGCTTTGTCATACATTTAGAAATCAGGAAACAGGATGCCTCCCACTCTGTTGCTCTTGCTCAAGATTGCTTTGGCTATCTGGGGAGCTGCAGAGGGTGCACCAGAGGGAGCCCACGCCTGCAGGCACCCGAGCTCCCAGCACAGGAAGCACGCTCTGTCCAAGGCACCTCGCTGTGTTGACTTACCCACCTTGAGAATGTAGCTGGATTATCTTCTCTAATAAAACAGGAATGGTTACAAGGTATCCTGAAGCATGACATGAGTCCCTGTGCCCCTCCATTAGACAAAAATGTTCTGAACTCAGACTCTTCTGTTTTGCTTCTGCATCAGTTATTAATGTTATGGAGAATGAAGTAGGCTTGATATTCTAAGAGTTAGTCAACTTCAAGGACAGTCTTTCTTTTCTTCCTTTTAAGAGAATTGTCAGTGGTAAGTAAGAAAATTTGATATCATAATAATCTCTCCCAGACCATAAATAGCAACTCAGAAAGGATTTTTTTTTTTAATTCACGTGATTAGAATTAGTCTTCTTCAGTTTTCTGGCCCCTGAAGTGGTGTGTCCAACCCTCAGGATTACCTGTTGCAGAAACGAAACTGCTTTTGTATTCAACCAGGAGGAGCTAATCATCTTTAATTATTTTCAAAATTAATTTTCTCCCTAGAAATATTATTTATTTCTTCATACATCAAGCTGTCAATACAAGTGATTTGGAAACTGGAGGATTCAGTGAGTCTTAGCTTGGGGGAAATGAGAAATGGAATTATGTGAATATAGAATCTGCGTTTGAGTCAGAACGCCATATTGGTATTTCAAATCAAAGGTGGATGAATTTCTGGGAAATCTTTCTCTAGTCAGAAGTGATGTTTTTCTCTTTAACCAGTAAGATACTATCCATAGGGGCTTTATATATTTGAGGATACACTTTTTCATAACATAGGGATAACACTAGGTCATATTTTATAGGGTGGCTATTGAGATTAAATAAGCTAATGTCAATGTGCAAATTTTAATTCTAAGTATCTGGTGATATTTATAAACCTATTTATTCTGACATTTTTCAACTTGATTGTTTTAATATCCAAAACTTGAGCTAATGAAGTCCTTTATTTGAATCACACCTGCCTTCAAATTGCCATTGGTTCTGGCTTGCTTGCCATGTGAGGACACCTGCCGGGAGGCCTCCTGGGAGGCAGGCAGGAAGACTTCGCCTCTTGAGGCTGCGGATGGCCCTCTGAGGGAGGAGCCGCCTTCCCACACAGTGGGTCTTGGCCACCTGAGCAGCCTGAGGAAAGTGACGTGGCAGAACCAGACACCCAGAACCACATACCCCGAACCACACACCCGGTCAATACAAGTGAGGGGTATCTGGGGAGTTGGGGGTATCTGGAAGGTAACCAGGACCAGAGACCTGGGGTCCATGCTCCCAGGACCCAGGGCCAGCAGGATGCAGAGAGCTAGCTCACCACGGAGGTAAGGGGTAGCGTAGAAAACCAGGTAGTTACCCCACGGAGCCACGCCCAACTGAGGACCTGCACTGGGGGTTCTACAGGCCCAGCAGCCCCCAGCACCAAGCTTCTACTGGCCAGAAGACTGAGGGAAGAGGCCTGATGCTCTCCAGCAAGTTGGCCAACCAGACAGGACTTGGAAGGGAATCAGGACGAGGAGCACCCCAGAGCCCTCGGGGTGAGGACAGCCTGCCGTGGCTTACCTCTGCCATTGGTGGGTCAGAAGGTGGGGGGCTCTGAACACCTATGTGTTTGTATTTGCAATCTTTTGTCTACCACTTTGCAAGGGCTTGTTTGTATTTGCAGTCTTTTGTCTACCACTTTGCAAGGGCTTGAGAATGGCCCAAACTCACCATGACTGGATGAGTGGAAACAGCCCAGTGTCCGGGGAGGCTGGGCTGGCTGTAGGGCTTTGGTGGGAGGAGTCAAGGATGGATGAATGGCATGAGTCTGTAAGTCAGGTGCTGAAGACCCCGATCCCCCACCTGAGGGCCACATACAGAGCAGCTCATCCCAAGGCTGGAGGGCCCAGACTTCCTCCTTGGAGCTCCTGCTCTGTGTTCCTGAGATCCTGAGTCTGGGGCTGACCTTGAGCTGGGGCCACTCAGAGATTCCTGGGCCTGCACCCTTTTCCCCAGACTCACCGCCCAGCTCCCCAGTTCCCTGCATCATCCTCATATCACAGGTTACCTGGTCCTTCTCAAGTGTTGCTCCATAAAGTGGCACAGAGAACCCCTGTGGTGCCTCTGCGTGGACCTGCCTGGGTTGAGGACAGCAGGACAGCAGCCTGCTAGGTCTCCAGTCTGTGGAAGCCGCGTGTGGGGGGCCCTGCAGCAGCCAGAGGGTGGTCCAACTGGAGAACAGAATCCAGAAACTTGTTCATGAGGAGTGAGGTTTAGGAGCAGAATTCTTTACCCTGGGCAGGGCAGGGGCCACTGCTATGAGTAGGAATGGGAGAAGCTGGGAGCTGACCCAGGAGCCAGCCAGGCCCTGGAAGCAGGTGCAAGGCGGGGGTGGCCACCAACCCAGAGCCCAAGAGCCCTGAAACTAGAGGTGAGGTCGGATGTCAGACGTCAGAGCAGGGTGACGATGCTGGCCCTGTGAGGCTGCCCGGCCTCTGCTTCCACCTCTCCACACAGCAAAGACCCCACTCGATGCCCCTGTGAGACCCCAAATTCAGGTTCAGTGTGATGTGCTTCCTTGACAGTAGAAACAAGCCTGACTGCAAGTTCCTTCTAGATGCTGCCCCCACAGAAGGGCCCCCTTGCCAAACAACCCCCTTTATCAGACAGCTAAGGCAGCTACTACTGATTCCTGAGCAGGGGGTTTCAGGTCCCTGCCAGCCCGTGGAGTCATTCAGACAAACCAGTCACACCTTCCCGCAGGAAGCAGGGGCACCTTGCCCTCTTGGGACCACCCAGACTGCCCCACAACTCTGCGGGCTCACTGCTCTAAACGCATCCCCCTGTGACCCCATGTGGCCTGGTGTCCTCCTCCCCAGGTGTGGGTGTGTTTGGCTGATTAACCCCCATCATCTCATTGATCCTAGGTCAGGTACTGCACGATCCTACATAACCCTGGGGCAGACGTTTCTTCCTCACCAAAGGGGTGAAGGGGGCATTCAAGGCCTCCCTGCTGGGCTCCTCAGCCCTCTCCGTGGCAAGGCTGCCCCAAGACAGGAGGAAAAGAAGCAGCTTACGCCCAGCACATTGGAAAGTGGCCATCATTCTTTCCCTGCCTCGCTGTCTAGTTGGATAAATGGGCTCTTGTCACATTCCCCAGCCCTGCACACATTTTTCACTCTCATTCTGGGGACTGGGCCTCATTTATTTCCCAGGCTGGGTTCTCTGCCTGGACAAATGGGCCCAGAACTGAAGTGCCTCCACCATCAGCTTCCGTCTATACCTGCCCCCGGTGCCTGGGGCTTGTGCCTTGAGTCCCAGCCTGAGGCTGAGGCAGGCTGCTTGCCCACATGCCTGCCAGGTGGCCTGCCTGCTTGGCCCTCTGCCTGGGTGACACCTGCCCCTGGAATCCCAGATGTCAGACTCTACCCACGTCGAGGTTTCTTGCGGCTGGTTGGTGTATGGGGCTGGCTCTAACCGGCCATCTTCCATGTTGACCTCTGGAATCCATGCTTCCTCCACCAGGATGCCATTCATCTAGGGTGCCAGCATCTTCTCAGGTCCAAGATCCGGACAGCGCAGTCCGCCCACACGGACGTCATTCCCAGCTCTGCCTGCATTTCAGGGTGCTGCTCCCCAGCCACCCGTCTCCTGTGACTTGCGTTCCCTGTGATTGCTGCAAGGTGGATCTGGAGTCTGGGAGCCCACGCAGAGCCTCACAGTTCTCAGCAGCTCTTAGAGTCACTGTCCACAGAGTGGCCATTGTGGAGTGGCGATGAGTGGGACGTCAGTGACCTCCCTCAGCGGAAGGGGATATTTTAATCCACTTTATTCCAAAAGCAAATGATGTAACTCAGAGTTTTCTTTCTTCAGTTTTGCATACAAAAATATATAAAATATAATGTTTATATTTCCGATTATATAATCAGTTAAATTATATTAATTGATCCTGCAAGTAATGTTATGAATGTAGCAATTACTTTATGCAAAACTGTCAGGAAATGTTCTAAGATGATGTTAATTTTAAAATATTTATAAATAGTACAAATGAGCAAATGAGGCTTTTTGGAGTTCGTAATTTGCAAATGACGAGGGATATGGCCACAAATATGTGTTTCTTATTTTATTCTAAGGCTTTCACAGTCCAGTCTCTAACAAAAGAACATTTGAACAGGGACTCACTTACCCTTATGTCCAGATAGCACAGTATTGAAGAATGCCCGGTAGCAGGGTGCGGTTTCTTGGATGGAAAGTCATGGAAAGTTTCTTTGTATCATTTAAGGAAAATGGAAATTCATAGAAGAGATTCTGGCACCCACTGCACGGGAGACACACTGGCCCACCTGCCCCACATAGGGTAGGAGCAAGAAGGAGGCTGGAATCCAGGGCAGGCCCTGGGCAGGCCACATCCTTTCCAGGAGAGGGAGCCTGGCTGGTATGACTGTCCTAGCCTGGGTCACCCCTGCCTCCAGGGTGCATGGCACCAGGACAAGAGTCTCTCCAAGACCTCAGAGAATGAGGATGACAGTTCTCCAGGGGAAAGGAGACACCACGCCCAGAAGACAACAGGCAGGTCCACAGGCAGGAAAAGACAGTGAACCTCCACCATGGGCAGGTGTGTTGGCAATGAGGGAAAGGGGGGTTCCTTCCAAGCATTCAGGCACACTGTCAACTTCAGACAGACCATCAGTAACAGATTAAGATACAGCAGATGAATCATCCCTTCACGCGCTTAGAATTTAAATATAAGATACTATTTTTAAAATATTGGGATTATAAAACATATGTTTGGCATAATTATAAAAATTACTTGGGGTGGTATATTTTTCTTAGTTGTTTGAAAATTTTCTAGGTTTTGGTCCTCATATCTATCCCTAAATTGTCACCTGGGTAATCTGGCATTTTGTGGGATTAGAAAAGAAATCATGAAAAATTCAATGCAATGTTTAGAAGTTGGGAGAGCAATTTTGTGAAAATGCACTGAAAAAGATTCTCTGAGCATAAGTTCTTGGTCCCTGAGATACTCCACTCGTTGAGCTAATAGGCTTTTTCTTTGTCCCCCCCCAACCCACCCCTATGCACAGGGTCAAGGGGAATTTTTTATATACCCGAATTTACCTGCAAGTCTCTCTCCCTCTCTGTCTTTCTCTCTACCTACCTACTTACCTATCAACTCTCTATCACCATTTGACTTCTGGATTGACTGCTTCTTGCACTGGAAGACATACCTTCCAGTTATTGAGTCAATCCCAATCCACATTGTCTATGCAAGTGTCCTAAAGGCAGAGACAAATGGCAAGCCCTGCGGAAGCTGGCAGTTGGATTGGATGTTGAGAGTACCTGTGACTTGAAGGACGAATAGGATTTGGCCACAGCGAAGGGAAAAGAGAAATGGCAGTGTAGGCATGGCACAAACCGAGGCTTCCGGTGTAAGTAGGGAACAGCTAGGTCCTGCCCGGCTGCAATTCCAGTGGTGGTTTAAAATCCCATGGAGGATAAGACAGCTGGAAAAGATGAGATTCCATCGTTTGTCTGAAAATGATCCACGGTTCTGGTGAACTGGTAGGTCCTAAAGAACGTGGAAATTTGCCCAGCTGAAGAGTGACTGGAAAAAAACTGTAGTTTCAGGATTCAGGACCTGGAAACTCACAAAGGGGAAGCTGGAGGGGCAGCTGAGGCACTGGCTGCCATGTCTTGTCTACTTAGGTGCAGAGGCCCAGAAATCCAGATCCACGGTGGATGAAAGAGGTCACCGGGTACAACTGCTTCCCTGCAGGCAGGAGGGCTGGGCTCTGTCCTGGCCCCCGGCCTGTACATTGTCCCCAGGACTCTAGAAAGGAGTATAAAAGAGCAACATGGTAAAACATATTGGTTCGGGGTAAGTGCCAACGATCAGAGCGTACGCCTCACTTCCCTTACATAGGAATTTAGCAGAAACCTACACTCCCGCATTTGATAATTTACTGCAATTTTTTGCATGTATGCAATTGTAGCTATGTTTTATTTTTCTGGTTAAAAAATCAGTTTTTACTTCATATTTTTATCCTCAAAAGTGTTTTGTTGTTGTTGTTGTTTTTGTTTTACGTGAATAACTGCTTACCCTAACAAAATATCATGAGCATCTTAGCTTTTCACTTGTTTTATTCAGAAAAGTGTCACCCATTATCCCACTACCCAAGGACCGGCCTAATCACATTTTTTCAAGAACAGCAAAAACACAATGAACTTTTGTGCAATATTATTTTTATAACATTATTTTTGAGAAGTTTTCTAGAGTGGTCTGGTTTTAAACGAGAGTGAACTTAAACTTTTGGTGATGGCACGAATAGTGGCCATTGCTTTGGGATTTGCAGGCTGAGGAGATGGGCAACAACAGAAAAGAAGGCCAACTAAAATCAATGTCTAAACCGCTCTGCACCAGGAATCCCATAAGGAAAAAACGCAAGGCACCGAGAACTGGAATACATTCACTTTATTAAGTCTGCCACAGACATCACATACGGCTTCACCCTCTGTCTTAAAAAATAGTGGCCACCAAGCAGCTCTGCACATAAAATGATGCCCAGAAACTACTGACTCAGTAATCCTGCATATGTGTAAGCCATGCTTGTCTTCATATACATGTCTATGTATGCAGACGCATATCTTCAGCAAGAAGGCAAAGAACGGACCCCTTAAGAAATCAGAGCCAGGCCGGGTGCGGGGACTCATGCCTGTAACTCCAGCACCTTGGGAGCCCAAAGGGGCAGATCATCTGAGATCAGGTGTTTGAGACCAGCCTGGCCAACATGGCAAAAACCCGACTCTACAAAAATACAAAAAAATTAGCCAGGCATGGTGGTGCATGGCTGTAGTCCCAGCTACACGAGAGACTAAGGCAGAAGAATCACTTGGACTTGGAGGCGGAGGTTGCAATGAGCTGAGATTGTGCCACTGCACTCCAGCCTGGGCAATAGAGCAAGACTCCATCTCAAAAGCAAACAAACAAAAAGCAAACAAACAACAAACAAACAAACAAAAAAAGAAGTAAGAGCCTCTCTCTAAGTTCAGCCAGAGGTTGAACCTTTGAGGCTCTGGATATTCATAAAGTGAATCCCTCCAGTTGACATCCTTTCTCAGCCTAAGAGTGGACCTAGCTTTCATTGCTAATGTGTAAGTAAACAAGCTTTATTCATCTTAAACCTGCTATTTCTGATCATGAAGCCAATAATTTTGCTTCCTATGATTCTGAATCACTCATCTCATAGTGCCTAGAAGTGTCCATAACTCAGAGGGTCAGCAGCATCCACTCATCATGCCCTGGTGCTCTCAGTGAGGAATTTTATTTTTAGTAGAGCTGAGCTCTGGCTACCTTGAGCAAAAGGGAATTTGTGAGTAGGAAATGAGGGAGCCCAGTGCATCTACCACAGACTGGGGAGGCAGGCTTAGGGCCATGGGGAGCCTGAAGGCATTTTGCAAGTTGGCATAGGACACAGCGATGTTCTCTTGGCAGGAAGGGTGGACAAGCACCCTCCACCTGATGACTGACACTCACCCCTTTGTCATCTCCTCACATCCATAGCCTAGGTACATGCCTCAGGTATGCAATGTCCAACAGGCCAAGGTAAGTTTTCTTGAGGCAGGGAGCCAACACGATGACCACTATCATCGTGTTGATAGCTATCAACAGTGACACCAAGCAGAAAAACCACCTTTCCAAAAGAATGCTCACCCTGGAGGGCTCCAGCAGACTGACAGGGCACTGCAAAGAGGGACAACCATTTTGGCAAAGGAAAGGGATGGATGCCCACAGCTCCTGTCGTGCAGCTGGAGCCTTGCAAAGCAACTTCATAAAGCCTGTGGACTGTTAACCTGCTGACTTCAATTGAAAACTCTTCAGATGTTAAAAACAAACCTGTTTTGGGCTTAATGTCCAGCAAATGTCATGTTTTGCTAAAAGACAGCATGGCAGGCAGACCCCGGGGTGACCCACAGCCCCCTGCCTGGGGTTCACCCCTGCGCGCTTTCTCCCCTGAGGTGAGGACTGGTGACTGGCTCCTAACCAATGGAATGCAGCAAGACGGTGGCGTGTGCATGCTCACATAATGGCGATATCCATCTCACTCACAGGCTGTCCCCTAGCAGGCTTTGGAGAAACAAGCCTGCATGTTGTGGGCTTCCCTAGGGGAGGGCCACAGGGCAAGGAGCTGAGGGTGACCTCCAACCACCAGTCAATAAAAAACTGAAGCTCTCAGCCCATTGGCCCCAAGGAACTGAATACTGCTGACAAATACACGAGCTCTGTGTCAGATCCTTCCCAAGATGAGCCTCAGATGAGACCCCAGTCCCTGCAGAAACCTGGATTGCAGACATGCAGTTGCCACACTCAAGCTGTGCTTGGATTCCTGGTCCACAGAAACTGAGATCACAATATGAGTTGTTTAAAGCACTGAGTGTGTGGAAATATTGTCACATAGCACTAACTTACATGTAGCTGGTTGGTCATAACTCTCTGTATTGCACATGGACAGTATCCCTGTACAGCAGCCTCCAATGCTCCAGGCTCTCTTTACCAGGAGGAAGTGAATTTCAGATGAAATCGCCCAAAAGGGCAACACCAAACCCTGCACATCCCACTTGGTGAATGTCTAAATCTTCAGGAGTAGCTGGAAATCAAGTGCTTGTGGTCCTACTAAGCACATTTGACATTTACCAAATGAGGACAGCCTGGTTGCCCAAGCACCATCCATAGCCTCAGTCTCAGAGCTGCAAGCCCAGCTCCTCTTCATCAGCCCCGGGTCAAGATCAAATCTAAGCAACTAAAGACATAATGGGAGCAAAAATACCCTCCAAAGTAAATATTTATCCCAGCATCACAGGCTGCAAAGTCACTTACATTTCCAAGTTCTGCAGCCCATTCACAGTTGATAAACTGATCATTTTCTCCAATGAGATAAAGAATGTGAAAGGGCTTTGAAAATGAGGTCACCGAGCAAGTGGGCTATTGTCAGTAGACCTTGGTCTGCATTTTCTCTGCATTTCATCACTTCCGTGGTAAAAGCCCTTTGGCCCCAGCTGAGGAAGAATCCGCCAATAGGCAGAGGAGCCTGTGAGTCCCATGCCTGTCCCAGGGACACAGCTTCAGGCCCCCAGAAGACCTCGGTTCAAACTCCACCTCCGGGTTTAGGGTTGGTTCTTCCTTCACTTTTATTTTCCCCATCTTTAACTGCAATTACATCTGACCATGTTGCTGCCTTCAGTGCACGCCCTGGCCTGGCCTTGGTCATTGCTGACGGCTGTGGTCCAGGTGCGTTCACAATTCTGAGAAGGAGATCAGCATGACAAGAACATTTGTCTGGGGCAGAGCCGTCCCTCTCCTCGCCCTGACACGTGAGCTGAACGCCAATGCCGGCCAGAGGCAGAAGGTTCTGCACTCCATTATTTCTCATGATTGTTTCACCCCGTGCCTGCTGCACTCAGTAAATGGGCCCAAATTGTTGCTTTGTCATTTTTCAAACAGGAGCAGCTTCATATTTATCACACAAGAGATAATACGTTCTCACCGTTATCTTCATGGAGAGACTGGGAATCAGGGCCCAGGAGGGAGGCTGGGTTTTCATTTAAAGTGACACTTAGAAAGTGAGTTCTCCTGGGTGAGGACAGAGAGCACTGGCCCAGGAGGCACGTACTGGAGGTGATGGTGGCCCAGAGGTGGGCAGGCCTAACACACGTTCCTCGGATGTCCTCCCTGGAAGTGCACCTCTGTGTTTAACCAGCCCTGAAAGGGTTCTCCCCCCAGCCATGCCCTGTGCCCCCCGGGCCCTGACATGTGCACCTGCCCCGAGAACGGTGGGAGCCCAGCACTGCCTGAGCCACCGGCAGGGACATCTGAGTTAGATGACTTGCAGCTGGCTGGCTTTCAGCAGGAGAAGGCAGCAAATCTTAGAGTGGTGGCGTGAGGTCGGGAACCCAGGACAGATGGGAAGAGGGCAAGCAGCATGTCTGTGCCCCGTTCCACCTTCTTCCGAGTGGGGAGCCCAGAGTGAGGGCAAGGAGACCTATTGAGAAACTGGGCAGATTGCCCTGAGGGAGGTCCTGTGATGGCATGAGGTCTCCTGGTCTGTTGGCTGCCTCTGTTTGTATTCCTCATCCCTACAGGGCCACACCCTGCATCCCTGCAGGGCTCACATCCCACACCCTTGCAGGGCTCACACCCCACACCCCTGCAGGGCTCACACCCCACATCCCTCCAGGGCCCACACCCCACATCCCTCCAGGGCTCACACCCCACATCCCTCCAGGGCTCACACCCCACATCCCTCCAGGGCCCACACCCCACATCCCTCCAGGGCCCACACCCCACATCCCTCCAGGGCCCACACCCCGCATCCCTCCAGGGCCCACACCCCGCATCCCTCCAGGGCCCACACCCCGCATCCCTCCAGGGCCCACACCCCGCATCCCTCCAGGGCCCACACCCCGCATCCCTCCAGGGCCCACACCCCGCATCCCTCCAGGGCCCACACCCCGCATCCCTCCAGGGCCCACACCCCGCATCCCTCCAGGGCCCACACCCCGCATCCCTCCAGGGCCCACACCCCGCATCCCTCCAGGGTCCACACCCCGCATCCCTCCAGGGCTAACACCCCACATCCCTCCAGGGCTCACACTGGGAGACTTTCTTTCCCAGGGCCCACACCCCACATCCCTCCAGGGCTCACACCCCACATCCCTCCAGGGCTCACACCCCACATCCCTCCAGGGCCCACACCTCACATCCCTCCAGGGCCCATACCCCGCATCCCTCCAGGGCCCACACCCCGCATCCCTCCAGGGCCCACACCCCGCATCCCTCCAGGGCCCACACCCCGCATCCCTACAGGGCTCACATTCCGCATCCCTCCAGGGCTCACCCTGAGAGACTTTTCTTTCCCGGGGCTCAGGCCCACCACCCAGGTGACTCTGTGACTCTTATGTGGTGCTGGGTAAATTCCCCAGGAAGGGGCTGGTCTGATGGGTGCAGAGCAACCCAGTTCCCAGGGTGGCAGAGAGCAGATCTTGCCTGCCTGGCCAGAAAAGAGTCCTCTGGAAGAAGAGTTGGTTTATTGTGGTTACTTGTGAGATGGTATTTGGGGGCCCTTAGACGGAATTATACCTGACATTTGCTGCCATTTATACTTTTTCTAAGGATCTTCTTGCATTTGATTTTTTTGATTTACGTTGGTATTATACTATAAAAATAATTAACATATTACACAGCAGCATTTTTTCCCATCACCAAACCCAGCCTCTTCTGCCATACTGGGCGCTCACTCCCTGACTCACCATCTCTTGGCCTCACTGGCGGCCAGCGGGCAGGTTTCCCAAGCTAGACCCTTCTCCAAATTGCACAGCTGCGTCTTTTCCCCAGGGCAGCTCAGCACCTCGCACGTCCTCAGCTGTGGTGCTTCTGTGGCCCAGGGATCCTGTGTATCCCAAATTCCTGTTTCTGGTCCTTCCCTTGGCTCTTGTCTCCTAATAAGACCCCTGCTGGTCCTCACGTAGTTCAGACCTCGCCCCCACGCAGACACCTGCCCTGCTCCCTTCCACCCATGCCCCTGATGTTTCTGCCTGCCCGATGCGGTGCCTGCCACTGCTCAGGGCCATAATCTGGTGTCTCTGAATCTCCTGGCTTTGTCCTCACAGAACCCTAAGATCAGTCCCTGAGATCCGCCCCATCTGCTGAGAGCCTCTGCAGTCCACCCTCTCCTCCCCGCCCTGCCGTCCCTGTTCTGATCCCAAAGCCCGTGGCTTTCTGCCGCATGGGGGGTTTCCCAGTGTGTTTTCCATAATTACCCCCTAAGGAGCCTTTTCAGACATTTTCCTGAAATGGCCTTCCATGAAATGTTAACACCACAGACTCTGTCCCTGCTTATGTACTGTGTATATATTGGTGCTATATATGTAAAAAAAAAAAATGTAAAATCTTTCTGCCTTCCAAGAATACATTTTTGCTGCCCCCATCATCCCCACTGAGATGCATGGTGGAGAGAAGGTGGCTGGACAAATAGACTGTTTGTGGGTTACAGGAAGGACCGAGGCTGGCCAAGCACAGGGCAGCAGGTGGGAGCATGAGGGCTGCCAAGACCCCTCAGCAGGAAGGCTGAAAAGAGGCGGTGGTATGACTGCAGCTAGAGGGAGTCACAGCTACAGAAGAAGGCTCCTAAAGCACAGACACTGTGCTAGACCTGGCCGCTGCTGGAACTAACATCCGGCTCCCTCTCCTCCCATGCTAGACCCTTCTCCCATTTGCACAGCTGCACTTCTGGGGCTTCCCACTGGCTGAGCTCAATGGAAGTTGTTATCTCACTTGGCAATGGCCATGCTCCCAGTGACACAGGGCAGGACACGATGGTCACTCTGCCAGGACACAAGGCAGGACTCCATGATCATCGTCCGTGGACACAGGATAGGACACCATGGTCATCCTCTGAGGACACAGGGCAGGAGGTGATGGTCATCCTCCCTCGACACAGGGCAGGACGCCACGGTCATTGTCCCCAGACAAGAGTAGGAGGCCATGGTCATTGTCCCAGGACACAGGGTAGGAGGCCATGGTCATCGTCCTGGGACACAGGGTAGGAGGCCATGGTCATGGTCTCGGGACACAGGATAGGACGTCATGGTCATAACCCCAGGATGCAGGGCAGGAGACGATGGTCATCATCCCAGGATGCCATGGTCCTCCTCCTGGGACACAGGGCAGGATGTCATGGTTATCATCCATGGACACAGGGCAGGAGGTGGTGGTCATCCTCCGGGACTCAGGGAAGGGTGCAAAGGTCTCCGTCTGGGGCACAGGGCAGGAGGGAAGGTCATGAGGAATCCAAGTGGGTGAGTGCTGCAGGATCTGAGGCTAACTAATGAGGGAGTCAGACAAAAGGCACATTTCAGAGACAGAAAAGAAATTGGCAACTGCACAGATCACACGTGCGTCCCACAGGTGAGGGAAGGGAAGACTCCAGCCCTGATAACACAGCACAGCCCTGGTGAGCCTTGTGACCAAAGTCGATGCCTTCCCAACCTGTGCTGGGCAGGACAGCATGGAGGAGAGAGAAGACAAGGCAGAGGAAGGTAGGTGGCTGGGAAGATCAAAGAATGTGCCTCGGGGCTTCAAAGGAGAGAAGAACTCTCCAAACACTTTGATTAGCAGCAAGGGGTCCTGTTCTCCTTCCCTAACAGCTCGAAGCCTCAGGCTGGGAGTACTGTGCAGATGCTGAGTGACAGGCAATGATAACTTGGCCTCCAGAAAATAGTCACACAGCAGGGACCCCAGAATAGAGAAAGGGCAGTGCCCTTGAGCCCCATCTCCTTCACCCATGAGGGAAGTGCAGCACCTATGTCCTGATGTCCTGGTGGCCCTCCAGGATGGCCCCTGGGTTGTGCCCCAGGCCTGTTCTTTATGCATCAGGACCCTCACTCTCCTCCTCTGCTTCATAGTGAGACAGCAGCTACCAGGCAAGGCTGTATGAGACTCAGGAAGTGCAGGCAGAGCCTGCTGAATGCACCCGGTGTCGGCATGTGACCATTCACTATTCAGGCTGATAGGAGGACATGCATCCCCCAAATATCATTTTTTTAAATTTGGCACAAAACCTTGTCAGTCTCACCAGTTGAGTAACCCCTCCTTCCAATCATTTAAGAAGTGCTGCGGGGAAAAGATGAAATTTAGCTACATGGCTACCTTGCATTCATGTCATGTTAAAAACACAAGCCTTAATTAATGGCAAATAATGGAATACCTCCACCCACGGCAATTAAACAGCCACTGCAGGTGCAGCGATACCTCCAGAAATACGTCTGCTAAGAAATGAGAAAAGGGCTGGGCTGGCTTAAGGGTGAGCCTGCAGCCTGGGATGGAACTTGGCCTTCCTGGGAGGTGTGTGCCCCCAAGAGCCTTGCCCCAGAACATTCCACACATCAACAGCTCAAGGAATTCCTCCAACACTCACCAATAAAGACCACTTCTCACCGAGAAAGTGGGTGCCACACACAGAGGGCTGCAGGGAGCATGGTGGGTGCTGGGTTAAGCACTGCTGCCTGGAACCTCTGCATGAAAGCTGTACTTGGCATCGGCCTGAGTCTGTGTTGCGTGTTGCTAAAACAGAATATCACAGACTGGATAATTACGAAGAAAAGACATTTATTTCTCACAGTTCTGGGAAGTGCAATATCAAGGTGCTGGCATCTTACAAGGGCCTTTTTCCTGTGCCATCCCAGGGCACCAGCTGAGAGAAGGGGAGAGAGAGACACATGAGAGAGAGAGAATGCAACAGGAGCTCAACTCTCTGTTATAACAAACCCACCCTCATGATAAAGAACACACTCTATGATGACAACACTAATCCATTCACAAGGACAGAATGTACCTCATTCCTTAGTCATCTTTTACTCGGCCCCACCGCCCAACACTGTTGGGTTGGGGATTAAGTTTTCGACACTTGAACTCTGGGAACACACTCAGATCATAGCGGCATCCTAACAGCCTCGGTTGGTTGGACAGGCGCATGGGTCACACCGGAATGTTTTCCTGCTGGAAAGACACATCAAATAAACCGATTTCAGAGTCTGGTGCCTTACGACTGAGAATCTGTAGGCACAAACAGCAATTTGGAACGATTAACGTATTTCTACTTTTACATTTTTAGGGCAGCAAAATGTAAGAAAGTGGTTTCAGGGTGCCAACGTGGAGCAGCCTGTCCTGGCAGGGCCCTGCGCTGCCTTGCTCCTCTCCTGGGGGCCTGGGCCGGGGGCGAGTGTTGGGACTTTATTCCCAATGCCTTTTCCAGTGACCCTGCCCTCTTGCCTGCCATCTGCCTTGTTCCTGGAGACACTGGAGATCCTGGCTTGTGGGAACCACATGTCTGTCCCTGCCCACCTCTCCCCAACACCCCCATGCTGAGCAAGGGGCATGGAATGCCGGTTTGCAGATAGGACCATCTCATGCCCTGACTTGTGGAGACACCCTGCTTTTATAGCCATTGAGCCAGTGCAGGGAGACCCAGAGATCCAGGTGCTCAAAGGTGTCCTGGTTTGAACAACAAGTCCAAGATCACCCTACGAAGGACAAATGACTCTATGAGTGCGTCTTAGTCATCAGAATCCCACAGCCCACTCTCCAGGGGGAAGCTGCTGGCTCTGCTGATGCCCACTGGTCTCCCTGCAGGACCCAGCTTCCTAAAGGGCCAGCAGCACAGACGCCACACAAGCTTCCTCACCTGGGACCTCCCACCAGGGTATGGGGAAGAGGACATGGGCCAGGAGGAAGGGTGACACAGCTATGTAAAACTACCATGACAGGGACCATGTTCCCTCCTTCCCTTATCCCAGCTGTGACAAGATAATTGTGAAGCTACATGCCGGTGGAGGCTGCAAGATCTTCCCGGTCTCCAATTCCTGGGGAAGGCACTCACGCCGGCTCCCAGAGGACAGATGCTGTGGAGCACAGGGACGGAGAGCCAGGGGCCAGGGGAGGACACGACAGGAGGCTCCTCCTCAAAGTAGAGGCTGAGGCCATCCCCGGGGGGAAGGAGCTTATGGCTGCAAATCAGAACCAGGTATCCCAGAGCCCAGATGAGATCTCTGCACCAGGTCCACGCCCTGGAGGGAAGAAAGCATGAGGGCCCTCAAAGCAGAGAGGGCACGGATGGAGACTAAGAGGGGAAATGAAGGGCCTCAGCCCATCGCTGATGGCAGAGCTTAGAACCCCTAGGAGCAGTGGCAGGGAGTCTCAGAAACCCCAGGGAATGCACGGGAACTCTGGGCGGCTAATGAGCATTAGCCCCACCTGGCAAAGGAACCCTTCGATTCGGCAGGCCCACTCGCAGCTTCTCTGTGGTCACCCCACCCAGGCCCTGACGTTGCCCCACAGTTGTGATACATTTAAAAGGTTCAGATTCCAGGCTAGGCATGGTGGCTCATGCCTGTAATCCCAGCACTTTCAAAGGCTGAAGCAGGCAGAATGCCTGAGGTCAGGAGTTTGAGACCAGCCTGGCCAACATGGTGAAACCCCATCTCTACTAAAAATACAAAAATTACCCTGGCGTGGTGGCACACACCTGTACTCCCAACTACTCGGGAGGCTGAGGCAGGAGAATCGCTTGAACCCGGAAGGCGGAAGTTGCAGTGAGCCGAGATTGCGCCATTGCACTCCAGCCTGGGTTACAGAGCGAGACTCTGTCTCAAAAAATAAAATAAAATAAACAAATAAAAGATTCAGATTCCAGTGGAAAAATAGATTTGAATCCATTTTATTAAAACATAAATAAGTGTCCTGGGACTTGCCATGGCCAAGAACAACGAAGTCAGGCAGGCTTTGGGGAAGTGAGCCTCCGACACAAAACAGAGGAAAAATGGGAGTGCTGGGACACAGCCAGGACATCCTGAGCAGAAGGCAGGACCTTGGGAAGTCACGTCCAGCTTCCTTGACACCCCTGTGGCCAGCAAAGCCCTTAGAGAGCCAAGGGGCAGGAGCCAAGGAGAAGCCACACACCCTGCCTGTTTTAATAAGGGAGCCGATGGGGGAGACACCCCTGCACTGACTTTGCCTCGTGGTTTTCCTCTGGCCACCTCAGGCCTTTCTGAAACGGGGCAATGGACGCTTTACCTGGATGCTGGCTGCTGAGGCAGGCGATGTCCAATTTCCAAGGCCCTTCTCCAGGTCCTCATGTGCGTCTGCGGCAGACACACCAGGACCAATGCTCACAGGCTGGGCTTACATCCAGCACATGCTTCAATTATTGACAAAGCTTACGATCGGAAGGACACATGCCATGGCACAAACGTGCAGGTGGGAAACTGTTGTACAGCTATGTTTTGAAAAGATGTCTTATTTTTATTTACCATTTTAAAGAAAATTTCCTTAAAAATAATTTAGTCATTTAGGAAAGAAAGAAGCCTATGTCTGATGCGTTTAGCAGAAATTAGCAGAGAACACTCAAAACGTGACTGATGGGCCCCCAAAGCCACTCACCAACTAATTTTGAGTCTGGCACTATATCAATGCCGGGCATGAAAATGAAGAAAAAGAAAAGTAAGAAAAGTAAAACAAAACTCGTCGTTCTTCTCTTCTTGTCTCCCTTATTCTCTCCCTTTTTCCTCTTGTTCACGCATTTCACACATTTCAAGCAGGCACTAAGGGTTAGAAACTTGTGTTTAGGGAGTAAAACAGCTACTTCAGCAGGTGTCATTGATGACTCCAATTCCTCACCCCTCCCTCCACCTTTCAGGACTGCACTGCAGTGGGGCAGGCTGAGGGGCTGCTCGTCTGCACCCGCTGGCTGGAGGCTCAGCTGTGTGACTTGCTGTGAGCAGTGGCATGAGAGCAGTTGTGTCCATGAGCAAGTCATGAAAAGTGCTGAAGGGGTCGGGCCTGCTCTCTTGGGCCCCTGCCTTTGCCATCAAGAGCACGTCTGTCTGGGCTGCTGGTGCAAGAGGAGCATGGAAGATTCTGCAGCACAACCAAGACGCCGCAGCTGAGCCCAGCCCCTCCCAGGCAAACCCTGGCCAAGCACCACCCACAGCCAAATCAGTGCTGATGTTGTCTGTCACCAAGCTTTTCTAGTTGTTATGCAGCCTTTCATAGTTGTGCGATAGATACAGCTACTAGCTCCCTCTCCTAAGAGTCCTGGGTTGATGTGCCGGTGAGACATAAGCTGAAATTTGGCTAAGACAGCGAAAAAACATTTGCCATTCACAGTTCCTAAAGTCTGACACACACACACACACACACACATACACACACACACGCTCCAAACTGACCACAAAGTCAATACAATTTAGACCCTGTCTCTAGTTGGGCCAGGAATGGGAACTCACGGTTAGGGTGGATGGAGATGACTTCCTGGGATCCCATGAAGGAGCTGCCTTTCCCTGACTTTAGTTGGGCCAGGAATGGGAACTCACGGTTAGGGTGGATGGAGATAACTTCCTGGGATCCCATGAAGGAGCTGCCTTTCCCTGACTTTAGTTGGGCCAGGAATGGGAACTCACGGTCAAGGTGGACGGAGATGACTTCCTGGGATCCCATGAAGGAGCCACCTTTCCCTGAGCATTTGGGTTTATGCAAGTTTTGCTTCAGTTGTGTGTCTTGTTTGTCACAATAGTGAAAAGATGTAAGAAGCATTTGCAGAACCTTCTTAACTACAGGTGCGCATCATTCTGTTGCACTTTACAGATATCATGTTTGACAGATTGAAGATGGGGGGAGCCTGGCATCCACCACCTCTGCTGGAACTTTTCCACGAGCATGTTGTCACTTCATTTCTCTGGATAACATTGTAGGAACTCTCACAATAGTTCAGACTTTGTCCTTATTGTGACATCTGTGATGGTGATCTGTGATGATCTTTGATATTATGAATATAATTATTTTGGGGCACCATGAGAGGCACCCACATAAGACAATAAACTTAATCAATAAATGCCGTGTGTGTTCTGATTGCTCCGGTCACCGGCGCTCCCCTGTCTCTCCCCCTCCGCTCAGGCCTTTCTATCCCCTGAAATAAACAATATTGAAGTTGAGCCAACTAAGAACCCTACCATGGCCTCGAAGTGTTCAAGTGAAAGGAAGAGTTACATGGCTCTCACTTTAAATAAAAAGCTAGCTATGATTAATCTTAGTGAGGAAGGCATGGGTTGAAAGCCTAGATCAGTCAAAAATTAAGACTTTTTCACCAGCTAGCCAAGTTGTGAATATAAAGGAAAATTCTCGAAGGAAGTTAAAGTGCTACTCCGGTGAACTCACAAATGTTAAGAGAGACAGCCTTATTGCCGATATGGAGAAAGATTGAGTGTTCCGAATAAATTAGACCCACCATAACATTTTCTTATGCCAAATCCTAATTCAGAGCAAGGCCCTACCTCTCTTCAGTTCTATGAAATCTGAGAGAAGTAAGGAAGCTGCAGAAGAAAAGTTTGAAGCTGGCGGAGGTGGGTTCATGAGGTCTAAGGACAGAAGCTGTCTCCATAACACAAAAGTGCAAGGGGAAGCAGCAAGTGCTGATGGAGAAGCTTCAGAAAGTTACCTGGAAGATCTTGCCAAGATCACTGATGATGGATACACACACACACACACACACACACACACACACACACACACACACACCAGATTTTCAATGCAGACAAAACAGCCTTCTATTGGAAGAAGATGCCATTTAGGGCTTTCACAGCTATAGAGGAAAAGTCAATTCCTGGCTTCAAAGTTTCAAAGCAAAGGGTGATTCTCTCGTTAGGGGCTAAAGCATCTAGGGACTTTCAGTTGAAGCCAATGCTCTTTCACCATTCGGAAAATCCTAGGGCCCTAAAATTTACGTTAAATTTACTCTGTCTGTGCTTTATAAATGAAACAGCAAAGTGTGGATGACAGCACATCTGTTTACAACACAGTGTAATGAATATTTTAAACCCACGTTTAAGACTCACTCTCAGATAAAAAAATGTTTCTTTTCAAAATACTACTGCTCATTGACAACACAGCCTGATCCCACAAGAGCTCTGAGATGCCCAAGGAGATGAATGTTACTTTCACGCCTGCTAACACGACACCCATTCTGCAGCCCATGGATCAAGGGGTAATTTTGACTTTCAACTCTTATTATTTAAGAAACACATTTCATGGGCCGGGTGCAGTGGCTCACGCTTCTAATCCCCACAATTTGGGAGGCCAAGGTGGGCAGATCACCTGAGGTCAGGAGTTCGAGACCAACCTGGCCAACACGGTGAAACTTTGTCTCTATTAAAAATACAAAATTAGCTGGGTTTGGTGGTGCATGCCTGTAATCCCAGCTACTCGGGAGGCTGAGGCAGAAGAATCACTTGAACCCGGAAGGCAGAGGTTGCAGTGAGCCCAGATTGCACCACGGCACTCCAGCCTGGACAACAAGAGCAAAACTCCACCTCAAAAAAAAAAAAAGAAAAAGAAAATAAATACATTTCGTAAGGCTGTACCTGCCATAGATAGTGATTCCTCTAGCGCATCTTGGCAAAGTACAAAAGTACATTGAAAACCTTCTGGAGACCGGGTGCGGTGGCTCATGCCTGTAATCCCGGCACTTTGGGAAGCCAAGGTGGGCAGATCACAAGGCAGGAGGTCGAGACCATCCTGCCTAACACGGTGAAACCCCATCTCTACTAAAAATACAAAACAATATTATCCAGGTGTGGTGGCAGATGCCTGTAGTCCCAGCTACTTGGGAGGCTGAGGCAGGAGAATGGCATGAACCCGGGAGGCAGAGTTTGCAGTGAGCTGAGATTGCGCCACTGGACTCCAGCCTGGGCAACAGAGCAAGACTCCATCTCAAAAAAAAACGATAACAAAAAAAGAAAACCTTCTGTAAAGGATTCACCATTGTAAATGGCATTAAGAACACTTGTAATTCATAGGAGGAGACCAAAATATCAACACCAATAGAGATTTGGAGGAAGCTGATTCCAACCCTCACGGATGACTTGCAGAGGCTCAAGACTTCTGTGGAGGAAGTGACTGCAGATATGGTGGAAAGAGCAAGAGAACTAGAATTAAAACTGGAGCCCAACTGAATTGCTACAATCTCGTAACACTTGAAGTAATGCGGAGTTGCTTCTTATAGATGAGCAAAGAAAGTGGTTTCTTGAAGTGCAATCTACTCCTGGTGAAGATGCTGTGACCACTGTTGAAACAAGAACACAGGATTTAAAATATTCCGTAAACTTACCTGAGGAAGCAGCAGGAGGATTTGAGAGAACTGACTCCAATTTTGAAAAAAGTTCTACTGTGGGTGAAGTGCTGTCAAGCAGCATCGCATGCTGCAGAGAAATCTTTTGTGAAAGGAAGAGTCAAGGGATGTGGCAAACTTCACTGCTGTCTTATTTTATGAAATTGCCATAGCCACCCCAACCTTCAGTAACCACCACCCTGATCAGTCAGCAGCCATCAACATCCTTCGATCAATTGAGGATTGATGGAACATCCTTCATCAATCATCTGAAGGTTCAGATAACTGATTGTTAAAAACTTTTAGTAATAAAGGATTTTTAAATTAATGTATATACATTTTTAGACATTATGCTATGACATGCCCAGTAGACCACAGTATAGTGTAAACATAACTTTTAAATGCACTGGGAAACCAAAAAACTTGTGTGAACCACTTTGTTATATGTTGGCTTTATCGTGGTGGTCTGGAACAGAACCCACAATGTCTCCAAAGTGTGCCTGTAAAGATCAAGGAAGACTCGGTGTAAATACCAATTAGTTCTGTGGAGACACGGCAGTTCCATGGGTAAACTTGCCAGCTGTCCGAGTCAATGCTCTCATTCTAGGAATCCAGATACATTCTTCTCATTTTCTTTATAAGCCACCCAGAAATGAGGTATTAATTCTGGGTTCCCTCGCTGCAATCGGAGGATCCGCAGGCCTCCATCTCTGACGGCATGGCTCGCACTGTAACCATCAGGCCCTCTTGCCATGACAGCACAAGAGAAGGTGGATCTGAGGGAGGAGGAAGTGGTCAAGGGGGCGGGTATGACACACGTCTCATTCTCCCTCCCCGTGACTCGGCTTGGTTAACGAAATGCACCGTGTGATGCAGTGGAGTCCCTTTCTGGATCCGTCCCGGGTTGGCTCCTTGCAGGGAGGGAACTCGGCTGAGGATGAATTTGGACAGAACACTCAGATGGGAAGGCTCTTTCTGTCCTTTTAACCTCTGAGTTTCTAACATACCTGTAATTCTATTTATTTAGAAAGTTATAACACCTGAAGATCGACTTTTTTTTTGTTTTGTTTTTTTGAGGTGGAGTCTCACTCTGTTGCCCAGGCTGGAGTGCAGTGGTGCAGTCTTGGCTCACTGCAACCTCCACCTCCCGGGTTCAAGAGATTCTCCTGCCCCTGCCTCCCAAGTGGCTGGGATTACAGGCACCCACCACCACACCCGGCTAATTTTTGTATTTTTAGTAGAAACAGGATTTTACCATATTGGCCAGACTGGTCTCGAACCCCTGACCTCAGGTGATCCACCCACCTCGGCCTCCCAAAATGCTGTGATTACAGGTGTGAGCCACTGCACCTGGCCAAAGATAGACTCTTAAAAATTTAACTCATTTAACAGAAATGGGCATTTCTTATTGCAGTCAAATTTTTATTTTTCTTCTCTCTTTTTTGTGGTAATGTGATTGGCTTTCTATTTCCATTCTGGCTGGGCTTCATATTCCAGAATGACACTGAATTAAGTCAGGAGCTGGGGTGAGGAGAGAGGAAAGAGATAAGGAGCGAAGAGGACAGAAGCTGCCTCACAGGCTGGTCCCCATCACCGCGCCAAGTGAGGGTGATTTACTTTGTGTTCACTCGTCTTCCCCGGCACAGACACAATCTAAAAGCAATCAGAACTCTGACCCCACAGTGGCGGCACCTGTGCCTTATAAGGCGGAGCACCCCACGCTGTTCCCACAGATGATCCAAAAGGCACAGGAAAATCTCTGTTGTCCGCAGAGACGTCAGCCGCCACGCTAAGGGCGTCTTGTGGGGTTTCTGCGGTGAGGGCATTGCTCCTGGGCAATGGAAGTGATACCCACTGAATTCACAGGGCCGCCGGAACCACCATGCCAGCGTCATGGGCTTCTCGCTCACCGTCCTGCATGAAGAGAGCGAAGGATTGCTGAGAAGGCCCTTGCTTTCATATCCCCTCATTTATTTTTCAAAGCAACCAGCTAAGGTGGGTGCATATTCTTACCCCCTTGGCAGAGGCACAGAGACGATAGTAACCATTCAAGGACACACAGCCGGTGTGTGCGGCTCAGGGCACTGAACCAGGCCTGTGGAACCCCAGGCTCATGCTAGTCCTCTTCATGGCACAACCTGGCTCCCGGTGTGATGGTTGGACCTGGATTTTCCTCCCCACTGGAGGTAGCAGGGTCACCAATGGAGGAATGCTCGCAGGGAAGCCCGGCCCTGCCCCCAGCGGAGACCCCCCCACCCAGGTCCCTTCTGATCTAGAAAGAGGCTCAGGTGCTGCAAGCTGGGCTCCCCAGTCTGCACCTGGGTGTGCAGCACCAGTGCTGGGCAGGCTGCTGAGTGGCCAAGGAAGGGGGAACAGAGCCTCTGTCCCTAGGAGTTTACCATCTTAATGAAGATATAACACCCTGTAGAAGCAGACGGTGTGTAAGAGCCAGGCAGGGGCATATTAGGACTTACTGAGCCCAGAAGTGTGCGGAGGGCTATGAGCAGACACGTGATCCCACTGAGGACGGGGCGTGGGGTCCCACTGAGGACAGAGGGCTCGAGGTTCCACTAAGGATGGGGGCACAGGGTCCTACTGAGGGCAAGAGGCATTAGGGTCCCTGTGGAGAGAGTGGCATGGGGTCCTACTGAGTAACAGGGATGGGGGGCACTCACCGTCTCTCCTGGGAGCACATGGGGCACCAGCCACATTTACCAGCTGGAGAGTGAACCTTCTGTGAAGGCTTCTCCATGCAGAACACAGGCAGCAGCAGGGGGTCTGGATACGCAGAAAGATGGAGGTTGGCTTTGCACATGGCGCTGGGGCAGGACCAAGGTGATGGAGCTGGGATTGCACATGGGACCAAGGCGAGGCCTCAGGCAGTGACTGAGCTGGGCATGCTTCACCCAAATGACCAGGATGTCCTGTGCACCTGGGGTGGGTGATGGCAGTGAGGATTATGTGGGTAACAAAGCAGTCCTGGCAATGGCAGCTGCAGGTATACTCCCCTTCCAGAGAGTGTCACTGTGCAAGGCAGGGTGTCCCTGCAGTGGGTGGGCACCTGGTGCAGGGCACAGGCATGGCCAAGACCCCAGTGCTCAGCCCCTCCCACAGCCTCTGGGGTAATGGGGTAGCAGAGGACACCCAGGGTCCAAGAGGGAGGTAGGGAGGCTCCTGGGGAATGTGGAGCAGGAGCAGGAGAGGGCATCCCTCAGACATGCAACTCCTGGGGTTCCTGGGCCTGCACTGTGGGGCCTGGGTAGGGCCAGGCCCTGCAGGAGGCTCCAGCCAGGCAGAGGCAGGCCAGGTTGGGCACCTGCAGTCTCCAGGACACAGCTCTTCTGCTTCAGTGATTAGTAAGCTGTGAAATATTTTTAAAACAAAGAGGCAGAGAGAACATCATAATGAGAATATAACATGATTGAGGCCCCTGCAGTTCACCTCAGAGCCCCGTTCCACTGTTTCCCTCCCCGGAGGCCCCCACCCTCCTGAATGTGTCCTTTGTTACCTGCATGCTTTTATATTTCTTATAATTTCAAGTTTTATTTTCGATTCGGGGTATATGTGCAGGTTTGTTAGGTGTTATATTGCATGATGCTGAGGTTTGAGTTCTGTCACCCACGTAGGGAGCACAGCACACACGGTAGGTAGTTTTTCAGCCCTCATCCCCCTTCTTCCGTGCCCCCTCTGTGAGTCCCCGGTGTGTAATGTTCCCATCTTTACGTCCGTGTGTACTCAATGTTTAGCTTCCACTCGTAAGTGAGAACATGCGGGATTTGGTTTACTGTTCCACCTGCACAGTCTTACACTGGCGTCATATCAGGGCTACCCTGGGGACTTCATAGGCTGTGCCCTGCGAGGAGCACTCAGCCAGGGCTGAGCTGGGGCTACAGGGAGTCTGCACCCCAGAGCCCTGCATCACAGGCCCCACCAGAGCCAGCACCAGCTGCTTCCTTCAAATGTGTCTGCCCAGAGGGTGTACCTTATTCTATGAGCACAGAAGCGTTGTGTATGCCCAGGGAGAACTGTGATTCACATATAAATCCATAAACAATTTGCATGTTCTAACATCCTATGTAAACATCATGCTGTCTGTCACTTGCTTCGTTTGGGAGATTTGGACCCACACTGATGTTTGTGGCTCCAGGTTGCTTATTTCAACAGCAGTGCAGTAGTAGTGAGCCTCATAAGCCCACCACGATTTATCTCTCCATTTTCTTATTCATGGAAATTCAATTATATTCCGTTTTTTGCTGTCACGAATAACTCAGCAACACATGTTCTGATCCGTGTCTCCGTAGACCTAGCTGGAAGAGTTTCTTTCTAAACTGCACAGGTATTTGCTTAGAAATACAATTTGGGGGCATCTTCATCTTTACCAGGTTTTGCTAAATTGCCCTAAAATGTGGTTGAACAATTTCCTCTTCTCCACCAGTGTAGGATGGCTCTGGTCAGACTACTTTCCTGCCAAACATTGATTCTGACCAACCAAGCCAGATGGTTTCTTATTTTAATACACATGTTTCTAGTTAATTGTGAGGCTCAAAAATGAAATGCATGTTTTTGGCTGTTTATGGTTTCTCATCTGTAAGTTATCTATAGGCCTATCAGGTTTTGCCTTTCTTCTTATTAATTTATCTTAGACATTGGTTATCTGCATTGCAAATGTCTTCTCTATGTTTGTATTTTCATTTTTTCTCCAGTATTGACTACTGTAGGAAATGGAAAACTTTTTAATGTTACCACATTTTTCAGCCGTTTCTTCTATGACTTTTGTTTTATGTCTTATTTACATCTTTTCCTTTCCTCAGAGTCAAAGACGCTCTCTTAAAAATTTTTCTAAAACCTTTAAAAATCCTTTAGTTTTTGTTTCTGTTCCATTTCTGATACACAGAAATGTTTGAAAATTATTTCTGAGCCTAGCGGTGTTTCCTCGGCTTCCTTGTTCTATATTTTATGGATCATTGATCTGCATTTGAAGTTAATGGAGTGCAGAGAATCATAAACCAGCAGCTCCATCCCGTTCAGAAGGCAGCTCCAATTCTTAGGGACTTGAGACAAGTGGAGAGGAAACAGGAGCTTTGGGGATGGGGAACGGGAGGGGGAAGACACTCCTTGGTCTCATCCAGGTAGTCTTAAATCCAAAGGTAAAGTTTCTCTGACCTCTGTTCTTCAGAGGTCAACAAAAAGCCACGTGGGGAGTCTACCAAAGTCGTGTGTTTCTTCCGCGTGAGTCATAGGGACGGAGGGTTTGGTTCTCCAGCTCGCTTCATAAAATCGTCCGGCCTTTCTCTTGCTGGGGAACCAGGATCCGATCAGGAAGTAAGATTCACTGGGGCGACCTCTCCATGCGTTCTCAGCAGTTTCCTCTTTAAAATAAAGTTCCCAGGGCCTGAGGCAGGCTGGAGGGAACCCTGGAAGGAAGGAAGCGTCCCCCCAGTGTCCCTGCCTTCGCAGGTGCCACAGATATCCTACTGTTTTGGATGCCCTGCCTCTGTGCAGTCAGGCTAACCCCACACTCAAATGCTTGCACTGCTATTACAGACAAGCGCATGAGATCAGCGAAGGGACCCCTGTGGACTCAGCCCAGGGATGTGACAGGTGACAGCCCCTGCTGTGGCTCTGTGCTTGTCCCCAAGAATGGCCACAGGTCTTGTGTGACCAACAAGGCTGAATTGCCGGGGGCTGGGTCCACTTTGTCCGATAACATTCTCTGAAATCCTCCCCTCACAAGGCATTGGCTCACATCCCATTGTTTGGAAGTCCTGTCTTCTGTCCCAGGTGAGCTCCGGCAGACAGGAGTGGGGAGGGACAGGTAGCATAGCCTTGTGCTCAATAGTGATCTGTGCAAATGTGAAGTTAGATGTAGCTGAGGCTCTGGGCTCCGGACATTTCAGGTCTCTCCTCTTCTGGCCTCGGTCTGTGTTCACCCCTAAACATCAGAGCCAAGCGGACCCTGTGCTTGTGGTGGTCGTGCTGGTCTGATCCGCTTCCTCCCATCTGGGACCTCTTTCCCCCTAATCTCATGCAGATTTTTTCTGGCTGTCCTTCACCCAGTGAAGCCTGCCCGATGCTCCGTCCTAACATTTCACTCACCATCCTGCCTTTTTTCCCTTCAACAGCACTCACCTGGAAATCCGCAGTGACCACGGATCCTGCTGTGACCCATCTCCCATGGGGCTGGGGGCAGACTGTGCATGTGGGCGGTGCTGCCTCTTCCTACCTGGGCTGCTCACCACTCCACCTCCAGCCCCCACAGCAGTGTCTGCATGAAGATGAGGCTCCATACGTGTGGAATGCAGGCATGAGCATGGTTCAGAGGCTCACAGGACTCGGCACGTGATTCCAGTCAGTCCAAGGGGTACTGATGTAGCTCAAACCAGTTCCTTCAGAATTCTTCCTGGGAAGCAGAAGGGAAGAAAGCTTCCTCTCCCCTTTAGGTCACGATCTGTAAGGACAGAGACTTTGGGCTGCCAGCAGCCGTCTCTCCCTCCAGATGAAGAAGCCCATTTGCGGCCCAAGGGCCCAGTGGCAGCGGAAGGAGAGGAGTGGCACTGAGGGATGAAGACTTGGAAGGAGGAAGAGACAGCCCCGGAATCCAGCTGTTGTGAAAGCTGCCCTTGGAAGTACAAGGTCCCTAAATCAATCAATTTGCCTCTTGGCTGGGGATTCCAATACTTGCAACTCTTTGTGTTATGGATATCATGGTGTGCCCAGCCTTGGGCTACCACTCGAGAGCGGGCAGGGCCCCATCCTGAAGAACCATTCGTCCCCTACCATGTTGGAGAAGTATGGGGCTTCACACACCAGCACTGCTGCTCAGCCTCACTGCTTTGCTCCTGCAGAAGGGCACTGAAGGTTCCTCAGGCCCCTGGCCTTCTCCCTTTTATCCACAAAGCTTCATGGATGGGACCCAACTTCTCCTAGGAATCCATGTAGCTGTGCAGATTCTCTCCTGCCCGCAGTCCTCCCCCCGCCTCTCTTTCTTGCTAACTTCACCTTGCTTGGGTTTGGACAGCCACATGCTCACCCAAGAGCTAGAATCAGGATCTGTCCACATTGATGACACAATCTGCTGCTTCTTTGTTTAGGAGGGCATGGAACCAGTTGACCCAGTTTTGGCAAATGAGAACCAGAAGTCGGCAGGATGCTATTTTAAAATATATATTTAAATTCTGAAATAGCTTAAGGACCTCATAAGTTGCAACAGTCATACCATGAGTGCCCGGTCACCCTTCCCCTTGTCTCCCTCCATGATAACGTCTCACACAAACCCCACGTCATCAAAAGCAGGAGACTGGCACAGGTGCAATACTGGTGACTCAAACAGTCTTGGATTTCATTTGTTTTTGTATGAACTATTTTTTTAAGGTTTGGCATATCATTCTAATAAAATTGATCACATAAAAATTCAAGCCATCATCCACGTAACCAGGATGCAGAACTTGTAGCACCACAAAGAATCTCCCTCCTGCTACCCCACTGGTCCTGTCCTTGCTGAGCCTGAGCCCTGGCCACCGTTGATGCGTTCTCCGTCTCTATAGTGTCATCATTTCTAGAGCATTGCATGAATGCAGTTGTACAGATGCCACCATTTGAGACTGGCTTTCGTCATTCAGCGTGATGCCCTGAGACCCTTTCAGGCCAGTGTGCACATCAGCACATCAGCATTCCATTCCCTTTTGTTGTTGTTATTGTTGTTTATTGTTGTTGTTTTTGAGATGGAGTCTCCCTCTGTCACCCAGGCTGGAGTGCAGTGGCACAATCCTGGCTCACTCCAACCTCTGCCTCCCAGGTTCAAGCAATTCTCCTGCCTCAGTCTCCTGAGTAGCTGGGATTAATGGCACGCACTGCCACGCCTGGCTAATTTTTGTATTTTTAGTAGAGACAGGGTTTTGCCATGTTGACCAGGCTGGTCTTGAACTCTTGACCTTAAGTGATCTACTAGCCTCAGCCTCCCAAAGTGCTGGGATTACAGGCATGAGCCACTGTGCCCGGCCTCTATTCCCTTTGATGGCTGAGTAGCTGCTGTTCATTGCATGGATCTTCCACAGTTTATCCATTTCACTCTTGAAAAACATGTGGGTAGTTTTCAGTTTACAGCAATTACAAATAAAGCTGCTATGAACATTTGAGCACCAGTTTTTATATGATCATCAGTTTTCTTTTCTCTAAAGTAAATATCCAGGCGTGTCATTGCCGGGTCATAGGGTAAATATATGCGTAACTGTGTAAGAAACTGACAAATCATGGTGCAGAATGGATGTACCCTTTACATTCCCACCAGCAATGTGTGAGATTCCAGCTGTTGCATATGCTTTATAGCACTTGGTATTGTCAAGTATTTTTTCTTTTACCTATTCCGATAGGTGTGTAGTATTACTTCACTTTAGATCTAATTTGCATACTCCTAATGTTTAAGGATGGTAAATATCTTTCAGGTGCTTCTTCGCCACTCAGTTCTCTAAAGAAAGAGGCACCCATGAATCTTAGTGAAGTGTTTGTTCACATCTTTTGCCAATTTGCTAATTGGATGGTTTGATTTTGTATTGTTGTGTTCAGAGTTCTTACAGATTTTAGATTTAGGTCCTATCAGGTGTGTGGCTTGAAAATATTTCTCCAGTATGTGTCTCATGTTTTCATTATCTTAACAAGATCCTTCACAGAGCAGACATTTTTAATTTTAATATAAAGTCCAATTTATCAATATTATTTTTATGGATTGTGTCTTGGTATCATATCTAATAATTTTTTGTCTAGCAATAAGTCAAGGCTTTTTCTGACATTTTCTTCTAAAAGTGTTACAGTTTTACATTTTGCATTTTGATCTTTGATCCATTTTGAGTTCACTTTTGTATAAATAATACACAAGGTATTCTTTAGGTACTAGCTGCTCTTCAGGAAGATTCACCTCCCTGGTATATTAGAGAATTGCTACAAGACGCTATAAGGTGGGCCTGTGCTGCTTCTCCATTCTCTCCCAGTTCTGGATGTTGCTGTGATGATGTGATACCAGGAGCAGTGGCAACTCTTTTAGGATCAGGAAGTAAAATGCTTCAGAATGAGGAACAACATGACAAGAACAGTGGAGTAAAGAAGAGCCACAAAACCAAGCTTGAGACCTGATACCTCTAGGCCTCCTGTTAGGTCAATGAGTGTCCATATTATTTAAGACAATATTAGGGTTTTCTCTCACTTGAGTGTTGTGCATAGCAAGAGAGGCCCCATCCTAGCCAATGAGGTGCTTGGTATACACGGATTCATCATGATAGGGTTTGAATCTGTGTCCCCACGTGAATCTCATCTTCAATTTTAATTCCCAGTGCTGGAGGTGGGACCTGGAGATGACTGGATCCTGGGGCAGTTTCTAATGGTTTAGTACAATTCCCCTCGCGCTGTTCCGGTGAGTGAGTTCTCATGAGATCTGGTTGTTTAAATGTGTGTGGTCGCTCCCACTCCTCTTCCTCCTGTTCTCCCCATGTCAATGTGCCTGCTTCCCCTTCCTCTTGCACCGTAAGTGAAAGCTCCTGGAGGCCTTCCCAGCCACTCAGGGAGGAACCATGCAGCCTGTGGAAACATAACCAATGAAACCTCTTTTCTTTATCAATAACACAGCCTCAGTCATTTCTTTACAGCAATGTGAGAACAGACTAATACAGGTCACAACCTTTCAGTCCCAGAGTCCACATTCATGAGCCCAACAGGGAATGGAGGAAACTTCTCTCACGCATTCTCGGCAGAACCCAGCAGAAGGCAGGAGTCGGTCCCAACCGTGAAGAAAGAAGCAAACATCCACAGCTCACAGGGGCCTCACAGCTGGCCAAGTTCCCTGCAGAAAGTAAAAAGTTCCTCTTCAAAGTTTCCCTCCTTGTTAAAAAATAAGCCATAAGTGTTAGAAATAATAGTTTCTTTTAAAGACTAACTTCCTTTAAGCTTCCTTACTTTATGCTAGTGACTCTTTGTTGGGCCCTATCCTATGTACCTGTTAAACATGCTGACAGGCACGTAGTACGTTCCATGTCCTTGTACCTTCACCAAGATTTTTGTGCCGGACATGCTCACAGGCACGCTCCAGCTCGTGGCCTATGCCCCTTCCCTATTTGGCATAAGCAACTTCCTCTTTTCCTTTGTCTTTCCCTTACTTTTACCTATTTAGAAAAGTTTTAAACTGTTAGCCAATCGGGTTTTAGTTTAAATTGTGTGGTCTGACTCCAGCCAATGGAGACAGGACCCAGTAGCAGGGACAAAGTGTATAAGGAATAAAGATTGCTTCCCTCCTTTGTTCGGGTGTGCTCTGACCATTATTCCATCTGTGATTAGCACCCTTTCCATAGAAAGTAAAGATTGCCTTGCCGAGACGATTCAATTTATGTTTGAGTGCTATTTCTTTGCGGCACCAGGGAACAAGCATTTACATATAACATTCCCAAACTCCAGGGTCCATCTGTGTTTCATCGACTTGTGAGAGCGTGAAATGTGTAAGGGTATGTTCAGCGTTAAGCTTGACAGACTGAAATGGCACCAGTGGATTTCTCAGCAGCAAACCCACGGGGAAACCGTGTGGACTTTTCAGAAGAGGCCGCTGCTGGAATCCCCACCACATCTCTCCTTGGTCTAATTACAGGAGATGTTCAAGGGATCTAATGGGAGCTTTCTTTGTAAATCAGGTTGCAGCTCCAGAGATGCTGAGCTGAGTGTGCTGCGTGGTTAATTGTGGCTAACAGGAAGAGGGTGGACATATGCCAATATTTATGCAAATAGCAGAGCTGCTCGGGGACTGTGCCCTGGGGGACTTCAGCTCAGCCTGGCCAACATCCAAAGACTTCAGGCCCTGCTTTCACAGGGCAATTTGGATTGCTCTGCAGATTGGATGGAAATAAATTTTGCATATCAATGCTAATGGTGTCAAGGGTCCATAATCAGCCCTCGTGCTCCTAATTTTAGACCCAGCAGCGCATCTGTGTGAAAGAGCAGGCTGGGAGTGCCGGTGGAACTCATCCTGCTGGGAGGCTAATAGCTCAGCTGTTCACCTTTCTTGGCATCAGGAGAGCTTTGTATAGGCACTGAAATGGGAGAACATCAAATCCTTAAGATGCAGTCTAACACATCCCCTGAAAGCCTAGAGTCTGCAGATTCTGCAAAGCAACTGGCCTCAGTCCGGAGCCCTGGAAGCATCAGTTGATGTATTGTGAGGATCACTCTCAAGAGATGGGGAAGAAAGATAGGGTGTTGGGGGTGGGGTAAGATAGGGTATGGGGGGTGGGGTAAGATAGGGTATCGGGAGTGGGGTAAGATAGGGTGTCGGGAGTGGGATAAGATAGGGTATGGGGGGCGGGGTAAGATAGGGTATGGGGAGTGGAGTAAGATAGGGTATGGGGGGTGGGGTAAGATAGGGTATGGGGGGCGGGGTAAGATAGGGTATGGGGGGTGGGGTAAGATAGGGTATGGGGGGTGGGGTAAGATAGGGTGTCGGGGGTGGGGTAAGATAGGGTATGGGGGGTGGGGTAAGATAGGGTATGGGGGGTGGGGTAAGATAGGGTATGGGGGGTGGGGTAAGATAGGGTATCGGGAGTGGGGTAAGATAGGGTATGGGGGGTGGGGTAAGATAGGGTATGGGGAGTGGGGTAAGATAGGGTATGGGGGGTGGGGTAAGATAGGGTATGGGGGGTGGGGTAAGATAGGGTATGGGGGGTGGGGTAAGATAGGGTATGGGGGTGGGGTAAGATAGGGTATCGGGAGTGGGGTAAGATAGGGTATGGGGAGTGGGGTAAGATAGGGTGTCGGGGGTGGGAGTAAGATAGGGTATGGGGGGTGGGGTAAGATAGGGTATCGGGGTGGGGTAAGATAGGGTATGGGGGGTGGGGTAAGATAGGGTATGGGGAGTGGGGTAAGATAGGGTATCGGGGTGGGGTAAGATAGGGTATCGGGGTGGGGTAAGATAGGGTATGGGGGGTGGGGTAAGATAGGGTATGGGGAGTGGGGTAAGATAGGGTATCGGGGTGGGGTAAGATAGGGTATGGGGGTGGGGTAAGATAGGGTATCGGGGTGGGGTAAGATAGGGTATGGGGGGTGGGGTAAGATAGGGTATCAGGGTGGGGTAAGATAGGGTATCGGGGTGCGGTAAGATAGGGTATCGGGGATGGGGTAAGATAGGGTATGGGGGGTGGGGTAAGATAGGGTATCGGGGTGGGGTAAGATAGGGTATGGGGGGTGGGGTAAGATAGGGTATGGGGAGTGGGGTAAGATAGGGTATCGGGGTGGGGTAAGATAGGGTATCGGGGTGGGGTAAGATAGGGTATCGGGGTGGGGTAAAATAGGGTATGGGGGGCGGGGTAAGATAGGGTATGGGGGGTGGGGTAAGATAGGGTATCGGGGTGGGGTAAGATAGCATATGGGGAGTGGTGGGGGTTAGGGATAGAGTGGCTTCACTCTGGGGAATGCTCACAGCCACAGTAGTGTGAGTGCACCAGCCAGGAATGGGGCCGGCACCTGAAGCATCCACTGAGTCCTTGCCTTGTACTGTTCCAGTCCACTTGCTCCTCACGTTAAATCCTCTGTCCAGACACAGCTTCCCTGGGACCCTTGCCAGGCACAGCTCCAGGGAGGGCTGTTCAGATGAAGTGCAGCCCCCATGCCACAGCCCACCCCAGGCAGCCGGCTGCTCCTTGCCTGCCTCCATCCTCCAGGTTGCATCCCCTGCCCCCAGCTGGCACTCTTCCTGGGCTGGGTGGCTCACGTGGTGGTTGCTGACTCTTGTCCCTGAGGGCTCTGAGCCTCTTGGCTCCGTGTCTTTGTCAGGCTGCAGGTGCAGCACCTGCCCATGGAGAGTAACATGAGGTACGGGGCAACCAGCACCTGCCCATGGAGAGTAACGTGGGGTATGGGGCAACCAAGGGCTCCAGTGGCTCATTTGATTGCCTGCACTTTTCTCTCTGCCTCCACTAGCTCTGGGGCTACCACAAGACGAACAGAGCCCAATCTTCTCCTTATCAGTGTTGGCTGGAACACAGTAGTTCTGGAAATGTCTCTCGTCTCCTGCATCTTGGTGGATTCCCTGAAAGCAGAAGTTGTAAGGGAAGCTATTAGCAGGGTGTTAAGAAATGACAATGAGTCAAGAAAAACAATAAAATATGAGCCTTTCCTTAAATGAGTGAAACAGGGCTGTGAGGGACTGAATTGTCAAACCCTTCCTGGGGAGGACTAGATGCCCTCACTCCTGGGGAGCAGTGGATTCCCTCACTCCTGGGGAGCACTGAAAGCCCTTAGTCCTGGGGAGCCCTGGAAGCCCTCATCCCTGGGGAGCCCTGGAAGCCCTCACCCCTGGGGGGCACTGGAAGCCCTCCTGGGGAGCACTGGATGCCTTCACTCCTGGGGAGCTCTGGAAGCCCTTACTCTTGGGGAGCACCAAAGCCCTCCTGGGGAGCACTAGATGCCTTCACTCCTGGGGAGCTCTGGAAGCCCTTACTCTTGGGGAGCACCAAAGCCCTCCTGGGGAGCACTAGATGCCTTCACTCCTGGGGAGCGCTGGAAGCCCTCACTCCTGGGGAGCACCAAAGCCCTCCTGGGGAGTACTGGATGCCTTTACTCCTGGAGAGCTCTGGAAGCCCTCACTCCTGGGGAGCACTGGAAGCCCTCACTCCTGGATAGCGCTGGAAGCCCTCAGTCCTGGGGAGCGCTGGAAGCCCTCAGTCCTGGGGAGCGCTGGAAGCCCTCACTCCTGGGGAGCACTGGAAGACCTCACTCCTGGGGAGTACTGGAAGCCCTCCTGGGGAGCACTGGAAGCCCTCAGTCCTGGGGAGCACTAGAAGCCCTCACTTCTGGGGAGCACTGGAAGCCCTCCTGAGGAGACTTGCGGGGGCCCTGCTGAGTCCTTCCCAGAACCTGGAGATCCCACGTTCTCACTTCTGCAGGAAGATGCTGGCATGGCCCCCTGAGTGTCCATGTCTTCTGCGGGGGATGGATGTCTCACGATATGGGGAAGGGACATTGAGTGGTTGGGAAGGGGCTGCACACCTTAATCATGCCCAGGAAGCCACAGGCACCACCAGGTTTCACAGGACAGCAGAAAGGGGCAACAAGATCCTCTCCCTCTGATTTTCTCTCTCTCTTAGTCTCTCTCTCTCTCACCCCATCTCTCTATCTGTCTCTCTCCACTTGTCACCATGGCAACAGGAGCGCACAATTCCCTTTCTCTTCTTCATGGTGTCAGAGCACTTGTGTGGGAGTAGCTGAACTCCATTTGGCCACCGATCCCTGAGACCACCTTTATTATAACCGTGGGAAAGAGCTCAGAGGATCGGGAGGGGGATAGCCACCATCTACAGATAACTCTCTGGGAGCCCGGCCCGAGGCCACGTGCTGGGGACCCCTGAAGTTCTTGGAGCCACATCAAGAAACGAGATTCCAGGAAAGGCCTTTACTGCAACCCTCAGCCCCCATGATGGGTGGATATGATATGCCCCTCTCCTGGTGGTTGAGGACCCTCAAGTTGCCCAAGGGAGCCTGCCAGGGTCCAGAGCATGTCAGGGCACTTGCTTGGAGGAGGTAGGTGGGTTCACCTGCTTCTTGGTCATGGTGTATTCCAGCTCAGAGGGGGCTATTAGCCTTTGGCAGCCTTGCCTAACAGTATCCAACAGGAAAGGAAAGGGCATCACCTCCTTCTCTTGGCATCTCATGAGGGAGACAGAGAGGGAGAGAAAGGGAGAAGAAAGGAGGAAGGGAGGAAGGAAGGGAGGAAGAAAGGTTAAGAAGGAAAGAAGGAAGCAGAGTAGGGGAGAGGGAGGAGGAAAGGAGGGAGAGGGGGAGGAGGAAAGGAGGAAGGGAGGAGGGTGGAGGGAGGAGGACTCTCCTTTGGACTTCCCATCCTTCAGCATCTCACTCTGGCATTCTGGAAGTTCAGCTTATAGATGAGAACTTTCTCCATGAGAAAAAATTCTATAGAAACCACTGTTAAATAAGGGAAACAGGGAGAATTTATAACATGTGCCTAGGAAAATAAAGCAAATTCTCTATTCTTTAACAAGCATACCTGTGTCTGCTGTGTGCCTGGCAGGTGCAGACTCTAGTGGTGAACGGCGGCCAAGGAGCTGCATCCCCCACCTCCATGTTGCCTAAATGCAAACAGAAGACACACACTTGAAGCGTTCAGTGTATCTTAAATTAATTAGGAATCTCATAAAATGATGGAAAGGGCCATAGGTTCTTCATAATGTTTTTTTACTTATTCAATAGTTTGCTATTAAACACCAAGATCAGTCATAGATTCGTCTCAAAACATCATGAAATCCAGATAAATCTGTATTCTTTCCCTATTTGCTTTAAGTCCCGTCCCAGCCTGGTTACACATCCAAGAGAAATGAATTTGACTCCAAACGCCTTACAGTGTAAAATAAATATTCATTGACAGCTTTCCTCGGGGCCTGTGAAGAGAAGTCCCATTATGTACCAAATAGCAAAATTGTCCCCCAGTTCCCACATTAATCTTCCTATGGTCCTGAACCATGGGAAGCTGTCTCAAAAGCCCCTTACACACACACACACACACACACGCACACACACACAGGCCACACACACGCACTCACACATGCACACACACAGTCCACACACGCACACATGCACACACACAGTCCACACATGCACAGACACACATATGCACACACGCACGCACACACACAGTCCACACACACACAGTCCACACACGCACAGACACACACATGCACACACATGCACGCACACACACATACACAGTCCTCTAAATAACAAACCGTCCCTCAATTGCTTCTCTCCTCTTTCTTCCCGCACTTTCTGGCTGACGCCTTGAACCCTTAAAGCACAGCCAGCCCCTGCCCTCATGGGGATACATCCTCACTCTGATTCCTGGGGTCTCCTGGGGAAGAAGGAGAAGGTAGGAGACAGGCAGAGCACACCTGGGATGTCACACCTGGAAGGGACCCATGTTCCAGGGCAGGATGGGCTTCCAGGATGCACCCCCAGAAGGCTGCCTTTTCCCCCTGAGGCTGGATCATCCCTCGGCTGGGGCAGAAGGTCACAGTGTGGCAGCCCTCCCTGTGTCCTGGGTGCCGAGTCTGACCCTTTCCCAATGCACAGCAGCCTCACTGACAAAAAGCCTCTTCTGGGTGAGCAGGAGGGCCAGGGAGAATTCTGGAGAAGAAAACCATAGAAGACATAGTTTATTACAACCAAGTAGGGATTGTGAAAACACATTTGCAAAATGATGACAGCAAGAGAAATGTGACAGAGTTGAGTCCATCTTGCTTCTGACCTACAAGCTGTCTTTGGTCCTTCCTCAGTGTAGGTCAGGCTAACTTTGGCAGGAATTTAGTTTAGTTAAACCTTAAAGCAAAGATGATAATAGCCCTTCCCAACCCTAAATTGCTTTTGTAAAACTAATGAAAGGCCACGAGGTTGGGATGATGAGAAGGGTGTGAATTCTGATAAGCTGTGCATAGTGTCTATAATCCCTTACTGCTCAGGGGCCATGTGGACAGAAGCCACAAGCTTCATGACTCTCCCCACTGCTCCATACATAACTTCACGCTTTTAGAACCTAAGATTGTTTTTTTTCCAGAGTTGCTTTTCAGACTTGACCCTACCTGGACTCATGACTTAGCTGATCCTGTGGTCCCACCCAAGGGTGGACTCAGCACATGAAGACTTTTTTTCTCACCCCATTGTTTCATCTCTAATCAATCAGCAGCACCCCTTCCCTAGCCCCCTGCCCAAAAAATTGTTCATAGAACCCAAACCTGTGAGCCTGCTGGGAGACTGATTTGGGTGATAACACCAGTTCTCCCACATGGGCTGGCCTGGCATCAATTACACTCTCCTGCAATGCCGCCTTCTTGGTTGATTGACTTTTCCTGTGCAGTGGGCAGGAAGTACCTGCTGGGCCATTACAATTGTGCTGCTGCAGGGCCCATGCCCGAGTCATTTACTAGAGCTGTAAAGACTCAGAACAAGTCCACTCAAGCCACTCAGCTGCCTCCAGGTGCTCCTCACCGCCTTCTTCTTGTGCATAATGCTATGATTGCGAGATTCATCCTGCACACCCATTTATTAGGGAAGAGGGAGCAGCGAGGAGCCTGCATATTATTTTATCAATCAGCATGTTACTTTATCAACAACCAGGCACAAGATCTACCCTTTACGGTGTGTCTGGAGAAAACAAAACGTAAATTCAATGGGTGTTGTCTTGAATCCTAGAGGTTTAGTTCAACCTACACGATGGTAGGTGCCTCACTTGAACTGGGGGCAGGGAGGACCTGGAGGACAGGACTGTCCGAGCGGTGGTGTCGATAGTGAGGGACCCTCCTCTCTAGGGCAAGACGTTTGTGTACAGATTATTTCCCTCTGGATACCTCTGGCCTTTATCAGTGTCTCCTTCATTCAACAAAAAGACTCCTGTAGATGCTGGAGATGAAGTGGAGAGAACAGACCTAGTCTTGACGTGTGGACTTCACACACCGCTGCAGGCATCAGCTAAGCCGTTGGATGCCAGCACTTTCTCACCCTGGGGAGGCCCCACCTTAAAATCACTGTGATGTGCTTTACACACATTTTATTATCTGATCTTACAGGTAATAGCTTGGGGAATGTGGCTCACATGCGGTGGGCAGGACCTACAGGTGTAGTGGGCAGAGCACACAGATGAGGCTGTCGGTTATTAGGTAAGAAAGCCAGGACAGCAGAACCAAGGGCCCTGGATCTGGCTGGACTCTGTTTATAACCTCGTCCCTGCAGGGTGCCATCCTGGCAGGTGTAGGAGATGCTTAGGGACACAGAGAGAGCCAGGACCCTCTGTGTCCTGAAGGAGCATCACTGGTGAGAGAGACATGAGAACAACTGCATTGAAAAGCAGAAAGTAAACGCCAAATGCGAGTCCACAGCACCTGGGAGATGCTGTCAACTCCCAAGTCACAGACTCTCAACCTTCTTCCAATTTCAGTCCCAGCAGTGGAGGACAGCGCCGGGAGCACTGCGGGAGGCTAAGGGCATTGCTGACAGCCGGGCAATAGCTGTTGGCCCGCCTACCCACAAGAACCCCTGAGCACCAGGGTGGTCTGCAACTTTGGAGTCACAGATGATTGAGGCTCAACATAAATGGGCAAGCCCAGCCTGTAGGGACCCGACACCTACGTGTACAACGTCTTGGAGCTGATCCCAGTCTCCGGCAAAGAGCAAATCAAAATATCCCCAATTACATTGTGGACATTGGCGATGATATTGGATACAATGCCAGTTGGGATATAATGAAGGCTGTGGGCTCCCTGCCAACCTCTGCTCAAAAGTGAAGACTCATTTCTACTTACAGAAAAGCAAGAACCCTTTAAGTTAAAAGGTAAATTAGCTTGCTCTGTTGGAAACACTGCCTCCTTGCTCAATGAGCTGATGAGAAGTGTTTCCGCTCACCCCTACTCCCTCCCAACAGGTGCAGTCAGTGCTGGAATCTCTTTAGCATCACAAAACCGGTAATGAGCCAGCCCCTCCTCCCACTGCACCCTGCAGAGCTACTCCACAGCACTGTCACCAGGAGGGGCACACTCCAATGGGCCCAGCAGGGAACAGAGGAAGCGCTGATTGGGGCCAATGACAATATTTTTCAATTACTCATTCCTTGTGCTTGGGTAACTCAGTCTAAGAGACCCCAGCGGGGGTGCCTTGTGCTGTCTGGGTGCCTGGTCCTCCTCTCCAGGCCTTGTCTGGTTCTTCTCCCAAACCATCTCCTAGTCTGATTCTTCAAAGCAGCACTTTACTGGTCAGTAGAACTTAAGCAATAGAAATACAATTCAATTTTATTTGTGATGTCATAATGCAAGCCACATAAATAATGTTTAAAAATATTTTCCAACAGCCACATTTTAAAAATGCAATAAGAAGCAGGTGATATTAATTTCAGTAACATTTTATTTAACTCAGTAGATCCAAAATATTTTTATTCCAACATATCATCAATATAAAAATTAGTAATAAAACAGTTTACTTTTTTTATACTAAGTCTTGTGAATCCAGGGTGCATTTCAAACTTATAGCAAATTGCAGTTTCAACTTGCCCCATTGCAAGGGCTCAGTAGCCTCACAGGTCTGAGAAATTGCTCTCCACAGTCATCTGCTCAAGACTTTGCAATGACGCATTCTTGCTTCTTTGGTGGAGAAGACAGTGGGTTGTGGAGTCACACCATATGGACCAAATCCTTCCCCACCTAACAAATGGGGGGGCCTGGAGAGAGAAATTTCACATTCCCAGGTTGGGTTTCCTCACCCATAAAAAGAATATGATACTGTCAGGCCTCTGAGCCCAAGCTAAGCCATCATAACCCCTGTGACCTGCACGTATACATCCAGATGGCCTGGAGCAACTGAAGAACCACAAAAGATGACATTCTACCATTATGATTTGTTCCTGCCCCACCCCTCTCTCCCTTTGCTGACTACCTTTTCGGACTCAGCCCGCCTGCACCCAGGTGATTAAAAAGTTTTATTGCTCACACAAAGCCTGTCTGGTGGTCTCTTCACATGGACGCACGTGACAAATACTAGTTCTTCCTTCATGGAGCTGATGTGTCAGGGAGCTGACGTGTCATGGAGCTGACGTGTCATGGAGCTTACCTCATGGGAAATCCTCAAATGAGTGCTCCCAAAGCCTACGGGGCAAGACAAGGACATGGTTCTCCCACGTTCTTGGTTTGTGGACATGACAGGAAGCCCCCTGAGGCCAGGGACTCCAGAACTCATCAGTCCTCCTGTGCCCTGACCACCCTCACATTCCTCTGCTCCTCCCCAACCCCAGTCATCCTTTCCACCTGCTGGTCTCATTCTCCACCAACGTCATCATTTCCATGTCTGCCCTCACCCCACTCCCTGACCTTTCTCTCCTCCTATTCCACCCCCACAATTTATCTTGCTGTCTTCTCATGAAGGAATTCACGTGACATCATGCTGACAAGGTCTTGAAGCATGCTGACAGAACCCTACATCTCACCTCTGTCTGTTGCCTCATTCTCCATGTGTTCCAGACCACAGGGTCTCGGGTTCCATGGCCTGGAAACTAATGCAGGGCCAAGCAGTTTTCCCAGACAAGGCTTTTATTTGGAGGCTTGTGCTTGAATGCAAGGGAGACAGTGGAGGTGCAAGAATACTCCAGCTGGTTCCACAAAAAGAGTCAGTGGGTTTTTTTTTTTAATTAGGCAAAGCGTGGGAATTGACATCAGGAGTAGGGTACACAGCTGGACTGGGGAGAGTCCCTGGGGGTAGGGCATGCGGGTCAGCATATCTGGTCACTGTGGTTTTCTTGAGTCATGGGTCACTTGGCCATCTGTCTGGCAGCAACAAGGCTGTGAATCAATCACGCTGCATTTCTTCCCAAGGTGGGACACTACACAACCTTGGTTCGAAGTTTGGATTTCCTCAGGCCAGTTTCTGGAATCTATTCAGTAAAAGGTATGGCGAAGCATTGTTAGAGCACGGAAGAACTATTGTTTTCTTTGTGCAACTAAAAACTTGGGGTCAGTGGTAGAGCGTCAGTGAGGTGCTTGTGTGGGTTTTGTGAAGAGAAGAAAAAAAGGAAAAAATATATCTGAAGGAGTAGTCACACCCCCTCCTACTATCTATCTCGTATGTCTTTTAAACACAGACACCTGTCCCTCCCAGGGGCTCCGAGGACTCTGGTGGATCCACATCATTAATTACTGAGTCTGAATGAATGATGTATACAGGGCGTGGCATGGTGGTGCCTATAAGCATTTACTGTTTAGGCACAAGCTGCTGGAGATAACATCTGGACCCAACATTTTAGTCACCATTGAGCACATAGAACCCACATGGCTGTGTCATTAGAGACAAAAATAGCAAAAGCCTGTTTGTGCAATTCTGCAGGACTGTCCTGGCACTGGCTGCCAGAGTTAGTACAGATCCCTGCAGGTCAAGGGCATGCCAGCTGCAAGTTCAGGGGTCCTCAGGCCACCCACACTTCTAACCAACTGGCTAAAACTGGAGGCTTCCCATGACCTTCTAAGGCATGATAATTCCCCAGAATGACTCACAGAACTCAGGTAAGTACTGTGCTTATGGTTACAGCTTAACATGAAAGAATACAAGCCAGGACCAGCCGGATGAAAAGGTGCATAGGGTGAGGGCTGAGAAGGTCCCAGGCATGGGGCTTCTGTGTCCTCTCCCGGTGGAATCAGGATGTGGCCCCTCCCAGCCCATTGATGAGTTCAACAACCAGGAAACTCCCCTGAGCCTCAACGTTCAGAGTTTGTATTGGGGTTCCATTACACAAGTGTGATTAGTTGAATCATTAATTAATCATTAACTGAGCTCAATCCAGCCATGACTAATTGAACTCAATCATCAGTTCCTGTCTCTTTTTTGAAAGCCAGGCTGAGATACCTTCGCTTAAAGCTCCAACCCTATCATCACATGCTGGCCTTTCCACCTTTGCCAGTCCCCATCCCAAGACCATCTGAGCCACTCAGTGGTCCAATCATAAATAACAAAGGTGTTGAAACTGCAATAGGTTTCTTGCCGAATGTGCAGCAAGTCAATACACGGAGACTCCAGGTTGCAGTGGAGAAAGAGGCTGAATCATAAGGCAGCCGGAGGAGGAGACAGGAGGAAACCTCAAATCCACCTCCCCAAGGAGTTTGGGGCTAGGGATTTTAAGGGGTTTGGACAAGTACTGGGCTAAGGTTTGGCTGGGCCCAGTGGCTTACACCTGTAATCCCAGTACTTTGCAAGGTCGAGGAGGGTAGATTGCTTGAGCCTAGGAGTTTGAGACCAGGCTTGGCTACAATGCAAAACCTGGTCTCTACAACAAATATGAAAAAGTAGCCTGATGTAGTGGTACAAACCTGTAGTCCCAGTTACTTGAGAAGCTGAGGCAGGAGAATCGCTTGAGCCCATGAGACGGAAGTTGCAGTGAGCTGAGATTGCATCACTGCATTCTGGCCTGGGTGACAAGACTAAAACCCTGTCCAAAAAAGAATAATAATAAAATACTGGGCCAAGATTGGAGATGGCTGATGGGTCAAAGAGTGCAGGGTGAAGTTGTGGAAGGTGGTGAGTGAACTGCAGTGTCCTGCTGATTTGGTTTCTCTGTGGGGGTCTTCAAACTGCCTGGTGTCAGCATTTTCTGCTGTAACTCAGGACCTGGAAAACGTCTTCAGCAATTCGTCTGAGGTCAGAAATCCTATCTACAGGAACAACGGAGCTGCAAATCAAGTCTGAAACAAAAGCCTTAGGATTCTAAGGTCAGGAGTCCTGTCTATAGAAACAGTGGGATGGAAAAGGCCAGGACCCAGTGCCACAGGACTTTTGGTTAGTAAACAGCTACAAGGGAGTGGGCCAAGGTGCAGTATAATTAATGCTTAATTATTTCTGTCTAGAACCCAGAATGCAATTTTCGTTAACCTGTGAGGAGGGTTTCAGTGTCTACATCTAACAGGACCCAAGAAATCTGAAAAACCAAATTCCTGGCCATGATGGGAAGGGAGGTGGACAGGCCTCGTTAATACCCACTTCCTCTGGAGCTTAGGCACAGCTGACCAGGATTAACTTTAAAGTAGAGAGCATAAGACTGACAGAGTCTCTGTGACAATAAGATACCAAATTTCAACCTGACTATAGCATCACGTGACAGATAGCAGGCTCCCAAGGAAATCAAAATATTTTATCCCCAAATCTATTTCTTTGGCATTTGAAATGGCCCTGCAGAGCCATCTCTTGTGGGAAATTTTCATCTGTAAAGAATCCCCTTCCCTTTCTAGGTCTTCTCCAGGTCCAGGAGAGATGGAACTAAGAGTCTGATACCTTTTAGTGTCTGAGACATTCCCCATCCATTCTCTCTGAAGCCTGCCACTTAGAGGCATCATCTACATAATGAGAATCTTGGCTTCCACAACCTCCCTTATTTTAACTCAAGCATTTCTTTCTACTGACTTCTTAAGTCTTTATACAAAGCTTACTTCTTTCAACCAACTGCTAGTAAGAAAATCTATGAATCCACCTAGGACCTCAAAGTCCCTCCCTCTTCTAGATATCCCTCCTTTCTGGGCCAAATCAAAGTACACCTTGCATGTAGTGATTGATGTCTTTGTAACTTCCTTCTGCCTAAAATGTATAAAACCAAGTTGTAACCTAACCACCTTGGGTACACATTCCCAGGACCTCTTGAGACTATACCCTGGGCCACGGTCATTCATCATTGGCTGAGAATAAAACTCTTTAAATATTTTACAGAGTTTGACGTTCTCACCAACACTAGTAAATCGCAAATTATTAAGTTCTCAGTTCTCTCTAAATTCATGAAATAAAACTTACACACAGGTATGCACATTTTAGTGTTTATTATTAACAGTAATATTCCCAAAGTCTTTAAGAGAATGTAGTTCCCCTAAGTAACAGAAGATAATGTTGCACCCCTTTATGCAAATAAAAATAAGGAAAAGTTGTAATTCAGACATACATGTGTGTACAACAAAAGTCTTGTATAGAAAATTCTAATAATGAATATATTTTTGAGTCTAAAAACATTTCTCCCCCACGTTGTAAATAAACATCTAGCAAATAAACATCACAACTACAGATAAATAAGATTGTGCTCCCATAAATATCTGGTGAGGTTATGAGTCAAATGGTTCCTATTATTACTTCATTTCACTGTGATCACATTACGAGAAAAGCAAAGGAAGAAAGAATTGGTGTAGGACACCCGCAGGGTTCTTTCCTCTCAGAACGACTGCAGTTTAGAGTCTTATTTTTCCTGTTAGATGGAAAGTTGGATCAAAAATACTCTATAACCTGGAGTCTTTCTGGCAAGTTAGGAAGTTCTAAACTTTATGTGTTTTGATGATTATAATTAACATGTGAACTGTCTTTCAAATTTCCTCCTGAATATCCTTTATATTTGTCCTAAGGCTTCAGTCAAATAATTTTCAGTACAAAACACTAGATTTTCCAGCTTCTGTGACACAGCCTCTCTCTGTTTACAATGTTTGCTTCTGAGAGAAAATAAATGTCACCTTCTCGAGGCTCCAGTTTACTTGAGTTCCATTTCAAAGGATGTTTTTCTTGGTGTATGAATATCATTCAAAACAGGAAAACAGGAGGTTTTTTTCCTGAGGTCTCCTAGGGGTATACACACTTATCTGTAAGTTTTACAGAATGCAATGTCAAATAATCTCATTAATGTATGGTATCTTCTCCATGCATGGGATGGTACAGTACAGAATTGGGTAAAATAACAATTATTGTTGTCATGTTATAGCCTCTATAAACTTTATGATCAGTGATAGGAATTTTAAAAAATTATTTTTGCTGTTATTGATGTTTTTCTTTGACATTTCTTGTAACATAATTGAAGTGAACAAAGAGAGGATAACACAAGTGAAAGTGTTTGTTGAATTTACTCCTATCCCTTGTGTAATGGTGGTCAAAAGGGCACAGTGCTTTGGTTAAGGTTGCTGACTATCGACACATCAAGCAGCAATTTTCTTCCATGAATCTGCATAAATCCATTGGGGAATATGGCCCTGTTCCAGGAATATTGCTTTTTTTGAAAACCCTATAACTTAAAGAAAATTCAGATTAAGTTCCTGGCAAAATTCTTGTCTGGAAACATCCTGCAGGGCTGAGCATCTCAAGCCAAGTCAAAGCAGCCACCTAAAAGCAGGAAAACGTTGCAAAACCTGGGGTCTTAGGAGGAAGCTCTGGACTCACGGCTTCGACAGGAGCTGGGTAAGGGAAGTATTCCTCTCTTAAGTGAGGCAGTGTTTTCTAGAATCACTGACATTTCACATGCTTGTGCAAGCAGGTCATGCAACCAGGTGACTCTCCTGGTATCTCTTCATGCAGCCAGCACCTGCTTCCCGCCAAGTTCCCTTCCGCCATCATGGAATCCATAAGCTCATAAGCTTGCTGTCCTTCTCTTCCTTCTTTTTTAAACTTCAAAGGCAGTCCACAGCTTTATAATTGTGGAAAGTTTCTTTTCTGAGAATAACTTTGACTATAAAAGAATATTAGTATTCGATACGCAGAGCCCACGCTTCCTCGTCTGGCAACCCATATGGCTTCGCTGCTTTGGTGTAAAAAGAAGACCTACCAGCCATCATATTTCCTTGCATTTGCTATCAGATTATGCTCAGACTGTCGTCAATAACCTGGAAAACGTCTCGTCTCTGACTGTGGAATTTATCAAATTCATGAGAGACAGTCTTGAATTACTGCCTTTCAACAGATTTTTGTCATGAAATGAAAGTGGAATATAAGATTTTTCTCCACAGAAATTCTCTTGCTTTTTAGTGAGTAAGTTCTTAAGTGTTTGCTTGAACTTCATACATGAACTTCACGTTGGGGAAAAAAAAGAGGAACTTGTTCTGGGAACAATTTGACAGGGAAGAGGTTAAGTCCTGGCCTGGCTCTCCTGCTGAATTTCCTGGCATCAGGTGGGTCGTCTGGTGAATTTTCTGGTATCGGGTGAGTCACCTGGTGAATTTGCCGGCATGAGTGGGTCATCTGGTGAATTTCCTGGCATCAGGTAGGTCGCCTGGTGAATTCTCTGGCATTGGGTGAGTCGCCTGGTGAATTCGCCAGCATCAGATGGGTCGTCTGGTGAATTTTCTGGTATCGGGTGAGTCACCTGGTGAATTTGATGGCATCAGGTGAGCTAAGCAATGTGCTCACAGACTGCACCATTCCACGCTGGCGTGACTGAGACGCCCTCTGTGGAAGAGGCTCATCCTGCCCCAGAAAGTCCAGGGCTGCCTCTAATGTGCTTCCTCAGGCAAAAGTCCAGGGACAAATTCTGAACATCCTCTTTAAGAAGGACTCTGGGACTCCCGCTTACAGAGAGATGAAGTAGTCTACTTTTCCCTGTTCATGCCACTGAGTACAAGCAGAAGCCTGCACTTATTGTATTACAGACAGAAGGAAAGCAGCGAGAAGAAGGCAGGTGACCTGCAGGCTTTGGGACCTGGGGAGCAACACGGACGTACATTCCCTGTGCTTTCTTTCTGCCTCACACCTCCCAGATGGGGAACTGGAGAAGCCAGCAACCTGGAAGTGCCAGCAGGACAGAAAACAACTCCTCAGCCGGAGCTTGCTCTTTTGCACCAAAGGATCAGGAAAAAGCAGCTGACCAAGACCCAGGAACCACCTCGATCCTTCCTATGCAGGGTCAGGTGAGGGGTCCACCCTTCACCCTTACCAGGCTGCTGCGAGGCACCCCAGCCTCCCACTGTGATGGTGTCAGAGAAGGCTAAGCTGAGACCGGGGACTTTCGTCTCCGGCAGATATAGGTAATATCGCCTTCCTCACCCAGGAGTGCTGTCAGGGGAGACCATGGCTGGACTTCCACCACCCTCCCCAGCAGCAGGAGGGTGACACTCCCTGCCCTCCAGCACTGCGTAGTATCCGTGGAGGACTAATGGAGAATAAAGACTTTTGCTGTTGCCCGGAGATGACCAGGCCACCCCCATGTCCTGTATTGTCTGTGGAGGTCACATGCGGCCAGTAAGGAGGAATGTCCTGCCTCTCCCAGGCATCGGGGTATCAATGGGCACCCCAATGAGGAGCCAGGATTGCTATCCTCACCTATGCTGTAATAAAGGCCCCCCTGTGTGTATTGATGGAGCTCAAGTGGAAAGATGGATTATACCCTCACTGAACAGTACCAAAGTGTCTTCTCCTTCACCTGCTGGAGGGATGCCAGCTAAAATCAGCCAAAACAGAAGATTCAGATTATACACAGAATCTCATAATACCCCCGAATGACCAGATTGCAATAGAAAAATCACTCATAGGAGGAAAGCAGAATATTTCAAAGCAAATTAAAACACAAAATCAGTAGATGTTGAAATTGAGATGACAGTGATGTTAGAATTATCTGACAAAGATTTTAAGTCAGCCATCACTCATAAATGTGTTTCCATTTATGCAATTGTGGACAGATTTAAGCAAATGAAAAAAAAAAAAAAAAAAAAAAACAACCCAGAAAGTTGCAGGAAATAAATGGCAGATTTATAGAGGAAACAAAAAGAAATGTTAGGGCTAAAACATACAATAACAAAATGAAACACTAAACTACAGAATGGGGGGCAGAGGGAATCATCAGATGATACTGCACCTGGAAGACTGTTTGCCACTTGAATATAGAACAATAAAATTAGCCAATTTAAATAATAGTCAGAAAATAGACCAAAAATATGAACAGAGCTTCAGGGATGTAGAACAATAAAATTACTCAATCTAAATTATAGTCAGAAAATACACACACACACACACACAAAATGAACAGAGCTTCAGGGCCTGTAGGACAATAAGAAAAGTTCTACCATTTGTGTCAACAGTCCTGGAAGAGAAGAAGGGAGAGGGTGAGTGGGGAAAGTACACAAAGAAAGAGTGTCTGAACACTTCCCAAATTTGGCAAAGGACAAAACTATAGACTCAAGAAGCTGAGCGAATCTTAAACGGGATAAATGGAAAGAAATCCACATTAAGACACATCATAGTTAAACTTATGAAAAGCACATATCATAGTAAATGTGTAAAGACTAGAGACAACAAAAATATTTTAAAAGCAGCAAGAGAGCCAGACACGGTGGCTCACACCTGTAATCCCAGCATTCTGAGAGGCAGAGGCAGGTGGATCACCTGAGGTCAGGAGTTCAAGACCAGCCTGGCCAACACGGTAAAACCCCATCTCTACTAAAAATACAAAAATTAGCAGAGTCTTCATCAGAAGCCATAAGGCCCTAAGGAAATGGTTGGACAGTTTTCAAGCACTGAATGGAAAGAAACATCAACCCAGCATCCTATACCCAGCAAAATATATCCTTCAGGAATGAAGAGAAAATTAGAGCGTTCGAAGATGATAGAAAACTAAGAGAAAGTATTGCCAATAGATTCCTTCAAAATAATGGCTAAAGGAATGGTTAAAACCTTCAAAATAATGGTTAAAGACAAACAGTAAGCAATAGAAGAAGGAACCTTGGGACACTAGGAAAGAAGATAGTGTGGTCAGCAAGAACAAAGCAAATACAATAGACTGCTCAGCAGCTTCTTAAACAAAACATAACTACACATTTAATTGCTGTATGATACAGTGCACCCTCGGACATTCATCCCAGAGAGGTGAAAATTATGTTCACATAAAACCCTGTACATGAATAGCCACAATAACTTCACTAGTAATGGCCCTCAACTGAAACCACTCAAATGTCCTTCAATGGATGTGTGGTTAAACTCACCGTGGTAAATCCATATCATGGAATACTATGCAGCAATGCAAAGGAATAAATTTGTGTGATTTTTTTTTTTTTTGAGATGAGGTCTTGCTCTGTCATCCAGGCTGGAGTGCAGTGGCACAACCATATCTCACGGTAACCTTGAACTCCTGGGCTCAAGGGGTCCTCCTGCTTCAGCCTGCCAAATATCTAGGAGTAGGGCAATGTGTGCCACCATGCCCAGCTAATTTTTTAAAACAATGTTTCATACAGACAGGGTCTCGCTATGTTACCCAGGCTGTTCTCAAAGTCTTGGCCTCAATGGATCCTCCCACCTCAGCTTCCCACTGTGCTGAGATTCTAGACATAAGCTATGGCACTTGGCCCAGGAAAAAATTATTGATACATACAACGACCTCAATGGATCTTCAGGGAATAATGCTCAGGGGAAAAAAAGCCAGTCCCCAGAGGCTACATATGGTATGATTCCACTTATACTTAAAATGCTAAAATTCTAGGTTATTGATTGCCAGGGGCTGAGGAGGGGTGGGAATGAGCGGATGGGCCTGGCTGCATCACAGTGTCTGGAGCTGCATCCTGTGGAGATGAAACTCTTCTGTGTCTCGGCTCCATCAACATCCATGTCCTGGTTGTGATCCATATTACAGTTTTGTAAGATGTTACCATTGAGAGAAACAGGGTAATGAACACACAGGACCTCTCAGTATTATATCTTAAAATTGCGTGTGAATCTACAACCATCCCAAAATAAAAGATTTTGTTAAAATTTCAAAAATAGAAGAAAAAAGAAAAGAAATCTGCAGATACCCAGAAACTCTGCAAGCTCCTGTGATGGTCAGTTTGCTGAGATGGCATCATACTGAAGTGTGTGTTTCTAAGCTGTTGATTTCTGGCAGGGTGTCAGTGAGAAGAACTTATCAGTGATGCCCTTACTGACATAAGAACAAAGAAAACAACTGGACCCATGCTGAACTCAGAGAACTCTCTAGCTCCTAGATTAAAATAGACTCCTGCCTGGCAAATCAAATTCTAAAAGCTCTAAGTCTATCGCAAATGGAAATTTTTGCAAATCAGCATTTTCAACATTTACTGCCACAAAAGGAAAGGCAAGATCAATTGGATGTCAAAGGTGCCTGGTGGCCAAGGCTGAGCACCCCGGACTTTCGCCTCCCGGTTCAGCCCAGTCTAGGAGCCTCCTCACGCGCATTTTCTTTTTTTTTTTTTTCTTTTTTTTTTTTTTCTTTTTTTTTTTTTCTTTTTTTTTGAGACGGAGTCTCGCTCTGTCGCCCAGGCTGGAGTGCAGTGGCGGGATCTCGGCTCACTGCAAGCTCCGCCTCCCGGGTTCACGCCATTCTCCTGCCTCAGCCTCCCAAGTAGCTGGGACTACAGGCGCCCGCCACTACGCCCGGCTAATTTTTTGTATTTTTAGTAGAGACGGGGTTTCACCATTTTAGCCGGGATGGTCTCGATCTCCTGACCTCGTGATCCGCCCGCCTCGGCCTCCCAAAGTGCTGGGATTACAGGCGTGAGCCACCGCGCCCGGCCCTCACGCGCATTTTCTTGTGTGCATTACGAAAGTTGTTTTTCGGTTTTCTTGTCCCAAATCAGATTTGTGTCAATTATTTCACAAGATATGGGAATCAAATTTCACCCGAGAAAATGAAAGCAAAATGATGGCCTACAAAATGTAGTCATTTGTCTTTATTAAAGATATTCATGCCTATTGCAATAAAGCACAATTTTATGCATGTTGCTATGAGTATGACTAGGTAGATTCTCATTTTTCTCACAATCTCTGAGGTCCATTATAAAAAAAAAAAAGTGAAGAACCACTGCACTTCTAGCGTTTTATAACTTTTATTATCAAAATTTCCAAAAGGAAGTATTTGCAGAGCACATTTTAGACTATCTAAATACTATGCACTTTGAAACAAAAGATGACAAAGTTGCCGCTGTCCTCAGAGAACGAAGGAGTGATGCACTGGGTTTGGAGTGAATTTATGCAAGAGGCCCAGGAGTCCTTGATTAAAAGTGCCGCTCAGCCAGCACTGCCCTAAGTACTCATCACCTTTCCTAGTGAGCGTGTTCAGCTCTTCAAGACTGACACCAGACTCTACTTAAAAATGGCTCGCTATAAAATATCAAAAATGGAAAGCTTTAACTCTGGTAATAATTTCCCTTTCTCGGGTGTGAGGTAAGGACCTAGGCTCCCTCAGCTGTAAAATCAGGGGCCAGCTGAGTGATTACCAAGGTCTCCCGGTGCTAATGCTCCTCCCCATTACCTGTCTCAGAATGGGCTGCCAAGCTCCCGCTGGCTCATTGAGCAGGCTGGAGTCAGGCTCTCTGACTGTGACTGGGTAACTCTTCCTCTGCGTTAGGAGGGCTGAGAAGTGAACCGTGGCTAGGCCGGGCTCCATTTCAGAACACGTAGCTGCACCATTTCCTGAGCGTCGGAGTTTAAGGCGTAAGAAGATGGACAGGCAGAGAGATATGGAGGTCGCCACTGCCACGGGTCAGCACACCACCTGTCCCAGCAGCTACTGATAAGCACTATGCTCTCAGAGGGACAAGGATCAGACTCCCACTTCTCATCCAAAGGGCCCCTTCATAGAAGCCCCTGAGACTCCCCACTTCCCCCTGCCCATCCCTACACAGGTATCCTGTTTCTCCCAGACGCAGCACCCAGCCTGGACCATCTGACATCCCATCCTCCTCCTGCAGAGCTGGAGAGCAGCCTGGGACACCCTTTCAGAGTAGAGAGGAAGGAAGGTGGCAGCTGGGAGTACAAGCATTCCTTAGGAAAGGAGAAACAGCAGGCACGCTTGACATACAGCTGCAAAGCCCCCACCCCCACTTGCCATCATGATCCCAGGGCACGCCAGATACCTTCTTCTCCATCTCGGAGGCCTCTGTCTGAGCCTTGTGCTCCCACCCTGCATGTCGTGAAGCAACTCACTTCCCTGCCCATGTGGCCTCCTCGGCCTGGAACTCCTTGGCCTTCTTTCTGTCCACCTGTAAAACTCCTATGTGTACCTTGAAGCCCAGTTCAAACACCACCTTACTTAGAAAGCTTTCCCAGGTTACCCCCTGAGACTGCCCATGTCCCCTTTGCCACTTTCAGGGCATTCCACTCACATCCTTGCTACCTCAAAGAGCATCCCTGAAGGCAAATACCTGTGAATAAACCTGACTCTGGCTCTGGACTCAGCAGTCATCAGGGAGGGGTTCCAAGGAAGGGCTTCCCGGAGAGGGTCTTTAGGTGAGAGACTCCAGGTGAAGGTCTCAAAGTGAAGGCCTCCAGGTGAGAGCCTCTGGATGAGGGCTTCCAGGTCAGGGTATCCAGGTGAGAATCTCCAGGTGAGGGTCTCTAGGTGAGAGCCTCCAGGTGAGGGCTTCCAGGTGAGGGTCTCCAGGTGACAGTCTCCAGTTGAGGGTCTCCAGGTGAAGGTCTCCAAGTGAGGGCCTCCAGGTGAGGGTCTCCAGGTGAGGGCCTCCAGGGTGAGAGACTCCAGTAGCTGGTGTCTGGACCCCAGGCAGGAGCTTTTGGGGTGTTCTCTGAAGGAAGGAAGGCCACTGTCCAGATCCCTGGAGCCAGACAGCACTACTGTGGCCAGCCGAGGCTGTCCCCTGGGGCTGGGGTCTGATTCTTCGCTGTCAGTGGATGTTCAGGGATGAGGCATCCTGTGTGAAGCATGCAAGGTCCTGTGAGCCTGAGCCTGCTCATGGGTCTAAACAGGGGCACAGTTCCCTGCCTCCCAGGTCCATGGTACAAACCACAGCCGTGGAAGCCCTGACTCCTGTGCCCAGCCCCAGTGCCCTCCTTCTTCCTGCTGAGACAGGGTCAAGGGCCACGGCAAGTCCCCGAGGCATCCCAGGCAGAGGAGGGGCACGGAGGCCCAGCAGAAGGGTTTCAGAAGAGGGGCAGACCCAGGGGCTCAGCTCCAATCTCCCACCACGGCAGCCCCAGCTCCCACAAGCCTGGGCCTCCTCGCAGGGCTCAGGGACTTAGTGGCAAGAGCTGGCCCTTCAGGAGATGGCACTCAAGGCCCTTCTGCAAGAGGCACCTTTCTCTAGGTGTAACACAGGGGCCGCCAGACCCAAAGACCCCTCACTCTGTGCAGGACAGACTTTGCAACCAGGGCCCATCATCCCTCATGCAAGGCACGTGTTGCAGGCAGAACTGGATGTACAGACTTGGTGGGCACAGGATGGCCTCATTTTGTTCTCTCTGGAATCACAAGGCCACCAGCTGGTATCCTAGCAGTAGCATTTTGGAGGTTACAAAACAGTTTCCTATTTATTACCTGAATTAATCTTTGTGGTAATTCTATCCATTTTAATTCACAGGCAGAAAATGAGATTCTAGGCCATCGTCCTCCCCACCCCAACTTCGAGCCCTAGGTCAGGATCTACCCTGGGGCCTCTGCTCCTTGCTGGCTTCTGCTCAACCTCCTGTCCTCCTCTCAGGCTCTCATCATCCTGCCAGATGGATCTACTCAGGGGAGCATGTGGCCACTGCTCCTCTGAAGGCACCTGGGCACCACCAGGCTCTTTGGAAAGCACAGCCCAAGACTAGCAGAGAGACACAGTGGCAGCCCCAGAGGGACAGCAGTGAGTCCTTCTTTCCCTCCAAAACTGCCCCTTCCAGACCCTCCACCAGCTGAATCTTGCCCAGGGGTAGATACTTCATTTCTAAGGAAGAAACTAAAACAAAACGGTGATTCCATCATTAGCATAAAATAAACAGAATAACAATAAACCATGAAAGAAAAACATAGACTGAAAGAAGCAAAGATCTATACCTGTGTAAGGATGTATAACGAGATGTTCCTTTAATCAATAGGAGGCAGAATGGAAATCTTTGATTTTTGCAGAGGCTGCTAAAGGCTGCGGTTCTGGTGGACATGATTTACGCCACGGTGCTGGGGTCTTGAAGTTCTAGCTTGCAGATCCCCACTTTACCTCTTTATTTTAAAGAACTCTTATTGGTTTCTTTGTCATTACTCTTATTTTTGGAAAGTGATACATACTCATGTGAAAGTATGAAGAAGAAACATTTTTTAAAGACCTATAATGCCGTAATCCAGGGGTAAGCACTGTTAAATCCATCTGCATTTTCTTCTAGTCTTATGCACATATATTTACATAATTGAGATTACACTGCATGTGCAATTTTATATCCTGACTTTTTTCACTTAATATTGTGCTGTAAAATGTTCTACAAGTCGTTGACGATTTTAGAGAAGCATTTTAATGGCCATGGAATTATCTATTGTATGATACAGCACACTTTAATTATTTCCCTAGTGTTGGACATAAGATTTTTGCATTTTTTCACGATTATGGGTAATATTCTGATGAGCACCTTTGCAAAGAAGACTTTGATGGTTGATACGGCTGTTTCCTTAGAAGAGATACAAAGAAACATAACGGTGGAATCTAATTATGCAAGTCAAGAGAGTTTGAGGCAATTAACCCTCCGCAAGTAGCAGGCGCTTTGCCTCCCTTCTCCCTAATGGGTAATGGCTATTATCATTACTTTACAGTCTTCTAATTTAATAAGTAGCAAGTATCTTACTATCATGATAAAGTTTCTCTTCCTAATTACCAGAAAATTTGAATAATTTTTATGTTTGTCAATAATCTCTTTGTAAATAACCTACTCATTTCCTTCAGTTCCTTTTCTGTTAAGAAAAACAAAATGCTTTTAATTTATTGATTTCTCTTGAGTTTTTGTCACTTAGGAAATTAATCCTTATTTAGCCAATTAATGCTTTTATTTGGAATATTCATTTAAGTCTTTTTTCCTAAGCCTGGCCCCTGGGTTGTAAATCTTTTAATATGTTTTGGAAGTGATATTTTAAGGATCCACTTAATTATATCCAGAAGATAATAATTTTCCTGTGATCTATTTTATTGTTCATGTACTTCAAAGAAATAAACAAACAAAAATCAAACACAACATTCTTACCATCCATATATCAGCTAATAATCTCCTAAATCATCTTATTTTGCTATTTTCTTTCCTCCTCTGTCCTGTGCTTCTGCACTTAGCACCATGGGACTTTCATTTTGGTGTGATAATGTGGTGTGAGGACTCCAAGCCACCCCCTTTTTAATAACAGCATTTACTGATATATTACATTAACTAATGTATCTCCTCCTAATTGATTTGTAGTTCTCTGATAGAATATTATGCTCTGGCCAGGCACGGCGGCTCACGCCTATAATCTCAACACTTTGGGAGGCCAAGGCAGGTGGATCACTTGAGGTCAGGAGTTGAAGACCAGCCTGGGCAACATGGTGAAACCTCTTCTCCACTAAAAATACCAAAATTAGCTGGGTGTGGTGACGTGTTCCTGTAATCCAAGCTACTTCTGTGGCTGAGGCAGGAGAATCGCTTGAACTCAGGAGGTGGAGGTTGCAGTGAGCTGAGATCACAGCACTGCACTCCAGCCTGGGCAACAGGATGAGACTCCGTCTCAAAAAACAGAAAAAAAAAAAGTATGCTCCTATAGGTAGCTGGGTCTATTTCACACTATTGCAGCTACCATAGGGTTACAACATTTTAAGACATTTTTCATAACTGTCTCAGCTGTTCTAACTGGTTCATTATTCAAATACATATTCTCCCCAGCCTAAACAATCGTCCTATGGGCATCTATTAAAGAAAGAAAAGAAAGAGCTTCACTCCCTCTTAACTGCATTTGCTTCCTTACACCTGACTTGCAACTATATGGGAATGGAACATTTGAGACAAAACAAACCTTAAAGGCCATCCAGACCAACTCTTAAATAACATCCAACATGAGGCTTCAGCTGTTGCTAACCACCCCACTGGCTTTCTGCCGGCCAAGTGACTCACTCTGTCTTTGGCAGCTCTCACAGTGCTTGGGTCTTCCCTACTGCTCTGGGGCTCCCCACACCCACCCAGACATGTGCCCACCAGAGCCACGGAGAGTATGTGGATGTCTTCTTTACGAGAACATGAACCAGATTCTATGGAACTAAGTTTGAAAATCCCAGTTTCCAGGATGGACTCTATCCAGATGCAAGAATCGTGCATGCTGGGAAACTCTTTTGCTCCCTGTGAAGCAGGCTGGCTAGCCTCCTGTTGTGATCTGGTCTAGAGAAGAACAAAAGCCCTTTACTCAAGCTCTAGCTTATCTAACTTTCAGCCAATCAGCGACAAAAGACCCTAGACACTGTTAACCACAAGTTCCTGCTTCCATTAGGACTAAAACTCAACTTATAGTTATCCCTTCCTCATTGTAATGCTAAAAGTCACACCCAGAGGTGCAGATTTAAAATGCTAATGCTACATGCAGTGCATACAGAAGTGTATTAAATCCCTGCCCAGGTGCTGAAAAGGATCCTCCTCTACATGCCCTCATGTCTCCCTTCCCTATAGGAAAGTCCTATAAAATTAACTCCCATTCTGCTTTCAGAGAGCAGCCTGTCCTTCCCATCTGCAGTGCTGACTCCATTGTGCACAAGCTAATAAACTTTTCGCTAGTCTCTCTTGATTCCTATCCTGGGAGATTGCAAGAACCCAGGGCTCCAGAAACACTTGTTCCACTTAGAAAATGTATGTCCATGACTAGAATAATAATTTACAGCATTTTTCTTCATCCAGGCAGTGCAATGATGGACGAGCCTGGATAAGCAAATAAGGTTGTGAAAATGTTATTTGTAATAACAGAATGTAACAAATACAAATATAGGCACATGAGGAAATCACCCTAAGAAACCTCCAAGTGTTGTTTCTCATCAAGAAACCTGGACACACTTTTTTTTTTTTTTTGAGATAGAGTCTCGCTCTGTCGCCCAGGCTAGAGTGCAATGGCGCGATGGCTCACTGCAAGCTCCGCCTCCCGGGTTCACGCCATTCTCCTGCCTCAGCCCCCTGAGTAGCTGGGACTACAGGCGCCTGCCACCATGCCTGGCTAATTTTTTGTATTTTTAGTAGAGACGGGGCTTTACTGTGTTAGCCAGGATGGTCTCGATCTCCTGACCTCGTGATCTGCCCACCTCCACCTCCCAAAGTGCTGGGATTACAGGCGTGAGTCACTGCGCCTGGCCAGACATACTCTTTTTAGAAGTCAACAGTGACATATACAGCTTATCTGTGTACTGTCTTCCAGCAATATCACCAACATGATAAAATCAATGCTGTTGAAAGTACAGGAAAAAAGGTTGCTTATTAAAAATAATTTAGAGACAGGAGAATTGCTAGAACCCAGGAGGTGGAGGTTGCAGAGAGCTGATATCATGCTATTGCACTCCAGCCTGGGTGACATAGCAAGACTCTGTCCAAATAATAACAATTAATAATAATAACTTAAAGATACTATATTCTGTGTACTTCCTCACTTTAGTTCACTGAAGGAAAATTCAGGGTTGACCAGTGATTATTCAACGTAAAAAAATTGTTGAGAATTTTAAATGCAAACACTTTTAGAGAAACACAGAAATGAATAAGAGTGATTCTCTGCCCTTGTGTGTAAACAATTGAAAACAAAACAGAATTTGACTTTAAATTCCCTGGGGCAGGGTCCATGACTCTTGTTCAGTTTGTGATCCACAATTACTGGTATACGAAATGTGCCCAATAAATACTCAGTGGATGAATAAAAAGTAGATGTCCTTATATAACCCAGATCTTTCCTGCTTACAGATGATGCCCACATCCATTATCTTGTTTGATTCTCCAGCAGTGAGGTGGGAGGTGTGTTTTCTATCCCACACAGGCCATGATGCACAAGCCACCAGCAGCTCCATGGAGACCTCCCGGATCCCCAGTGGCCTCTGCCCTCACCCCACACTCACCAAGAATCTTCTGTGGCAGATGCGGTGGCTCCCTGGCCTCCTTGCCATGAGAGGGAGTGTCTGGGCAGTGGGAGGCCATGTCCTTGGAAAGTCTGTTCAGTAAGTGGATGAGCTTTGTGGGCTCATTCGAATGAGCTATTCCTCTGCACCTGCAATTCTAGCCTAAACCTCTATAAAGCCTCAGAGTCAACCTTGAGGCTTCACCAAGGTGACGCCCTGGCAATAGCCACATGGAGCATCCTGACCCTCCTTCCAGGAAAATCCCTTGCCAGGGGCTGTGTCCAGACAGCAGGGTTAGGATTCAGGAGGCCCCTTCACATCGGGCTTGTCGTGGATGGGGAGAGATGGGCAGACAGGATGCTGCTTCTCAAAAGCTCCCCCAGGGGCTCACAGCCCCAGAACAGCAGGACAGGAGGAGAGGTGTGTGGGCGGATGAGGGATAAGCTATTGATCAGCTCCCAAACCAATCTCGCCCCCAAGCACTGCTTTAAGAACGCTGGGGTCCAAGAAGAGCTTGTTGCAAAAAGGACTGTACATAGCATTAAGTCTAGAAATTAATAACATGACCCATCGCTGAATTCTGCTGGCACGCAGACTCAGGCAGCGATAGCCCTGACTTGAATCCCCTGTTTTCCCCGTGTTGTAGGAGGGTGCAAGGCGGGGTGCTGTGCCCGCGGCATCTTCACGACGAGTTCTCACCTGAGTGCAGGAACACACTGTCCTCAGAGCACGTCTCCCTCTGCCAGGCAGGCGCAGGACCTGTGCGTCCGCAGGTGAGACAGACGTGGCACTCATTTCCATGACACCCTCTGTTCTCCAAGGAATGGAGCTGCTGGGGGAGTCTCCATGGTCAGTTTCTGGACAGGCCTGGGACAGCCCTGACCGAAGATGCTTTATTTGTGGCTTCTCCAAATTCCAGCACCCTTTCCTGATTCAAATAGCAACAAAAATGCTTAGTTAAAAAGGAATTTATGGTAATGTCCCTGGCAGAAAAAAAAAAAAAAATTCTCAGCCCCAAAGCTAAGCTCCTACCAAACAGGAAAACCTATTACAGTAAGATGATCTCCCAGTCATCTCCAGCTTGGCGGGCTCAATGGAGGCGTCAGCCCGTGCAATCAGACGGGGAGAAATAGAAGAGGGACAGGATGTAAACCCTTTCTGTTTGCAGGAGATATGAGTGTATTTCCGGAAAACCCAAGAGAAAGAAGGATAAAACAAATTAACACTGGAATGTAACCACACAAAAGCAAAACAAATATAAAAAATTAGTAAAGTATCAGGATATAAAATTAACGTAATAATAAAAAGCCTTTATATACACAAACAATGACCAAGCAGATGATATAGTGGATAAGAAAACACAAATAGCAATAAAAATAAAAATACATAAAAACAAGTTTTTAAAAACTCTACACTTATATGAGAAAAACTTTTAAATATTCCTAAAAATTTGGATTTCCCTGAATGGAGAGGCATCTCCTACTGTTGGGTAGGACTATTTAAAATTTGGGCAGGCACGGTGGCTCACGCCTGTAATCCCAGCTCTTTGGGAGGCTGAGGCGGGTAGATCACCTGGGGTCAGGAGTTCAAGACCAGCCTGGCCAACATGGTGAAACCCCATCTCTACTAAAAATACAAAAATTAATCAGACATGGTGGCACACGACTGTAATCTCAGCTACTCAGGAGGCAAAAGCAGGAGAATTGCTTGAGCCTAGGAGATGGAGGTAGTGGTAAGCTGAGATTATGCCACTGAACTCTAGCCTGGCCAACAGAGCAAGATTCTGTCTCAAAATAAATGAATAAATAAATTAATTAATTTAATTAAATTAAATTAAATAATAAAGATACTAGTTTTGGGTGGCTAATGTAAATATTTCAGGTAATACCAATAAAAGTGCTAATAAATATTCTTTTCTGAAACCAAACAGGTATATTCTAAATTTCTTATGAAAACAAATGCAAAATATCTTTAAAAAAATTTTAAAAACAATGGTAAAGTTATTAAATACGATAAAGCTTTTGTGATTAAAACAGTGTATTAGTAGGACATGATCCACCAGACCAATAGAAGAAATAAATAAAAATAATTTATAGGCCGGGTGCGGTGGCTCATGCCTGTAATCTCAGCACTTTGGGAGGCGGAGGTGGGTGGATCACAAGGTCAGGAGGTCGAGACCATCCTGGCTAACACGGTGAAACCCCGTCTCTACGGAAAATACAAAAAATTTAGCCAGGCGTGGTGGCGGGCACCTGTAGTCCCAGCTACTCTGGAGGCTGAGGCAGGAGAATGGCGTGAACCTGGGAGGCGGAGCTTGCAGTGAGCTGAGATAGCACCACTGCACTCCAGCCCAGACGACAGAGCGAGACTCCGTCTCAATAAATAAATAAATAAAAATAATTTATAGAAATCCATAAATAAACCCAAACACATATGGAAGTTGAGCATACCGTTAAAGAGGACATCTCTCAAATATCTGAGGAAAATATTAACTTTTAAAAATTCACTAGAAAATCTTGACATTCACTTGGAAAATTGGATCCATGACTCACACTATTTGCTGGACAAAAAGTAAAATGTAAAATATACATGAATTATATATACACACACATATTAGGCAAAAGCATGGGTGAATTCCTTTTTAACCTGGATAGGTGAAAAGCTTTTCTAATTAAGATTCAACATTTAGAAACAATAAAAAAGTTGATAAATGCAATGATATGCTTTTTAAATTGCATAGTAAAAATTGCATAGTAAAAATAAGCAAATGCTAAACATCGAACTGTGAAGAAATAGTTACAACGCTACTCACGATGGGAGAACACATGAAAGCTGCTTTTGCTGCTGTTTCTCACCTCTCAGATCGATGCCAATTTACAGCTGGCAGCACTCCATGGGCAAGGCTGGGGGAAGCCACCCCACGCAGTGCTGGTTGGAGCAGGGATGTTACTGCATTGTGGAGGGGAATGAGAAGACTTCTAAGGAGGTAGCATAGGCACGTGCCTTTGACCTAGAGCTGCATGTCCAGGAATTTCCCTTACAGGTGAATGTCTCCAAACATCAACCAGTGCGTGCACAAGTGTATTCCTCGCAGCAGTGTTCTATGTTAGCAAAGAGCTGAGAATAGCCTGGAGAGCCAGTTAGCAGGGTGGGTACGAGAGCCACAGCACCCTGGGATGGCCCACTGCATGGAGGAGGAGCAAGGAAGGGTGGCCCCACACCAGCCGCAGTGGTCCTGCTTCACACAGCCGGCAGTGGGACAGGTGAGGCAGGCCTTTCTCAATGGGGAGTGATGAGGGGAGCCCAGCACCGGCGGGGTGTCCAGGGCAGAAGGGCCAGCCTGGAGTGGGTCACCTCAAGAGAAGCTGATGATCCCAAATGCTGGGTTGCAGGTCCAAAGAACCAATGTCAGGAAAACAAAGGGAATGGGGCAAGTGTGTGTGGGGGAGGAAAATTCTGATTTTAAAATGTCCATAGAAACCTGGCAAGCAAATGCAGTGGGTAAAACTTGATTGGCTCCTGGGAGAAAAAGCATAAAAGTCATTGTTAAAAAAAAATAGATGAAACTGGAATGTGAACTATTTAGGCCGTTGTTGAGTTAAAGAGTCTTCACCGTGACAATGGTATTCTGGCTGGGTGGGCAAGGTCCTTTATTATCGGAGATGCATGCTGATGACGACGTATTCAAGGGTAAAATGTCGTGATGTCTTACACTCGCTCCACGTCTTCGTGAAAATGTACGTGTGTGTGCACGCGCTTGTATGTACATATGGACATGTATAGAGTGCACAGATGCCACACTGTTAAAAAGCATGAAGCTGAGAGTCTGTGAGGGTTCATTTTATTACTTGTCAGCTCTTCTATAGGTTTGTAACATTTTCTAGGTAGACACTAGGTAAGAAAGAACTATCATACACATTTATTTAATCATGGATATGAAATGTGAGTCAGGGACAATTTGGCTTGGAAGGACAGAACCCTGCAGAGGAGCGAGTGTCTGCGCCAGAGGCTGACTCGCACTGGCAGGGCACCCGGTTCTTTGAGAAGATGCCGTTGAAAATGAACGCAGAGGGCTTCATGGCCCCTTCGAAGTTATCCTCACCAGCCATAGGCCAGGCCTCCCAGCCCCAGCCCCTGGCCCACTCCCATCAGGAAGCCCTTCCTGCCTCTAATCCTGTGGCTGGTCTTCAATCCCCAATTAGAGCTTCTTCCAAAGCATCCCCTTCCCTAAGCCATATTCTTCTAAACTATGCTTGTAATATTGTTCACACCAACCCACATGCTCTCGACTCCATTTACACAACAGCCACGTGATGTTGAGGTTTATGGGCTCATCAAAAATTTTTATAGCAAAATAAAATATTTCAAAAAGAGATTGTGCATTTAATAATATCTATACCCCAAATTATCGAATATTCGCGTTTTCCGGAGTGGGCAGAAGTGGCGTGTAGTGTGTCACTTGTTGAATAAACACACGTCCAGGGGTCTGTTTTTCCCATAGTCAGAAAACCACAAGTCTTGTCATGCTGTGGCCTAGGAGCGGAACATGGCATCTGAGTGTGGACAGGTCTGCCACCATCCACAGCTGTTCCCCTTGCCGCCCAGTACACACACACACACACACGCACACACAAAATACACACATACACACATGCACAAGTACACACACCTGCACATATGCATATACACATGTACTTACATATACAAATATACACACATATCTACATAAACACACATGCACACACATACACACATGCCCATGTACACACATATATACACAAACACACATACATAAACATACACAAACACACACATACACACACGTACACACATACCTGAACATACACATATACACACATACACACATACACATGCACACACATACACACATGCACATACACACCTGCACACACATCTACATAAACACACACACTCATGCACATGTACATACATACCTGCACACACACATACACATACATACACATACACACATGCACATGTACACACACACTTGCACACACACATCTACAAACACACACACATACACACGTACACACATGCACATGTACACATACCTGCACACAGACTTACACACATCTACACACACATGCACACATACACATGTACATGCATGCCTGGACACACACATAAACACATACAAAAACACACACGTACAGACATACCTGCATACACATGCACATACACACATGCAAATGTACATACCTGAACACCCACATATACATAAACACATACACATACATGCACATGTACACACATATCCGCGGGCGCACACACACACACACACACACGTGAGTCCCTGTTCCAGTGTTTCTCATTTGTCCACTGCATGTTTAGCCCACATATCTCAGGCCGTGCAGCATCTGGTCCCTGTCCTGGGTCGGCTCGTGCTGCCTGAACCCTCCCTCACCTGCCCAGTCTGGTGCTGCCTCTGCGGCTATCTACTTGTCCAGGCCACGTGGACTAAAGTTTGTCTAGAAAAATAAGAAAAGCAGAGACAAATCCTGGGCTGGGGATGTCTAGGAGAACACATGTGGCTGAGAGCAGCCAGGTCCCCTGGACGGGTGCAGTCCTGACCCCAGGAGGGGCCTGCCCCTGCTGCTTCTGGGAGTCGCCTGCCCTAGAGCCCCACTGAGCACGTGTGCCTGCCTCCATCAGGGCCTCCAACCCTGTGACTCCATCAGGGGTAAAGGGGCCTCAACGTGTCCCTGTGAAGCAGAAGGAACCACTGCAGCCCCTTGGGAGCAGAGAGCTGCCTGTGCTGTGGACAGAAGAGCCCAGGCCCCTCTGGATGGGCAGGATGTGGATGGGAGGGGCCTGGAGCTCACACAAGGGCCACACACGCAGCCCCCTGGCTATGTACTGTACTGGAGGCGTGTGGCCCTCCAGCTCCAGACCACTCCCTCCAGCCTCACTCCCCCTAGGCGGATGCCCGGCCCTGTGTCCTCGGGCAGGCCCCAGCCCACTCTGTCACAACTGGACCGCCCTCAGCACTTCCTTCCAAAGCCTTTCCTTGGGAGCGTGTGTGCTGCCTCACAGCCCTGGTGGCCCCAAAGCTGGAACTGGACTCTGATTCCGGTGCTCCCCCTCCCCTGCCAACCCAACAACCCTGAAGGCACTGGCCCATGGGATCCCTGGAGCCAGCCATGTGCCCTGTTCTCAAGGTGCTCAGGGCAGGGCTTGTCATGGGGACGATCAGGAAACCCTGGCTGCCAGGAGTCTCACTCCCAGCCAGACCCCGGTCACAACGCAAGCTCCTGGGCCCAGAGGCTTCTGGACTGCATTCCGTTCCTGCCTTCCAACTTCCCTTTAACCTAGCGTGCTCACATTGTGTCTCTCTTGCAAAGAAAAATAAAAGGAAAAAAAGAACTTACTTTCAAGTCATCGATATTTTGTGCAACAGCTCTGCAGGGTATCAATAAACTTTTCCAAAGCTGTAAATGTGTAAACTTCTAAAGCAGTAAAGCTGTAAAATCTTGTTATTGGACCTTCATTGCATTTTATATTTTGGGCAGCTGATTCTAAACTCCAGAAAACAATAGGAAGACTGGTCGACACTGCGTAGTTGGAGGGTGGGAAGGAGAAACTTTGCTGACCAAGAAACCAGCTGAACCGTAGGAGGTTGGACCCAGATGGACCAGCGGACTTTGCACATGGCTGAAATCTGTCTCACCAAGAGGGAGGCAGGTGTGGGCTCCAAATTAGTTTTATCTGGATGGAAACCAGTCTGCCCAGCATAGTGGTAACCTAAACAACCAGGCAAATAAGGCTGGAAAAGAAAAGAAATGTGGAACCAGTCAGCTCATGGCAGATGAGGTGTGCCCGGTGTGCTGGTTTTCTGTGACCCTCCAGGAGAGGTAGAGGCTGCTGGGGGAAACGTGGTTTGGATGGAATGCAAGCTTCAGCTGCTTCTCACGTGACATCACCTGTTCTCACGGGGAGCTAATGAACACCATGGCTTATTTGAGCAAAGATGAAATCTGGTCCCAACCTCCCCGAGCCATTCCTCAGACATGGCTCTGCAGGGATGTTTGGCTGTGGGGACCTTGCCCTCTTTCTGCCATATCCCTCAGAGGCACAATTGGGATGAACCAGGGGGAGGGGCTTCTTCCTCTGGAGACTCCTGCAAGGGCGTGAGGACTTGTGGGGAAATCCTTAACGAGGACTCTTCCCTGTCATCGGGTGGGCAATGGCTCTGTCTTAGCTCAGAGCCCTTGTCTTTGGTGGCCAACTCTGGGGTGCCCAGGGCATGGGGGCCGGGAGCGGTAGGACAGTGACGGAACTCAGAGTCTGGCAGCTCCTGATGTGGGAACCCAGGTCATTACGTTTTCTCTCCATTTCTATATGTTTGAGAAATTCTATCATGAAAATCCTCCAAGGCCCTCACTCCTCCCAGGCCAATGTCCCATTGAGTAAATCAAAGAGTTGTCCAGAAAAACTAAGGAAAAAGTTTCAGATGCAATCATGACCTAGTTTAGGTCTTCTGCAGGTCAAGGTCAATCGCTGACCTTCAGAGTGTCAGCCTCACATCCCCGGGGTCCGGGTTTCCAAGTCTGGGTCTCCGTGCAGCCTTAGGCCTCCGTGCGCTGGGCGCACCTGGGTCCGGCTCCAGAGTCTGGGTCTCCGTGCAGCCTTAGGCCTCCTTGCGCTGGGCGCACCCGGGTCCGGGCTCCGGAGTCTGGGTCTGCGTGAAGCCTTAGGTCTCCGTGCACTGGGCGCACCCGGGTCCGGGCTCCGGAGTCAGGATCTGCGTGAAGCCTTAGGCCTCAGTGCACTGGGCGCACCTGGGTCCGGCTCCTGAGTCTGGGTCTGCGTGCAGCCTTAGGCCTCCCTGCACTGGGCGCAGCCGTTTCTTGCTCATGGGCCAGGGTGAGTTATTGCTCACCCAGCTAATCACGGCCTGATTAATACTCCAAGCTCAGTTAGTTCCCGAGTTAAGGAACCTAGAGGTAGTCAGAGCCCACTGGAAATGCAGCCTCTCCAAATCCAGGCCCCTGTAAATCTCCAGTGCTCAGCCTGGGGGGCGTCCCCTCCCCTCCCTTTGTCTTTGCTCCTAAATGTCCTCTCTGTTGGTGCATTGTAACTGAAAAGGTGATCAGTTTATGAAACACCTACAGAGATAAGCAGGCTTCCTCTAGTTCTGTGCATTCAACAAGGCCTCTTGAAATGACCTTGTTTTCTTCCCCCATTGACACTTGGAGGAGGCTAGAAGACAGTGCCCACCGTGCAGTTCCCACCGGGATGCAGTTCCCACTGGGATGTCCACCTGGGCCTCTGTGCAATGCCTGGCTGGCCCTTTCCAAAGCAGCTCCACATGGAGCTCAGGATGCAGAGCCGAGGACAATGGCAGAAGCGGGGGCCTGGGCTGCCCCCAAATTCTGCCTAGGATGGCCCTTCCACCCCTCCGCAACCCACTTCTGCCCATGATGGCCCCTCCATCCCTCTGCACCCCAGTTCTGCCCATGAGGGTCACTCCAATTCTCCGGACTGCTTCTACAGAGCCAGGGGATGGACTAAACAAACTAAAACAAAAAGCTTCTCCGCAGGCCCTGCATCATGAGTCAGGTGAGGGAGTATTTCCTAAAGGCCTTGCAGGAAAAGGCAGGGAGAAGCCGGGCAGTCTGGCTCTGGGGGGAGCTCTGGAGAGCAGGCTTGGGTGGAGGTTGGACAGAAAGGTGGGGTCTCCCCTGTTCTGGCCCGGGGAGGGCAGGAAGGGACCAGCAACTCGTATGGCCCGGGGTGGGGCTGGGATTGATCTGCAGAACCAGGCATCGCAAATGAGCAGCCAGGGGCGGACCTGTTGGTGGGCCAGGTGCTGAGCTTTCTAAGCAGCAGGTACAAGCTCTCTGTCCTTGCACTGTTTCTCTGACACAGAAGAAGTCTGAGAGCTGTCGTGTGGGACAGGCTGTGTGAGTTAGGACTCCCCTACGGAGGCTGCACCTTTGGGAGTGGCGAGAAGGGATCTATTTCAGGAGGCTGAGCCTGTGCCACTGCTGAGGCTGGTTCCACGATCTAGGTGCAGCTGGCATCACTGGGGCCAGGAGGCACAGGGCAGGCAGTGATGGGGGAAGACAGAGGGGAGTGGACAAAAGACCCCCTGGGATGCATCCATCTCTTTACAACTCCAGGCCTGCAGCCTGGACGACACAGCTGTGCTGTGTAGATGCGGACACTCTCATCCCGGAGTGGAGCAGGTGCCTGGCCCGGAGGACAGGTACATTGATGCATGGAACCAGGGCAGCCAGGAGGCAGGACTGGCTGTGGCAGGTGCCCACAGGGTGAGCAAGGAAGTCCATGGGAAGGAGCTGGCACCCAAAATGGGAGATGGCACCCAAAAGCCCAAGGGGGACCCAAGGACAGGACAGCTCTAACCTTGCTCTCTGGGCAGGCACCCCCATTTTTGCCTCGGAGTGAGACTGAGTCCTGCTGGGGAGGAGGCAGTGCCTGCTGCTGGGAGGGTGCTGGGTGGGGATAGGTTGGGCAGGGATTCTGGGCCCCGTGAAGCCACCCACCTCCATGCAGTTAGAGAGCCTTTCGGAGCCACGCTGTACCCAGTCTGGTTGTGCAGCTGTGCCTGAAAAGTACTCTTAAGCCCTCAGTATTTTCATGTAAATATGTCTCTAGCCTCATGCTAAAACCACAGATGATCGTGGAGGTGAACACATGCTAAGAGGCTGATTTTTTTTCTGAAGATATTTTCATTATTTGATAAGGATTTAAACAGATTTTAACTACCTCCCTGGATAGTTCTTTCTAAATGTTTTAATTATAAGACCTTCCTGGCTTAATATGTTATATGGTGCATAATCAGGTTATATATTTTCTATCCTATCTCAGCCTGAAAAATAAGAAAATAGGATTATAATAATACCGCTGCAGGGGCAATTAAATGCAGCAATCATGGTGTAAAGACAGTCCCCTCTCCTCTCCACTCAGGATGGCTGAAGCTGGCTCCCCATCCCCCATCCCCTCCACAGGCCCTGGGTACCAGCCACGCCTGAAGAAGCCCAGAGCCCAGGGTCCTGCCCTGGTTCCGTGCATCAGTATACCTGTCCTCTGGGCCAGGCACCTGCTCTGCTCTGGGATGAGAGCGTCAGCATCCACGCAGCTCAGCTGTATTCTCCAGGTTGCAGTCTTGGAGGCAGAAAGAGACAGATGCATCCCAAGGGTCCCAGCTCCTCATCCCAGCACCTGGGGCACCTTTTGTCCACTCCCCACTGTCTTCCCCCGTCACTGCCCACCCTGTGCCTCCTGGCCCCAGTGGTGCCAGCTGCACCTAGACTGTGGAACCAGAGTCCCGGTCCCTTCCTGAATGATGATGACATGCTGGGGGACAAGATTTCCATGTAGTCCCCAGCACTGCCCAGAGCCCAGGTCCCATCCCAGGTAAAGACGATGACCCCCTTGGGGGACGAGTTTTCCACGCGGTGCCCAGCACTGTCCAGAGCCCGGGTCCTTTCCCAGGTGATGGTGATGCCTCGGAGGACAAGCTTTCCAAGTGGTGACCAGCACTGCCCAGAGCCTGGTTCCCTTCTCAGGTAATGATGATGACCCCTTGGGGGACAAGATTTCCACGTGGTGCACAGCACCGCAGAGCCCATTCTGTGCCAGCCATCTCCACAGGAAACTCCTCACCCTGCTCCTGCAGCCTCCTTAACATGGGCACCCTTCCCAGTGGGAGAAGAATCTGAGCTTCCAAAAGTTTAAAGAACTTACCCCAGCACCCCTGAGAACCACCAGTGCTCTCTGACCCCACAGCCTCCACTTCTAAACAACTCTGACTCATCCGTGGGCTCTGGGGGAAAACTGAGGTTTACATAGGTGGTTCTGGGTGAGTCGCTTCTCCTGTCTAAGCCTCAGCGGGGCATATGAACGGCCCCCAGAGCATCATAAACGCTGGAGGAGAGGACTGATGGCTGTGGATGGACACAGCCGGTGCCTGTGCATAGGAAGCTGTCTCTGGGGATTGCACCTCTCGTATTATTGCTGTGGGGCCGAGAGCAGTGGCTGGATGTGCGGGTCCTCGAGGCAGCCTGTCCGTGTCTTAGCCTGAGCAATCACTGCCTCTCTGTGTCTCATTCCGCCCGTATATATAATGGGGCAGTCCCCTTGACTGTGCCACTGGTGTGCATGAGGATGACCTAAGTAAACACCTTGATCGCTTCGAGAACCGCCGGGCAGAGGGCTGGCCTTTGCACTGCTGAGCTGCATCGCTGCTGGTGTCCCACTGCCACAGGCTGGACAGGCCGAGCTAGGAGGGCCCAGTGCTCACGTCTGCCGAGCTAGGAGGGCCCAGTGCTCACGTCTGCCGAGCTAGGAGGGCCCAGTGCTCACGTCTGCTGAGCTAGGACGGCCCAGTGCTCACGTCTGCTGAGCTAGGACGGCCCAGTGCTCACGTCTGCTGAGCTAGAAGGGCCCAGTGCTCACGTCTGCTGAGCTAGGACGGCCCAGTGCTCATGTCTGCTTTGGCTCTACTTTATACTCTTCAAGGGCAGGAGCCAAGTCAGCTCCATGTCTGACCCCAGAACATAACAGGCTCTGGCGTTGGTCAGTGCTCAGTATCTGTTGTGCTGAATCGCCATGTGCAACCCCGTTGTTTGACCATCACAGACGGAGATGAGGTGGAGGCAGGGAATCCAGGCAGCCAAGTGACCCCACTGGAGTCCGGGCAGCCAGGTGACCTCTCCTGGATTCCAGGCAGCCGAGTGACCCCACCTGGACAGCAGTTCCCTTGGTTGGCACCCTGGGTCTGCTGTCCCGCCTTTCTGATAAATTGTCTAGGCTGTTGAAGTCCCAGTTGGCAGAGGAAGAGTGGATGGAATGGGCCAGGATGAGGCGCAATTTACTGCCAGGCTGCGAGCACCCACGGCTGTGGAGCAAGGGCAGAGCAAACTTCATTCCACTTCCAAGGCACTGAGCTATGTCGACACATTCATAGCGGAACGGTTGGGGCCTTTATGGGCCATTTCCATTTCTAAAATATGGTGTAAGTTGCAAAGTGATGATGCAAATGGCAAGAGATATTTACTATATGTGTAGGACTGCAATAAATATTTCTTTTATGTCCTAAATAAAACCCCAAAATTGTGAGTGTTTTGTGGGCCTCTTTTATGTCTTCCCATTATGGTCCTCGTCTTGTGATTTAGCCAAAATTTGGTGGCAGTGAACATGAGCTACAATGGAGCTATCTCTGACACTGAGCACAGCCATGCACAGAGCTTGTCTTTCTGCCAGTGTCCTGGAGGGAGCCCCACCCAAGAGAAACAGAAAACAGTCAGGACAAAGACGGGTGGCACCTCAACATACAGGGAAACAGCCACCGAATGCAATACGCTGATTTCCGCCCTTAGAATCCACGAGTAGATGAGGACTCCTGTTCTCATATCTCAGAGGGCAGTGTATTATATAAAAGATGAAGTAGGCAAAGACGGCGCATTCACAAATACATTGGAATCAAGAGAGCATTTCAATTCCGTTAGCCTGAGCTACAAAAAAAATAGAGGGTGCATATCTCTGACTTTGTTATTAAATGTGCATTTTGGAGAAGTGGAGGGAGTTGAAATGGTAGTAGAAATGATTCATTTCTCAGCACACTTTGCCAGAAGGTGATTTATTTTAAAAAGCATATGGACGCCCACATTTCTCCACTTCTCAGGCAGAATTAGAGGACTGAAATGGAGAGATCTATCTCGGATGGACGTGGAGATGAATCAAGTAAAATCACCCACTGAAGCCAACGCTGCACTCTTTCTAAAAGTCTAGAGAAAGAATTTGTCCTCCGGTGGGAAAAATCATCCAGTTTGTTTCTGTTTCCTTGACTTCTAACTGCTTGGGGTAGAGATTATCTCCCCAAATGATGCCAGGCAGGCCCAAGACCGGGTTCCCCAGAAATGAGTCATGGACAGGAGTTTACGGAATTGACACATCCAGGTAGGGTTGCTGGAGATTCAGAAATGTGGAGGCTCTCATGCGTTCTGTCTGTGATATAAACCCTCATGCCAGCCTCCCAGGGGAGGGTCTGCCTGAATAGGAGCCACTGGGGGTCGTATGTAGAGACAGGCAGGCTATTTTAGAGCAATGGGGCTGTTCAGGGACACACACACACAGTGCATGCACATACACACATACACACATGTGCACTTACACACCCACACCCCCATATGGTGCATGTTCACACATGTGCACGCACACACACACACATCAGCAGGGAGGGGCTCAGCCCCAGTGGCTCCATACTGCTTTTCTGGGCCCCAGCTCAGTTCCGGGAGCTCTCCCATCAGGCTGGGGATGCAGAGTGCTTGATCCCAAGCCCTGCCCTCAAAGGCACATAAACCCAAGAGGACATTCTTTTCTTGCTAGTCCAACAAAAGCATTTCTGAAATAAAAAGTTCTGTTTAGAACGTCTTCTTGCTCCAACTGGCCAATATGACCCCTGCCACATTTTTTCCTTAGACAATCTTGGCTTGCAATCCTGGTGGGCAGAGGAGATAGGGCTGGATCCTAGTTCCAGGAGAGAGGGTGGGATGCTGGAGCAGGTGGCAGAAATGTCGTAGTTTGGCCCCGAGCCTGTGTGCAGTGAGCTTCCTTCTTTACAGACAACCACCTCACAGGAAATGTGCCAGGTCATAAGAGCAGAGAAAAAGCCAAAACCAGGAAACAAGCATCGCTCTGAGTGAACATTCTCTGCCTGATCTGAGCAAGGCATGCATTCTCGGTGGGCGGGACAGTTGGTGTTTATGTAGTTGCTACAGACCTCTGAGTGGAAGTCTTGCTGTGACCCCTGTGTCTGGAACTCCAGCAGAGGGGTGCACTCACATGAGCACACATTCTGCAATGGGAGAAGCTCTGCCCAGGAGTGAACTGAGCTCAAGGCCAAGGCCAACGTTCCTTGTTTTATCTTCTCCCAGCAGATGGAGGCTGGAAAGGCTCTGGAGGAGACAAGGCTTGGATTGGGCAGCAGGAAGAGATTCCAGCATGGGGGGAGTATTCAGACCCTTCTTGACCTTGACGGTCAGCAGGGTCTCTCAGCCTGGCAGGTCCACAGGGCATCCCAGGGTCAGTGGCCCCCACACTGGGGCACCAGTCTTGGGCGGCCTTGCAGGGCAAGAGCTGGAGTGAGGCTTGCTGGGCCGACAGGACTGGGAGTGTGGAACACAATGCCTGAGTCTCTGTGCCTCTGATACAGGCAGATGTGGTGGGCACACTGGGCTCCTGGCCTGCATAGCAGGATGGTCACGTGGGCTGTTCCAACAAGCTTAGTGGCAATTCGTGAAAATGAGAAATCTGACCACGGCTACTTTTTTCTTATTTTCCTTTCCTCTCTACCTCAATTCTGTCAAAAATTTTAAAACAGCAAATGGCCAAGTTCAGTGGCCAAAGAGCAACCCAGCCACCTGTCCCCAGACTGGCCAGTTCCTGCCAGGGTGGCCAGCTGGAGCCTGCGGTCAGGACCTCCCGACCAACAGGAAGGGCACCTCTCTGCCTGAGGTCAGAAGCTGCTGGAAGATCTATGCTGTCCCCAAGACGGAGCCCCTGCAGGCTGCCCAGCATGGGTCAGGGCAGGGCAGGTGGAGGAGGACTGGCCAGTGTAGAAGGCAGCATGGGTCAGGGCGGGGCAGGTGGAAGTATAGAAGGCAGCACTCACCTGGCTGGAGGCTGGACTTGTGGTCACAGGGTCCCCGGCCTGAGGCTTTGCCTGATGGATGCTGCTCCCTTTGCCTGGTGGGAGCTCTGAGCTGCTCTGAATGAGGGCATATGGGATGCTGGGAGTGAAAACCAGTGGCCGGACACAGAGCTTCTCCGTGAGTAGTGGCGGGATTGTGGCCCAAGGCCGGAGGGGCGGCAGGTGGGGCGGCAGGGAGAGGACTGCGTCCTGTGTCAGGCTGATCTCTACAAAGGAAACCCCCTTTTCCACTCTTGGGACACCTCAGATTCCCCCATCGTACCAGCCCAGGGATAAATCCAGGATGGCCACATGGAAAATAGCAGCCCTGTAGTTTAGGCTCAGCCTGCCCATGTAGGAACACTCGTCTTACCCCTAAGCCCCATCTCAGCTCCTCCTCCAAATTCTGGGAGCCTGGAGAATACCCGCTATCATTTCAGCCTTTTCTAAAAGTGTCTGCTTTGGTTTCAGAGACCGGCTGCCAAGAGTTCAGTGGGCATAGGTGCTGCAGGCGCAGCGTCTGTCCGCGTTTGGGCAGGCTGCCCACTGACCTGGGCAGAATAGAGAGGAAGTTGCTATTGAGCTGCTCATTTATGGAACAGCTTCATATCGGCACAGTCTCTGTTTGTGGATTATTCTAGCAGTGCCCAGAGCAAAATGCCTGCACCAGGCTTTGAAGGGAACGAGTTGGCAAAGTCATCTGATTACCAACTTTTATGTGTGGAGGAGATATGCCGGCAGAGCAAGAGAGCAGCTGTTTTCATTTGTGGTTTGCAAACCAAGGTCGCGGCGGGTTGAGAGTATTTGGACGAGGTGACTGGGCTGGAAGTAATTCATCATTTCAGGATGGCCTGGGCCCTTGCGGCACATTCACACGCTGCCCAACACACACTGCATTGGAAAACCCCAGTGACTGTGTGCTAAGTCGACGGAGAGATGGTACACAGCTAACTGGCTTTACAATTCCCATCCCGCTCCAGACAGGGGTTTGTTAGATCGGGAATTAGGCTGTGTGGTGTCCATCTGGCCACACATTCCCCACTCAGGCAATTGATCCATTCAATCACTCATGTGCCCTCTCTTGCTGAAGAGGTTGCTGACATCCCAACCACAGGGAATAGATCCTGTGTAATGGGATGCAGGGCAGGGGTCAAACGCGAGAATGACCCCACGACTGCTCCCCAAACTCAACATGACATGAACTTGGATGGGATGGATCAGAGAAGAGATGGTCCAGGTCACTGCTGAGAGAAAGGTTAGTGACCTGCAGGACTCGGTTCCAATGAGGCAGGAGGTGCTCGTGTATCTAAGCAGAGAGGCACCAATGAGAACAGGAAGAGGGAGCTTTGAAAAATAAGGGAGAAAATAGGGCAATTGTCCACAGTGCTGACTGAACTGCTGATTGGGGAAGAGAACTGGCTCAACGGCCCTGAGGACATGGGCTCGTGGGAAGGGCCACCCACACGGTAGAGACGAACGTCCCAGACTTCAGCTTCCTCTGCGATGACTGGAGACTCACAGGAGGTGTTGTCTCTGCTCTGAGCTCTGCTTGCCAAAGAGCCTCTGGGTGGGCCTTGTCTTCTCGTGGGGATCTGCCCCTAGACGCCTGAGCAGCCGTCGGTCAGGGCAAACCCTCTGCTTCCCAGGCCACCGGCCTCGTCATCGGAAAGGAAGCAGTCAGATTGTACATTGGCTCTGAGTGCAGTGTGGTGGGACATATCCCCGGAGAGCCAGAGCCACTCTCAGGAGGCAGCTGCATTACGGTCCCCTGCCTGCCTGTCCAGCTAGGGGCCAGACCCCCATCAATTCAACTCCCCTGGGAGAGACACTGGCAGAGGTGACTGGGGTCTCCAGGGGACTCACCTCTGCAGTGCAATGGGCAGTGCTCCACCTGATTTCCTTCTCTATGCCTTGGGAGAAGCTGAAGAGGATCCTCGTGTCCGCCATACCTGCTGGGCTATTCCAGACACACTTCTGTATCACGCTCGCCAGCGCCCTCTAAGAGGCAGAGCTGTGAGTGCACCCAACGCGCAGATGGGGAGACGGTGGCTCAGACAAGCTGTCGCAGCTCAGGCTCTCCAGCCCCAGGACCAACAGCGGAAACTACCAGGCCTTTACCAGAGCCATGCGAGGCCCTGGGCAGACCACAGCAGCGCAGGATGATGTGGGCTGGCCCCTCACCTCCAGGAGGGAGGTCTGACGATGGCATTTTGTCTGAGATGCCCGTATCATCACTCAGGCTCGTCATGAGGACGGGCCGCAGCTCCCAGGGGTGTGCCAGAGCAATTGTCTCAGCCGGTGACTCAAGGAAGGAGGAGATTCGTGGGCAAAGGCCTGGAGACGCTGTTTGCCCGGCAGCCACGTACAGGCGCCTGCGTCCCGGCCTCTGCTCGCCTCGTGATCCTCATCTCGAATCATGTGATTTGCAGTGGCCTGAGCACGTCCCCCAAAAACTCACGTGTGAAACCAAACCCCAAGGTAATCGTGTGAGGAGGTGGGGCCTTTGGGAGGTGATTAAGAAATGAGGGTGGAGCCTTCAGGAATGGGATCAGTGTCTTATCAGACAGGCCCCAGAGAGCTCCCTCGCTCCCTCTGCCCTGTGGGGACACAGCCAGGAGGGCCCCGTCTTTGAGGAAGGGGCCCTCACCAGACGCCAACTCTGCCGGTGCCTTGATCTTCGACTTCTAGACTCCAGAACCGTGAGAATTAAAGTCCTGTGGTTTTAAGCACCCCAGGGTAGGGCAAGGGGTAACAGCAGCCTGGAGCACTGTGCACCTGCCCGTCTGGTTTCCGCCTGCCTCCCCAGGTCCAAGTTCCCCGAAAGCAAGACGCACGCCATCCTGTTTCCTGCTGGAGCCTCTGTGTTGGCGACAGTGCCCCGGCATATCTTAGGAACTCATCAGTATTTGTTGAACAAATGAAGGAATGTGACACTTACTATATTGTCTCGCTCTCCATGACGTACATTGAAGGGATTTTGAGAAGCCCCTGGTTGGCCTGTGTCATGTCTCAGCTGTTCAGCATGGGTCCCGTGCCTTTCAGAGGCAGAGCACCAAAGATGCAGCCGACCAGACGCACCCTGAGGGAATGGCCGCTGCTGGCAGTTCCCTGGGCAGATCTTGTTACTGTCCTCAGAGCCTCAGTGTGAGCGGCCCCTTCTGCCTGGAAGGCTCTGCTCCTGAGTTCCCCCAGCTCAACCTCAGGACTTGTCTGTCCCCCTCACTCTCCCCACTTGCTCCCCTCCCACAGTCCCCCTGCACACTCCCAGGCAGCATGTGCCACCCTGTGTGTCAGTGGCTTGATGATCTCTGAGCTGCTTGAAGACCAGGCTTCCGAGGCTCCCTTCCAGCAGTGCCCAGCCCAGGAGACGCAGAGCACACGTCAAAGGAATAAAGGAATGAGCGCCTGCAGGAAGGGACGTTACTTCTCACAAAGCCACAGCCCCAAGTGCCCTGGGAGAGGCCCAGGGTCCAGTGCAGGGTGTGGTTTGCGCATCTGGAGTCAAACAGACTTCTGTGCAAGTTCTGGCTGTGTCCCTATTACCCAGACTTCGGACAAATTGCTCACTCTTTCTAAACTTCAGAGTCTTCTGTGAAGTGAGAGTGGCAATAGGATTTACCTCAAAGGACTGTTGAGAGGACAAAATGAGTCAAGGAAGAAAGGACTGAGCTCCACACTGGTCTAGTATGAGCATTTGCTCAATTACTCACTATGATTAGTATCCGGATTATTTACAGATCACGGGTCATGGTCATTTGGACATAGGAGCATGTTCCACTTACAATGACTGTGCACCAATCACCTGCAAACAGTGGCTTAAAACAATGACCCCTTTGATTTTGCTCCTGGGTGTGCGCTTTGGGCAGGGCTCAGTGTGGAGCTGGTGTCCGCCCAGCTCAGTGTCAGAAGGTGCCTTCAAGGGCTGGGAGCTGGGCTCCTAGGAGTCTCCCGCACTAGCTCATGTCGCCTGAGGCCTCAGCTGGGGCCTCTCCATGCAGCCAGGGCTTCCTCACACTATGGTGGCTCCCACAGGAGAATGTCCTGGGCAAGGAGGAGACAGGCAGAGGCTGCCTCCTTTCAGAGCCTGGCCTGGCAAGTCACATGCATCCTCCTCGTGCTCTCTGGTTGAAAGAAGTCACCAGTCCCTGCTGGATTCACGGGGAGGGAACCCAGACCCCACCCTTTGTCATGGCCATGGCAAGGGGAGCACGTGGACTGTGGGGTATGTCCATGTGTCTCTGTAAAGCATGCAGTGGTGAGGGGGGAGCACAGCCTGCACTGTGTAGATAGACACTGCTGGTCCTATGCCTGGAGAAGCCACCGGAGCCCCAGAAGAGGCTATTTCCACATGGCTTCCACTCCCTCACCTCCAATACAATAAATACGCATGACTTTAAGATCCCCAAATGATTTCTAAGTGTAATGCAATTTTTAAAGATCGAGTCTTGGAAAATAGAGCTTGGAGGCAGGAATGGATTCAATTGAAGACAAAATCCCTAAAACTGTATGGAAACAATTCTCTGTTTGCTCTGAATTCTGCTCTCCCGAGCAGCTGTCCGAATCCCTGTTGTCTGTGCCCCCTCACCCCACTGCTGTCCTCTGTCCCCCACTGTCCCTGTTCTCACGGGGACGGCCCTCCCTCCTCATTGCCTGTGCCCAAGAGCACAGTGACTTTACAAATGCCGATCTTCAAGGGTCTCCTCATGTTGGCAGGCCCGCCAAGGGCACGACTTCATTATGCTGACAGCATTTTACAAATAGGAGTTTTTCACCTGCAACACGCTTCACATTCCTGCAACACGCTTCACATTCTTAATGGAGAAAAGACAAACAAAAAAAAAAAAAAAAAAAAAAAAGAAAAGAAAAGAAAAAAGAAAAAGCAAGTATTTTGGGGGCAATACAATTTCCTCTTATTATTGTTAATGGATTGTTTGAAGCAGATCATTTGAACAAAGCAACAAGAAAATAAACAGTAGCAATAATAAACATTTAGTAAGAAAACAAACAGAACACTGAGTGAACCACGAGAAAGAAATGCGTCCTGACCACCTGTGAAGAAACGGCAGGGGCGTGAGTCCGCGCAGGCTCATCCAGCTCCGTCACTTCACGCTCCTCCTCTGGTCATGACTGCTCAAGGCCAGGAAGGCCCAGGGCCCCCTCATCCTCCCTGTGGGGGCCTCCCCACAGAGCAGGGGGTGCCGGGGAGCGGGTGACCGGCAAGGGGCATGCTCTGACGTGCGGAGGGGCTGGCAGATCTGGCGGCACCAGGAGGAGCTGAGAACTCCCAGGCAGAGAGAGGTGGCCGGGGTGGGGACGGGGTGGGCAGAGAACCCCTGAGCTGAGACCCCAGGGGCAAGTCCGAGAGAAGGGCAGAGTCTGAGAGGAGGATGAAGGAGGAGCGAGGGGAGGGTGGCAGGTGTTAGTGAAAGGCAAGGGCCCCAGGAAGGTGAGAGGTGGGTGGGCCCAGCCAGCCGACAGCCGCAGGAAGCTCTTGGGCTCTGGAGCTTGGAGGGAAGCTTCTGTCCCGTGACTAGGGCCAGCGACTGCCTCTCCTTCCGCTCTCTTGCTGGTCCTAAGTGGGATTCAGTGACTTCTGATGGACACGCTAATAGAATATTTTAGTTTCCTGCTAAATCCTAAGAGGTTATTATCAAGATCATCCAAGTTATGTTAGTGGCATTTAAAATGAAAGTGTAACATGGAAAAATGAAATTACAACCTAATACTGTTTTTCTATAATATCTTAAATACATACTGAAACTAAAAAGGTTACTTATATCTACAGCCCCCAAAGTAGGAGACCATTGGAAATGCACTCCCTATAGACACCACGTGGGGTTTCAGAGCTCGTTTTCTCCCTGAACACGTCCCTAATTACACCCGCGTTCCGCCTTCATCTCCACGGCATTGCGATGGGCCCACAGATGGGCGTGCAGGTAGATACAACCATAAGCGTGGAGATAGCTCCATCACTCAGGTAGCCAAGACTTTCAATCATTTAAGTCTCTTAGATTCATAATCATGGCTGTATGAACTAACATACAAGGCCCCCGAATATTTGGATGAAAAGCAAAAATACCTGGGAGTTTTCCTCCAGGCCGGGGGCACTCGTGTCTCCCTAAGCACTGAGAGAGACGGATCCTTCCGCGTTCATGAAAACAGCTAGATGGCGCCCTCCCCGTGCGCTCACGCTGACGTCATTTCCGGTGTCCCTGTGTCTCGGCGTGAGCATTCGATAATTACCATCCGGGCGACAATGGAAATGATGGCGGGGAAGGGGTCACGGCCCTGATGGCCCACAGATGGCCACTCGCTAGAGGTGACGGAGGAGGGCTTACCAGAGTGTGACCCCGAACACTGGAGCCGAGCTGAGGGAAGTCAGGGAGGGCAGAGTACCTGGGAAAAGCCACCGCAGATGCTGCTTCTGGCCCAGGCCTGAAGGAGCGGGAAAGGCCGCTGTTGCCAAAGTCCATGTGAGCTGTGGCTGTAGGAACAGCTCCCTGACCAGAGCTGTGGCCTTGGGCAAAGGAATCAATGTGGGCAGGCAGCAGGGGAGAGGGGGAACTGACACCCCAAACTCTCTCCCCGCCCCCCTGCCCCACTGTTTCCTGCCGCTGCCTCCCATTGACAGAACCAGCCAAGAGCAGGAAGGAAGAGAGCCCAGAGCCGCGACGTGGGAGACTTGGGGGCCACAGGGCGGGGCAGAACCCCCTGGGAGAGGATCTTTGGGGACGAATAGAAACTATGGTGCTCGGGCCCCTCACCCCGCAGCGCACTCACAGGCATTGGTGAGGATGGGCCCCAGCCCCAACGTGGGAGAATCCATGGAGGCGACACCGCACGGTCCCCAGCAGAGACCCGGGGCAGTGGGCCGAGTGAGATAACGGGGGAGAGGAAGGGGGAGACGTGATCCACGGAAAAGCTCAGCTGCTCGGGTCTTATTTCCAGAGACAGCCGTGAGCCCTCAGACAAGAATCACTGCTTCCACCTCCGTCTCAGGCTCCTTTTACCCAAAACCACGTGATGGGTGAGCCAAGCTTGCTTTTCTGTGGGTTCCAAGTCTTCTCCACTCCTGACTTTCTGAGTTGATGAGTTTCCTGCCGACCAGTGCCAAGCATTGAGTGGTACTGAAGATGCCCAGCAAATCCCCCAGGGTCCAGTCATGGTTCTCCGAGTCCTCATTATGTGGAAGTGGGAGAACTCGCCCCAGCCAGTAGAGCGGCCACCTTCTCCACCTCCTGCTTCAGAGCCAGGAGGGGTCCGCATAGCAGGAAGCTGCCACAGCCTCCAACTGAGCAGAACCAAGATGGTGAGCGAACTCTGCTCTTGGGCAACAAGCTGTTCACACTCACCAGCTCGGGGCTGTGGGGATGGACATAAAGATTCCCTAAGGAGGTTACTGAGTCGAATGACCGAAGGGGCCACTCCCACCTCCCCTCGTTGCACCTGGTTCCAGGGGAGATGCAGCCTCTTGCAGGCTGCTGGGCTCAGGCGGGCACCATAACCCGCAGGCACCAGACCCTCAGGCGGCACCGCATCCAGGCCATCGCAGGTCATTCCAGACTTCATCAAGGCAGCTGCTGTGGGGGTGGGCACATGGGAACACCACTGAGTCGGGTGGCTCTGAGCTCATTGTTGCAACGGCTTTCACTTGCAATGAATCCCTTGGTTAACAAGACATCCTGCGGGCAGCCCTGGAGATGGAGGCCATCCTGCAGGAATCGGGTCGTGATCATGGTAGAAGTGCTTCAGGCCGGGAAGGAACATCTGCCTCTGGGGAGGTAATCGAATGAGAAGAAATTGCTTCCTCATTAATGAGACAATTCCACATGATCAACCCAGCAAAGGGGCCATCGATGAGACTGAACATTGGCCTTTTGTGGCAGTAGCTCCACCCTCTCCCTGAGCAATTCTCCTAAAGCCCATGCAGACCCTGCATCCCTGCCCTGTGGTCACTTTGAAGTTGGCCCAGTGGGTAAGAATCAGGGTAGTGAGGGAAAGACACGGGCTGATGGCCCAGGACCATTGTCTTCTCCCCTGGTATTAGAGCGTGCCTGGTGAAGGGGGTCTCCCAAGCACATGGGACCTGAAGATCGCTGCACTCTGCACCCATCCCAACAATTCCCAGATCTCCTCATCTCTTGCTTGAAGTAGACACTCAGTAAACCCAGCCCATAAGCTGGTGCTCCCCTTTCACAGACAGGAGGGTAAGGTTTACAAAGTGGTGGCTTCTACAGCCAGAGGCCACTCACTGAGACTCCTCCTTCACAATGGCCATCAGTACCACTCCGGACCAGGCCATGACTGGTGTCTGGAGCCAGCAGAGCTGGGGGCTCCCCCATGAGTCCTAGCAAGCACCTTCCCTCCTCTGTCAGCGGGGGACCAGGAGCTCAGCAGGAGGCAGCACTGTGGGCAGGGGCGGGGCTGGGACCAGAAGCTCAGCAGGAGGCAGCACTGTGGGCAGGGGCAGGGCTGGGACCAGGAGCTCAGCAGTAGGCAGTACTGTGGGCAGGGGTGGGGCTGGGACCAGGAATTGAGTCTCCCTGGACTGGTCAGGGCCTGCTTTGCCCATGCTGTGTCCACTGTAAGTGAAATGCTGCTGTGCACCTGTGGTTTCGTGTAGGGTGGATCCGACAGCAGTCCAGGGGCCACGCAGGTTGTAGTCCCTGGGTATTCTGTGCTCGGGTTGTCAGCCTGTACCAGGGCAAGAAGCCAGCAGCAGCGGCTTTGCAAATGGATCACAGTGGGTGGCAGGAGAGGGCACTGCCTTCCTGCAAAACCCACAGGGTCCCCAGAAGCTCCTCCCTTTCAATCCTGCAGCCCCGCCCTAACAGGTGCCAGCAGCACTCAGCGCCTGCAGCTTCCCCCACCCCGACATCCCTCCCTGGTGGCTCTGGGCAGAGTCCTCCTAATGAGACACACTTACTGTCCGCAGCACCCCAGGGTGGGGTTTCCAGCAAGTCCCATCGCACAGCATTTCAATTACACGTCTCCTTGCGCCAAGCCACAGCTATGCCTTCTTCAAAGGGCTGCAGCCCTCCGCCCTGGTGGAGAGGCCTTTTCCTTGGATGCTCTCTGGAGCCCTGGGGGCGCTGGCTGCTGCTGTCACCTGCTATCCCTATGCTATTCAGTGATCTGAACTCAGCAGCCTCCAGACTCCCATCCCCTGGGGTAGTCATCCATTGATAGATCCATTAATAGATCCCTGTTCAAATCACAGGGAAGTCTCGCTTTCCTGACAGCCCCTCGCTGATCCACAATCGGCACTTGCTCCTCCGGAGTCTGGCTCTGACAGCACCGTCACAGGTCCTTCCAACTCCACAGGTCATGGCCAGGTAGGAGGGCAGCTCGTGTCAAAAATGGCCTGAGCTGAGCGACGGCCCTGGAACCCCCAGGGGCCACCCAACACGGAAGGTGAGGTGTTAACAGCGACAGTGTCGGGACCAGGGCTGAGCTCAGTGGAGAGTGGATCCCACCTTGCCCAATTACATCCTAATAAGTGTGGAAAAAAGTGTTCTCATGGGAACTAATTAAGAAGAAGGTAGGTGAGGAGGCTGTGTCACTGTTTACTAGGGGACAAAGACATTGTATCTGAACAGAGAACTCCATAAATCTTGAAATAAATGAATGGATGTTTAATAGTTTAAGGAATGCAATTAATTAGTGAAGGTTTTGCCAAACGTGGTTCCACCCAGGACTACTAAGTATGTTGAAAAGTGAGATTCTGTGTGAGTGGCATTTTCATGGCCCTTATTGCAATCATCGGGATTTTTTTTCTCCCTGAATCTTTCAAAACTGGGTATCTTTAGTTGAAACACAATGTTGCTGCTTAAGATCATGGGGAATGTCTTAGTCACACATACACACACTGGTTTAAAATATTTATTGATTAAAAAAAATTAAAAATTTTTTATACAAAGGTGATGAGAAAAAATCTCATGCAAACTCCGGGCATACAATAAAAATAACTCAAATATTAATATGATGATTTTGTACAAAATAATTCTTTTGAAGTAGGACCGGTGGCAACCAACACGGCTCCCTGCTCCAGGCCGGGACGCCCCTCTGGGAGGAACGCGCGGCCACCCTTGGAAACCTGTAAGTGATCCACGGTCCAGGTGTGGAATGCTCACAGTTGTCACTATGATGAATGATGAAAACCCTATTGCTGCTACTCAGAAACGAGACTGAGACCTAGGGACAGAGTAAGGAATTCCTCAACACTGCGGGAATCCTGGAGAAACGAAGTAATTCACAAAGGTTTTCAGAAAAGTTTTCGCCAATCGTCTTAGGTGATGACACAAATGCCTTGAGATTGTTACAGAGGCTCCCGTTCCTGCTTCCCCACAGTCCTGCAGTGGATTGATAATTTGTGTATATTACAAGTAATTTGCATAATTAAAACAATTAAGGGATCGACGTATCACGGTGATTAGAAATGCATCAAACTCTGAATGTACAAAAGAGAGAGCTTCAATATGAAACAGTAATCCTCTGAGAACGAAGACCCCGCAGTGCCGGTGCCCGCTGGGCCGTGCAGGTCTCGGCCGCCCCACGCCCGTGTCCGTCTCCACCGTGACCCCCTCGCCCCCGGCACGCCCAGGGTCAACCCCCGGGCTTATTGCATTTTTTCACAAACTCATCTCATTTTCCGCAGCCTTAGTCTGTTTTCCTTGTCCCGTTTCTTAAGAATAAGTATGAATTGGTTGAAAAAATGCTCCTGGTCCTTTCTTTTTTGAACAAGTCGGAACCTCTGATCCCGGCCGTATTTCTCTGCAAACTCCTTAAACGTGGTCCTGAAAAAGAAAGAGTTTCCTGAGACACCTTCCAGAGAGCAACTCTGGCCTCCCCAGAGATCCTGCAGCGGCACCGCCTGAGCAAGCATCCAGCCCTTCCACCAGGCCTGGCCGTGGGTGGCAGGGCACCCGGTGGGTGAGCGGCTCTGACCAGCCGTGCCTGCTCCTCACCCGGGTCCTGCAGGGCCCTGACCCACCCTCACTTGCAGGACCCCCTTGTCTCTCCTCTGAGTGGTCTCCGGAAATGAGCGGCCCCCACCAGCCTCCTCAGCCGTCTCATGCAGCTGTCACTCCCCCAGCCGCCCCGATCACAGCTTTGCTGGCCAGGTCTCCTCCGCCCCTCCCTTGCTGCCACCAGGCTCTGCCTGCCACGGTCTTTCTTACACTGTTCCCTCTGCCTGGTACACCCTTCCCTTGTTTCTTCCCCCAGTTAGAGCTGCTCGTCATGAGAAACCAGGCCAGGGGGTCTTCTTTGGGAAACTCGCCCTATCTAGAGGCTCAGAGAACTGTGACTCCATCACAGCCCTCTTCACAGTGGTGATCTTGTTAAACCTCACTTGCGGAACTGGACTCCCACATTCGAATGAGGGAGACATTATCTGCTTCGTTCTCCAATAAATGCCCTGAATGTCCAGCCCAGTGCCTGGCAAGTAGTGAGCCCCAAACACTGATGGAGCGAATCAGAGCTGCCAGGCCAGGTGGTGCCCCGTAAGAAAATGCGAGCGACCCAGCCTAGAGCAGCAAGGCTGTTCTCAAGGCTACGGCAGCTTAGAGGGCAAAACAGGATGCGCCTCTGCTGTGACCAACTGACCTTCGCAGGCACCGGGCCCCGCAACTTCCTGTTCTCTTAGCCTTGAACTTGAAGCCAGGGACAGGGACAGAGGTAGAGGGACCAAGGCCTGGAGCCGCTGGCCTATGCAGATGCACTCGCTTGTCCAGCGACAGTCGGGCAGGGCCTGGCCTGGGCAGTGTGCTCTGGGGTGCACGGAAAATGTGGACATTCTTTGTCCGGGGGATTCTTCTTATTCCCTCCCACTTCTCCTTACAGAGAATTTTACACTTCCTTGCAGACACGGAATTATTGTGTTAAATTATTATAACTTAATAGCTTCTGAAATATACAAACAACAAGATTATGCCGACATGGCTGTTAGAAGACAAGACAAATAATTAGCAGACTCATGCTCATTTCTGTCATTGAACAATTCGTCTCATTCCTTCCCCAAGGCGCTGCCGTTTTCCTGCTCTCCGTCTGTGGGGGTGCTTGTTTACACATCTCTCGCAAGAAAAGCGCTTCTCTCTGGCTTCCCTCTTCCTCCCTCCCTCCTTCCTGCCCTCTCCCCTGCCTTCCCTTCCTCCTTCCTTCTCTCCCTCCCTCCTTTTCTCCCGGTTCCTTTCTTCCTTCTCTCCCTCCTTCCCCCTTCCTTCCTTTACTGATGTAACCACCTTGGTGTACCTTGGCTAAGCCACACTCCACCCCGACCTGCGGGGGATGAGTCAAACGGTCAGACTTGCCTGGGCTTGTTCCACGCTCCCCTGGCTAGACAGGCATCTACACATTCTCAGTTAGGGGCTGGACAGGGGCAGCTGCTAGACAGGCCCTATTCTGGGCCTCTCTGAAAAGAAGAGTCCCTGAAAAGAAAGGGAGCCTCCCGCTTCCGTGGCCCCTTAGCCATGCCAAGGGGCAGCAACCGGCTTTCTGCTGATGCTGATGAGCTGTGGTGTGAACTCACGAAGGTCAGCTGATTCACAGGCCCTGGATCTCTGCTCTCCCTCTGCTAAGTGGGACTCGGGCCAGCCTGCCATGAAGGAGGCGGCTGCTGCAGCTCTCAGGAAGGAACACTGGGCGGCTAACCCCACCGGGCGGCCAACCCCACCGGGTGTCAACCCCACCGGGCGGCCAACCCCACCGGACGGCCAACCCCACCGGGCGTCAACCCCACCGGGCGGCCAACCCCACCTGGCTAGGACCCAGTCCCCGGTAGCTGCTCTCCCGAGAGGCGGGCAGGGCTGGGGCTAGGGGCTGTCCAGGAGTGTTCTGGACTGTCCCGTCGCCACCATTCCCACAGGCTGCTCAGGACCGAGGCTGAGACGGGCGACCAGGACGGGACTGTATGGCTGCAGGAGGCTACACAGCCTCAGGAGGCTGCTTCTAAGAGGCCCACGTCGCCTGCATGGGGACGCGCCTGGCTCTCCAGCATGTGGTCATTTGAATTGTACATGTTTCACTAGGATGCCTACAGAAAAGTATACAGAAGATCTGGAAAAAGTTTTTGAAATGTTGAAAACTTAGCTACTTTTAAAATGAAAAAAATAGCTTTATAATTATCAAAGCAATATATCCCAGTGTAAATTTTAAAATAATTTGCTACATTATAGTAAGCATCTTATCTCTATGTGCCCTATAACATTATGTTGTATAGTTTAAATATATACAATAAAATTTATTTTAAAAAATAGCAGGCAATTAACTCTCATTTTAAAAAGAGTCCGTTTAACTCCCTTCTAATTTCTACCACTCGTTTTCCTTCTGTGTGCGTGTATGTGTGTATGTCATCTTTTTTAAATGGCTCAATGCATTCCGAATATTTTTTCCGTTGTCTTCATGATGTATTCATGGGAAGGGGAGTATGTGGCTTATTGCTGCTAGTTTATCAATAGAGAATGCTGGCCAGATGTCTTTAACAGTAATGATGGTCTCAATAGCAGTAATGACAGCTACCACTTTCGGAGCTCCTCCTGCCTGCCAGGCACCGTCGGGGTCCCTCCCTGCAACTCCTCACGCCATCCTCCTCGTCACTTTCTGAGGTGTGTGTGGTCATCCTCCCATTTGGAGGAGGGCTCGGGAGCACAGGAAGGTCCAATACTTACCCCATGGCCAGGAGAAGATGGGCCAGGGCCAGGCTGTGAACCAAGGCAGAGAAGGGGCTCCAGCACCTTTCCAGAGCCCTTGCCTCCTCCGCCTCTGTCCCAAGGCCACCTGGTGGGTGGACACAGCTAAGCCATGGCTAGAACCCAGCATTCTCATGACTGCTTTAACAATGGAAAATCACAAGTTGCAGGCAACAGGACACACATTTCCTTGTCTACATTAGCACTTGTGATGAAGATAATTCATGCTATTTTTTCCCTATTCAGAAAGTACCTGTCCTTAGAATAGCTAGAGAAGTTTTATGAGGATTGTGTAACTAGCACTAACTTAGGTCACCTAATTCTTGATCAACCAAATCACAGGTCAAACAAAGGGGGCCTATGCCTTCATAGAAAGCATCAATTAATGTCCATTTAAAAACCGATGCAGGCCAGGCGCGGTGGCTCATGCCTGTAATCCCAGCACTTTGGGAGGCCAAGGCGGGTGGATCACAAGATCAGGAGATCCAGACCATCCTGGCTAACATGGTGAAACCCCGTCTCTACTTCTCTACTAAAAATACAAAAATTAGCCGGGTGTGGTGGTGGGCACCTGTAGTCCCAGCTACTTGGCATGTACCCAGGAGGCGGAGCTTGCAGTGAGCCGAGATTGCATCATTGCACTCCAGCCTGGGCAACAGAGCGACTCCATCTCAAAAAAAAAAAAAAAGAAAGAAAAAACTGATTCTGGCTGGGCATGGTGTCTCACGCCTGTAATCCAAGTACTTTGGGAGGTCGAGGTGGGTGGATCACCTGAGGTCAGGAGTTCAAGACCAGCCCGGTCAACATGGTGAAACCCCATCTCTACTAAAAATACAAAAATTAGCTGTGCATGGTAGTGGGTGCCTGTTATCCCAGCTACTTGAGAGGTTGAAGCAGGGAGAATTGCTTGAACCCCGGAGGCAAAGGTTACAGTGAACCAAGATCGTGCCATTGCACCACAGCCTGGGTGACACAGCGAGGGTCTGTCTCAAAAAAAAAAAAAAAAAAAAAAGAAACAAACAAAAAACTGATGCTGCATCTTCCAGTCTAAAATAAAAATACATTGTTAACCATTTTTATGCTTACGAAACTTACAGTTTTATAGTTCTAAAAGTAGTACATGTTCATTACTTTTTATTTATTTCTTTATTCTTTGAGACGGAGACTCACTCTGTCGCCCAGGTTGGAGTGCAGTGGTGCAATCAAGGCTCACTGCAAGCTCCGCCTCCCAGGTTTACGCCATTCTCCTGCCTCAGTCTCCCAAGCAGCTGGGACTACAGGCACCCACCACCACGCCCGGCTAATTTTTTGTATTTTTAGTAGAGACAGGGTTTCACCGTGTTAGCCAGGATGGTCTCGATCTCCTGACCTCGTGATCCACCTGCCTTGGTCTCCCAAAGTGCTGGGATTATAGGCGTGAGCCACCGCGCCCGGCCCATGTTCATTACTTTTTAAAGATCAGTCAATTAAAGCTAATTTTTAAGAAAGAGTTAAGCTTATGTATTCTTCCAATTTCTAACATCTATTTTCTTGTAAGTGTGTCTTATTTCATGGAAATAATGCCTCATTTATTATTTTAGTAAGTTTTGGCAACCTAGTTAACTCAGTTCACTTGTCCGGTGTATCAAATCTTCATTTTACTCTGGGACCAACTGTTAAGACATCTGGAACCAAGGGGTGTGGTAGGGGTTATGGTGCTGTTGTTTGTAGTCAGCTTTGCATTTTTGCTTCTTGATCATTAGATCAGAAACTAGACCTCATCTCATGAGTGCTCACGTATTGATTGGTTATTTGGGTCAGTCAGGGCTGCTGACGTTTGAAATGCATGCAGGGTAGGAATAAAATGGTTGTGATGCATTTGGTTAGCAAATAGCCCACTTTCCCAGGACTGATGAGAGGGACATTTGGAGGCTCATGACAGGCAGCATGATAGAGGGGAGCCAGGCTGGTCTCACTGGCAGGTCTTCAAAGCTCACACTTTCGTGTCTGTGGAAGGCTGGGTTACACGATTTAACAAAAACAAACCTGAAGAGTCCTCTTGTCATTGGTAAGTTCCCAGCCCCAGAAATCATCCGGTATATTTCTCTCTCCATACCTGGGAGACACTTTAGATTCCTCTAGAAGTTTCTTGAATTCTTCTTTGGCTAGCAGCAATTTACTTTTCTTTTCCTTGTATTCTTCTTTTATTCTTGTCTTGACAAACTGTTCAAATATCTTAAAACACAGATACAGAAGAAAAACATCATGAAATTGCATATCAGAAATGAAATCTTGTATTCCAAGCACAACATGAGAAAGCAGCAAGAATCTATGGCAAAAGCTGTTCTTGTTTACAGCTGCTGGAGTTATGAGCAACAGCCTTTCAGCATAGCTCTCAAGGATCCAAGCAGTCTGAATAATTAAACCTGGGTGCCCACACGGCCCGGCATTTCTCTACATGCAGGCGCCATTTCTGGGTCAAACGTGAAGCAGCCCTGCTGGAGAAACCCGGAGAATGACTTGGCTGCCCTCTCTGCAGGCGTCTGGAACCAAGTGGCGGTTTGGAACCCGTGCTGTAGGCTGCAGTGGTCCTCACTGTGCCCTCTGAGCAGCATCTGTAACGCGCGGCCTCCCACTGCCTCATCACGGCCAGTGGCACCAGAACACAGCAGAGCACTTAGTTCGTGCTAGTCACTTCCTAGGGTGACGTAATTGACATTCGAGTCTCCCAAAAATGACCTTAACTTGTGGAAAGAAAGTAAATTCTGCATCTCTGATCCCCACTTGTGAACCTGGGCGTCTGGTGCCTTGGGGAGGACTCAGGGTGCATAAGTGGTCTCTTCTGAGGGGGTCACAGGATGCCAGGCTGCCTGGGTCATCAGTGTGGAAACAACTGGCCAGGAGGCCTGACCCTCGGGCACTGGGCACTCCCATCTGACCAGAAATGCATCTCAAATGCTGCCCCAAACAGGAAAACCCTGCTCCTCAATGGGAGGGACATGCACATCAGCTGGCAGGCAATTCTGGGCAAGGCCCCAGGGCACTTCTCCTGGAACCTGGCAGCCCGCATAACGAGATGCAATCTCTTTGTGACAGGCCACAGAACCTCTTCTCTGTCAGGGTAAGATAGATCATTGTTCTAACCAGCGAAAAATGGTCATTTATAGACTACGGAGTCAAAGAGGGACAAAGTTCTTTCATTCCTAATGCTACCCCAAACTCAAGAACGTTAAAAATAAACTGAAGATAAGTGTTTACGCAAACATAATAAAAATATCAAGAGAAAGTCCACATAGGATCCTATCAGGCCAATAAATAGCAACTGGGCACCAATCCAACCAACGGCCAGGCAGATCCTAGAATGTGACCGAGGACCAAGCAGGCAGCTTCTTCTACACTCATGCCAAATGAGTGGGGATGAGAAAGCAAGGGTGGGCAGGTGAAAGCCTCGACCCCAGCACTGCTCAGCCCCTTCTCCGGAGTGGCTTTCTTCCCACTTTGTCTTATTGTTTCAGATTCCATGTCAGCAGTGGCAAACCTTTACAGGATTATGAATACAAAATGCCACTGGTCCCCTGAAGATACAGCAGCGAAATGAAACATCCACAAATATGACCTAAATTGAGAATATGTGCATGTATATGTAAGTAAGAATATGATTGGCTTCTTTTTTCTTTTCTTTCTTTTTTTTTGAGGCAGAGTCTTGCTCTATTGCCCAGGCTGGAGTGCAATGGCATCACCTTGGCTTACTGCAACCTCTGCCTCCTGGGTTCAAGCAATTCTCCTGCCTCAGCCTCCCAAGTAGCTGGGACTATAGGTGTGTGCCGCCACGCCCAGCTAATTTTTTTTGTACTTTTAGTAGAGACAGGGTTTCACCATGTTGGCCAGCCTGGTTGCGAACTCCTGACCTCAGGTGATCCACCCGCCTCAGCCTTCCAAAGTGCTGGGATTACAGGTGTGAGCCACCACGCCAAGCCATAATTGGCTTCTTATGCCTTCAAGGCAAATAGCAATGTAAGTTCTTAGTTATCTTATATTTAACTAATAAAAAATTAATGCAGGGTTATTATCCAAATAAAAGCATGTGGCTCCATCATTAGCTAGAGTTTTGCTCTATTAATTTTAGACCTAGAGAGAAAGCCTGGCTGGCCGTGGGGTCAGGGCTCTTCAGAAATGCCTGCTTCTCTCTCTCTGCCTAGAACCATTTCTCCATCTCATCAAATGCTTCTCTCTTTCCTCTCCCTTTGCTCTGTTACTTTATTTTATGCTGCTATAATTTAACATCGCAGGTTTTGTTTTTCATCCTTAACAAATTATACCAGCTTCATCCAAAGTGGAGCATGACTTTTCAAAAGAGATTCCACTGGCTGTTATATCATTGCTGTATGTTCTAGCGCAAAAAAACAAAACACTATTTGTTGCCATAGAAACAGGCCTGATTCACACTCCCTCGACCCTGATTCTGTGTAGGATCACCCTCTTCTCCTGTGCAGCTCCCCCGGCAGAGGAAGGGCTGTGATTTTCACACCAGGGGCCTTAGCTTTCCCCATGAAAACGCTGTGTGACACCAGGTCCTGTACAGATTCTATGTCTGATACTTCTAACCCAATTTCTTCCTAAATAGGACTGTGGTCTTTGGATGGGGTCCAGCTATGATTTCTTTCCATCCCATTCCTCATACGAGCTGCCATGCTCCCCTTTGATGAGGTTGCAGGCACTTCTTCTGAGCGCTCTCTGGACCCTCCAGTGCACTGGCTATGGCGTGGCCTGCTTCCTCCTCTTTCCCACTGGACCTTCTGGGACCAAGTTGCAGGACGTTAGGACAGGCCCACAGTTTCCTCTGGGTGATGTCACAGGGACGTTTAAAGGTTTTCCCCAGGCAATGGGTACTTAGCATGAGCTATATTCTCATCTCATCTATTTGCAGAGGACCAGCCCAGGCAGGCCCAACTCCATCAGGGTTGGCATCTGCTGTCTCTGACGATGGCCTGAGGAAGGTCCAGCCTCACAGTGCTCCCTTGGATGAGCCCTGGGTGGGATGCCCATGTCCCCCAGACATCAGGGGACCAGCGCTGCCCTGCCCATGAACCACGTCCATCCAGCAAGCAGACTGGGCCCCTGTGTTCCCAGCTGTTCTAAGAGATGTGCCGTAGCATGTAAACGAGAATATTTGGAAGGGGCTTGATCATAAGTTGGAATTTTCTTTTTGCGGTGAGAATGATCTTACTTATTCAATGTTTTTTAAAGGGACTAACGGCCTCAAAAGGTATCCATGGCACAGAGAGAGAACAACTGGCAACAGCAAACAAGTTGGTGGTGGCACACGTGGCACGTGCCACGCACGCCACACACAACCCACACGCCACACACAGCACACATGCCACACACGCCACACACGCCCCAGATGTACTGATGATTTTAGACACTGCCCGGTTTATGGCTCCTGCCTATGCCCTCCAGTGATTCTGTCACATAAAATCACAGGCTCCTTGTTATGCTTCTCCATAGCTGATTTTCTTTTTTTTTTTGAGATGGAGTTTTGCTCTTGTTGCCCAGGCTGGAGTGCAGTGGCGTGATCTCGGCTCACTGCAACCTCTGCCTCCCGGGTTCAAGTGATTCTCCTGCCTCAGCCTCCTGAGTAACTGGGATTACAAGCAAGCACCATTACACTTGGCTAATTTTTGGCATTTTTAGTAAAGACAGGGTTTTGCCATGTTGTCCAGGCTGGTCTGGAACTCCTGACCTCAGATGATCCGCCCACCTCGGCCTCCCAAAGGGCTGGGATTACAGGCATGAGCCATCATGCCCAGCCCATAGCTGAAATTTTTGATTTTTAAAATTGCAACAAAAGGGTGAAATATGACCAGTTATTAATGTCTATGGTTTTCCTTTGCTATAGGAAAAAATTATATAACACCCAAACTCAGCTAACTCTATTGTAGCATTTTTTGAGGCTGTGATGACACATTTCACATATTTTAAAATATTTCTTTATAGAAAATGAAACTCAGCTAGAAGACAATAAAATATTATTAATTCCAAGTTCTTGAAAGGTTCAAGTTCTGTATTCCAAGGCAGTCAATCCCGGGAACACGTCACACTGCCCGGCCTACCCCTGAGCCTGCTCCAGGGAGAGGGTCCAGTTCCAATGAGCAGAGTGGTGGGTCGAGGGCTGGGAACGGGAGTGAGGACAGAGCGGGAGTTGGTTACAACGAGCAACGCGGGTCCATGTGACTGAGACTCTGTGGGTTCGTGCTTCACTGACACCATCTCAGGCATTTGCTTAAAGGGATTTTATGAGCAGAGGACAGAATTGAAAATAAAATGGCAATTCCCATACCCTCCGTCTGGGGCTTTATCAGACTCTGCTGGTGTGAGAAATCCAGTGGACACCAACATGGGGGCCCCTGGTCACAGAACCCCTCCTCCCCTAATTAACTCTGGCTCTTCTGTTTTCAGCGGCTCTTCTTGATAGCTCCCCTTCCACGTGCATCATTTCTGAACTCAAAGGGCAAAGAGAGGGCAAGACGTGACCGCACACATGGAGTCTAACTGGGGCAGGGAAGTCCGGACCTTCCAGAGTCTATCTCAGGGCCCTTCTCAGACGTGATCCACGGGCCACACAAACCCAGGCTGTGCTCGCTGATGCCGTCAGACCATCGGTCCCTCTCCCAGCAACAACAGGCCCCTCCTGTGAGCCAACACCATCTGTCCCTCGTCTGTTTGATATGGAAAGCAGTGTTGGCTCAGGGACCTACTTTGTGAAAAGCTAGGGCAGAGCCCTGGCAAGTCTCTCCTTAAAATAGTCCCCGGAGAACCCCCTCTAATCAATTCCGTGTTTTCTGGGTGGCGTTTTGTAGAACTCCACCCTTCACTGTGCTGCTAGTGTTCTCTGGACCACTCCTATTTCATCACTATTATTGTCAACCTGAAGAACAAGCAGAAAGAGGCTCTCTGAAATGAAATGGATGCTTATTTGGGAAGAGAGCATTGCAATGGGAATACACATGCCATCGTAAATGACAAGAATATTCAGGGAGGTAAAAAAAAGGCAATAATTTTTAAGGAAAAATAAATGAGAGGATTAAATCATTGTTTTGACATAATTATCTTTGGCTACAGAGATCCATAACAGGACGAAGCCAGTCTGAGGAGGGACAGGCAGTTGTTGGGCAGGTGTCCTTGCAGAAGTGCTTTTTGTGTGTATAAGGTTGTGATGAGCCAGGTGCGGTGGCTCACGCCTGTAATCCCAACACTTTGGGAGCCCAAGGTGGAAGGATTGCTTGAGCCTAGGAGTTCAAGATGAGCCTGGGGAATATACAGCAACCACATCTCTACAAAAAGTACAAAAATTAGCCAGGCGTGGTGGCTGGAGCCTGTAGTCTCAGCTGCTCAGGAGGCTGAGGTGGGAGGATGGCTTGATCCCAGAAGGTGGAGGTTGCAGTGAGCCAAGATTGCACCACTGTACTCCAGCCTGGGCAACAGAGTCAGATCCTGTCTAAAATAAAATGAAATAAAATAAAATAAAAGGTTTTGACGGCCTTGTGTGCAAGACTGTGGTTCTTGTAGAGTCTTTTTAGTTATCAGGTATACAAGTATGAGAACCCTCTCTTCATGGCCTTCCTCCATTCTATTTGTTAGGGGTTTCTTAACATTAGTGACTTCATTTTGATTCTGACAACTTTCATATTATATAAGATTTTAAGCATATAAAACCTTAAGGTCTTATGTAAGACCACCTCTTTCACTATCTTTATATAATACCTTAAGTATTTCATATTTTTAACATACGATTTATAGTCATTTGGAATGAGGGTCAATGTTCCTAAAATTTACATGTTCATCTTTAAAAGTATTTGTCTTCCAGGGTCATAACCAAATACTGAGGTAAGAATAATGACCAGAATAACCTTCCTCAGTCCCTCTAACTCTTTTGTTCACAAGCTCGCAAGCCACTGGCCAAATTTACAACATGGGTGTCTGTTATTGAGCAATGAAAAGCTCCCCAGATCCAGGATGCAACAGTCGCTTTCATGCCATGTCTCTGCAGTCAAAGTGCCTTCCCACCCAGTTACCTGCTTTCGTTCCTCAGAGTTGAGCAGGAGATAGCGTGGGTCAAACACGATTTTGTGTAATTCTTTCTCCCAGGTAGAAAATGCTGATACCTAAAGAAAGATATTCAATAGAGTTGCTGTTAGCGTCTAATGCTAAGCCTGAAGCCGCCCTGAAATGATCCACAGTTAAAAACAAATGAACAACAAAAACCAGCATTAAAGTACAATAGATTCCGTGATGTGGTGCAGTATAAGTGTTAGACATGTCAGATGCTCCAAGAAAACCAATACTAGAACATCAGAAAATTTAATTTCTAGACTCATGACTATTTCTTTCTTGGGTATCTTTCAGGGGTGTGTCCCCCGATCTGAAACCCCAATTATACCTGTGGAGGCGTGGCATTCTGGAACAACCCATTTCAAAAGGGGAAATTATATTGGTAAAAATTTTCAGAACCCCCACAGACCATAACAAAGAGTAATGTCTTGAAAACAGGCTGAGTTTAGGTGATTTGTAATCAAAGTTTAACCTCTTTTAGGTAGGTCATTTTAAAAATAAATTATTTTGTTTGCAATAGTTTTAGACGTACTAAAAATTTGCAAGAATATTACAGAAAGTTACCATATACTCATACCCAGTTTCTCACGTCGTTAACATATTAGTAGGCTAGATTCGTCACCACTAACCATGACGCATTATTACTAACAATAGTCTGCATTTATTCAGATTTCTTTAGGTTTTACCCAATTTTCCATTTCTGCCAAGGACCTCATCACATTTCGCTGCCATATCTCCTTGGACTCCTCTTGGCTGTGACAGGGTCTCAGATGGCCCTTGCCGTTGATGACCTTGATGGTTTGAGGAGCCCTGGTCAGGTGCATTGCAGGACACTCCTCAGTTGGGATTTGTCTGAGGTTTTCCTCGTAAATAGCCTGGGGTTATGGGTTTGGGGAGGAAGACCACACAGGTAAATGCCATTCTCATCATGTCATAACAAGGGTACACACACTGCTGACATGACTCTTCACTGACAGTGGTGGCCGTGGTCGGCTGGCTGAGGTCTCCCCACTGTGAAGTCCCCCTCTCCATGCTGTCCTCTCTGGAAGGACATCGCCATACACAGCCCACACTTAGGGGTACAGGTTGTGCTCCACTTCCGAGGAGAAGTAGCTACATGAGTGACTGGGAAATGTCCTGGGGGGGATACTCCTCCAGGCCTCCACATTACTTATGTACTCAATCTTTTATTTATATTGCTACAGACTCATGGATATTTAGCCCATGCTCAGGCTGGACTCCAGTCATGAGTGACTGGGAAATGTTCTGGAGGCAGGAGGTGATGGAATACTCGTTCATGCCTCCATGTTACTTATGTACTCATCCTTGTATTTATATTGCTATGGACTCATGGATATTTAGCCCATGCTAGGGCTGGACTCCAGTCATGAGTGACTGGGAAATGTTCCGGAGGGGGGTGGGAATACTCGTTCATGCCTCCACATTACTTATGTACTCAATCTTTTATTTATATTGCTACGGACTCATGGATACTCAGCCCATGCTTGGGCTGGACTCCAGTGTGACTTTGCTTCTTTTCCTGCTCAGCTTCTTTGAGGTTGGCCTTGGCGAGCTCCCGTGGTGGGTTCCCGGCTCCTGTGTGCCTCTGACAGGTGCTCATCACTTGGCTTTTTGGGCATCTCCTTAATTTCTGCTACTAAAGATGCTCCAGGCTTATCTTCTGCATGTCCCACCTTTGCCCTTGAATCAGTCAATTCTCCAAGAAGCCCTGGCTCCTTTCCTAGAACGGTGTTAGAAACCAAGATCCAGGCACTGGTGTGTTCATTGCTAGTGAGGTGTTGTTGCTTCTAGACTCTCTCAGCTGACAAAGCAAGGGAATGTTTAAGCCATTTAGAACATAAATGCATTCATTTAAAAACATGGACTATGTATTCACTGTGCCTTGGGCCCCAAGCTGGGTGTTGAGGATCTTGAGAAAATAAATCAAGGAAGCCCATGGTCTAAGGTAGTGCCGGTCTAGGAGCTAACAGACTCTTGAGATGGCACTAGGGCCATGGCGGAGACAGACCTGGACACTAGTGGGACCCAGCAAAGACCCACAGCAGCCTAGGGAGGCGGCTTCCAGAGTGCTGTGACTTTGGAACATGAATACTCCTCAGGGTTCACAAAGGAGCCTTGGGGGGTATTCCAGGACCAGCTGGTGGTGGGGACAAAGGCTGGGTCATGAACTATGGGGAATGCAGGAATTGCAAGAGGTTGAACATGCCTGGGGGTGCAAGAGCCAATGAAGGTGCAGGGAAGTGGCAGCAGAGACAGAGGCTGAAGTGTAGGGCAGTCTGAGATGTGGTTAGGAGACTGAGCATTGTCTTGAGAGACAGGAGAGAAGAAAATTCAGATGGGGCGTACGTTTGAGGAAGGCCACCCTGGGATCCGGGCAGATGAATACCTGGGCAGGGTCAGGGAGGGGAAGGTAATTGAAAGTTTACAAAAACAAAACCCCATTCACATTCTTAAAATATTCTTCATAGAGGTACTATTTCAATAAACACATGCTTTATTTGTATATTATAAGAGATGAATTTTCTTCACTGGCAATTTCTATCTTTAACTGTCAAATTTAAGCCTTTTCTGTAATACCCACGAGCTCTTTTATTGGGTGGGATGACCCAGGGTCCAGCTAGGATTCTCCTCCACAGAGTGAGAACCCGGTGAAGCATAGCTGGGTCTCAGGGCAAGGTGGCAACTCTGGGAGGGTCTCCAGACAGAATGGATCCCTTTAGCTTCGACTGAGTGCCATTGCTGGGACTCAGGGCGAGGTGGCAACTCTGGGAGGGTCTCCAAGCAGAATGGATCCCTTTAGCTTTGACTAGTGCACCTGCCCCCGGGAGCATCTGGGGCCGTTAGAGAAGCTATGGGCAGCCACCACTCAGCCCAATAAGATGGCACACACCCACCTCACGGGGACCTGTGCATAGCCCGATGGTCCCAGCTCTGCAGGGAGAGAGGATTAGACCCTATGTGGCATAACGACACCAGTTTCTGGAAAATGTTGGAGTTCTAGAAGTATAATAAAATAATTTTTCAATGAATGATGTGTAGTTTTTGCCCCCGAAGGGATTTATAATCTCTATAGAAGGTCAGATAAGCCATCTCTACAATGATTACAACTCATAATGATAAAACCAACTGTGTCATGTCAGGGACAGTTCAGGGAAGGGTGAGAGCACAGTGGCTGGGACCCGGGATGGAGGTGGGGGCTGAAGTGAAGGCCGCACAGCCATGTGTGAAACAGGGTCTTTCCCTGCCCTCCAGGTGGGCGCAGGACTTCTCCCAAAGGGTCCTGACAGGTATGGGGACGAGGAGTCCTATGAACTGCTCCTGAGGGAAGCCTGTTGTTCCCGAGCCTGCGTGAAACACTTACGATGCCCAGAGAGTACATTCCATGGGGCCACGATTGCACACATGTGTGTGACTATACACACACACATAAGCACACACACCACACATACAAACATCCACAGAGGTGCATATACACATGCAGGTGCACACACATGCAAACACATGAACACACCCAGGACACGCTAAGATATACATACGCAGGCACACATGTACACATGCACATGTACATAGTTGCACAAATGCACACATACGCACAAAGATGCACACATTGATACACACATGCACATGTGTGCCTACACACACACACACACACACACACACACACACAGAGTACCACTACCACCACCAAGGAAGTCCAACATTGTAGAACAACCAGGGGAAGAAAGCCCGTCAACTGAGTAGACAGCAAGCTGCCTATCTCTTTTAAGTCCGTCTATGTCGTGGGACTGTTCTCTAAGTGGCCGTGGACAAAACCGGCTCTCCCTGTTTCTGGCTGGTACCTGTCCAGAATGACTGGAATGCACTGGGAATGCAACAGACTGAGAACAGCCAGGCTTTGTTTGGGCCCCACCCCAGAAATAAGACATCCTTCAAGCTTTAGCCCAGCGTTTCACAGGACCCCAGGGTAGAAAACCACTGTGGGCTGCTTTCTGGGATTCCTCGGTTACAGCGAAGGGTAGATGAGACTCCGTCCCCTCCTTGCAGCTTTCCTGGTCCTGGGGGACTGGTTCACAAGGCACCCTCATCTTCTACCACCCTTGCTTCCTGTCTGTGGGGAATAAACGCACTTCAGATGATTTGCTGCTCATCTTCTACCACCCTTGCTTCCTGTCTGTGGGGAATAAACCCACTTCAGATGATTTGCTGTGTGCGTGGGTGTTCTGTCTCAGCAGCCTCACACAGGCGGCTGACCAGTGCCCAGTGAATCTCCTTCACATCTTAGTTTCTATCGCTGCATAAGCAACGACTTCAAACTCAGCGGGTCACAAGCACCACCTCGGATCACTCCCTGGGCTGTGTGGGTCCTGAGTCCAGCATGGGGGCATTGGGCTCCTCAGCCCAGATCCCACTGGGCTGAGATGAGGTGCCGGCAGGGGCTTTGCTCGCGTCTGGTGCTTGGGGTCCTCTTCCAAGCTCACTGGATGTTGCGAGAATTCAGGTCTTGTGGTTGCAGGGCTGAAGTTTTCCATGTCTTCAGCCAGCTAAGAGCCAATCTTGGCTCCGAGCGGCTGCCTGCAGGTCCTTGCCCCAGGGCCCCCACAGTGGGGCAGCTTCTTCAAGCCAGTGAGAGAATCTCCCCCTGGCTAAGGCAGAGTCTTAGACAACACAGTGCAACATCGCCACGGGTGTGACATGGGCCCCGTCCACGCTCAAGGAGAGGACCACCCAGGATGAGCACAGTGTTGTGGGGTGGGGGGGGTGGAGGGTGGTGCTTAGAACCCCATCTGCCCAGCACGTCCCCGAGACCAGGACACGCTGTTCCTCTCTCAGCAGAGATCTCTCTCTCTCCTCTTGCCTAACACTTCTTTGATTCTTTGGCATTTTATTTGTGACTTGATCCTTAAAGACCTGAATTCTTCTGTAAACTTCAGACCCTTTCCTGCAGAAGTTTGTGATCCACCCCCTTCCTCACCCCGCTGTACATCGTCACATCACGCCCTGACGAACAGTGACAGTGATCCTGGTGCCCGTCTCAGCACGCCTGTTGTCTGTCCCCCTGTGGATGACGTGGCCGTGTCTGTGACCGTGGCTGGGTCTGTGACCGTGACCATGTCTGTGACTGTGGCTGTGTCTGTGACTGTGGCTGTGTCTGTGTCTGTGTCTGTGTCTGTGGCTGTGTCTGTGAACGCTGGAGCCGCCTCAGTGGGAGAACAACAGGGTCTTGTTCTGTCCCCCCGGCTGGAGTGAGAGTGTTTGACTCTGTCCGAGGACCGTGTTGCGGGTCCCTCACTGCACATTCTCATCTGATCGCTGTTTCAGGACTGTCCCTCCGCCCTGTCTGAATCACGAGAGTGGGAACTGGAGGTCACCTGGGCTGGGCTGGAGTTGTGCCCTTTCTTCCACTCTCAGCCTCCTGCAGCGGGACTCTCCTCTCTCCCTGGGCACGCCGGCTGGAGCTCCTCTGTTCCCTCATTAGTGTCTGGGTTGCAATAGATTCCCTCCCATTTCCACAGTGGAAGAAGCCAGAGCTGGTTGTTAGAAACGCAGGCGCCAGAAGGAGCTGCAGAGGAGGCGGTGTGGATGCAGGCCAGGGCGGCAGTTTCCAAACTCGGCAGATGCCTCATCAAAATGGACATCGCCCAAGCATCACTCTGCAGATAGTGGCCGGCTGGCAGCAGGTGTCCTTGACTGCAGGTCGCGTGTGGCACCGTCCCAGCCCGCAGGCATCTCGCTGGAGAGTGGACAGGCACCGGGAGTCTGAGGTTCAGGAAGGGAAACTGCACCTTCTTCACAGCCAAGGGAACTGGACTGTCCCTTTCACAGCGGTTTTCAACATCCTCTCAGTGACAAGGACGTGGTCTGGAGAACCCAAAAGTGTTTTCCAGATCAAGTGGCAAGATGCAGACCACGCGGGCAAAGCATTTGGTCATGGTCATCTGGTTCTGAGACAGACACAACTGTCTCCTAACCACCCTCCTCCCTGCCGTGTCACCTCCCTCAACTCACACCCTCTAAAACTTCTCCTCCTTGAGGCCTCAGGTGAGTCCACAATTCAGCTGAGTGCTTGTGGCCCTGGTGGTCTCACCCCGGCTCCCTCCCAGCATTAAGGGGGCAGCTTCTCTGGCCAGCTGAGCTGTGAGTGGCTCCCAGGAGCCCCAGGTTTACCCTGAGCACCCACAGCAGCTTGAGCAGACTCTCAGCAGGGAAGAGACCCCAAAGCACGGCCCGAGCCCAGCACTGTCCACGCCTCCTGCTGTGGATGGGCCAGGGTGAGCTCCTGCCTGAAATGGGGCACCTCAGCCCCGGGAAGGCAGCCAAGACCTTGGGCATGAAGAAAAAGGTCACCATTTATAAAACAACGCCAGGGAAAACTAGATCTAACTTCAGTCCCGGCTTCACCAAAAGCCTCTCTGGAGACTGAGAAACTCATCGTGCATTGTTCCAGTGGACGCGTCAGCCCTGAGAAAAGGGGGTTCAATTCAAGTAAAGTGGCTGAGAGCTCGAGGATGGCTCAGCCACATGTGGGACGCCAAAGTCCTGGAGGTGCCCCATGCGTGTGATGGCTCCCGGAGGTTATCACGGACAGGACACGACTGGATTGGCAGGGAACCTCCGACAGAAGCAGAACGCTGCCTTCCATCTCTAAAACCAAAAAAAGGCTCTTTCAAGTAATTTTCAATCCCTGGATCATGGAAAAGGCCAGCGATCCTGATGACCAGAGAAAAGGGCGAAAGCTAGCAAAAGGATGGCACCTGCCGAGTCCTGAACTGGAGGATAAAGCCCCAGCCTTGAGAGGGCCTCAGATCAGGGGCGCAGTCCACGGCCTCTCCAAGGAAAGCTGGAGCCATGCCCGCTCCGACCCTGACACTGGGGCTGGGCTCAGCCGGGCACACTCACGTGCATCTGCAGAAACGTGTGTCTGTCTGTCTGCACCGTCCGCCCCCACCCACCCTCATGGCTCCCTGCTGTGGTCCTCAGGGTGTCCCAGGGACAGCAGCTGCAGTCTCTGCCCCTCAAGGAAAGCTGGGTCATACAGGGCCCCCAAACATGGCGAACTTCCATCTCAAACACAAACCTGGTTACTTTTGCGAAAGTCCTGGAAGCTAATGTTTTGACCAAATTTGACTGTTAAACAAAATGTATTTATTTACTTTTACTTCCTTGTACCTTAAAATGGCCATAATAGACCGGGAGCATGAAGTGTTAATCGAATTAGAGGTGATTTTTCCTTCTGGCTTTTATGAGTGCAAACGTCCTAAGGAAGGAAGCAATCTGTCACAATTACCCTCTCTCAATGACCCTGCAGCTGGACCTTTGAAATACGGTCACGATTTCCTCGCACAGCCTGACCTTCCCCTCGTCCACGCCCCGTGGGCAGAGGACAGGCTGCGATTAGTTATCTTGGGGCCTGCGTGGAATTCACTCATGTAAATAATGAATAAAGCTCCTAGGTAACACTATATTTTTTCATGTTGTGTTGAAAACACAAGAAGACAGATAGACAAGCCAGACTGCTCCAAGGTGTTGAGGGCGGCCTGCCCTTGCAGCTGCCAAATAAGACACCGGCAGCCGAAAGGCATCTCCAGGTCCCTTGGTCCCTAGTCATGGGCCCTGCCCCCCAGCCTCTCTTCTCAGCGCAGGCTGCAGGCTGCTTGACCAGTGTCAGGACCCTCCCTCCCTTCCTGCCATCTTCCTCTCTCCTGTTTCTTTCTGCCTCCCCTGGTCTCAGGAAAATTGACCAAAGGCCTCCGCTGGGGCTGTAGAAGTTCAAGACCCCTGAGAGTGGGGGAATGGGCCCGGCCACACGGCACTCCCAGTGGCCACATGAAGAGGGTTCAAAAATCTCCCTGGGGCCTGAGCCCAGGGTCTCTGCTTCCAGGGCCGGGGGCTGAAGACTTGGGCCACGCCCCTGTCCCCGAGCTCTGTCCAGATGTGCCCGCTCTATTTCTCCAGCTCTGACTCCCACACTGTCCTGGAGATGCCTGTCTGGATCTGCAGCCCACCCGGCCCCTCCTGGGCCCAGATGCCCCAACCTACCCCCAGCGGGCTCCTTCCCAGGACTTTCTCCCCCTGTCCCCCAGGCCCCCACTGTGCCTCCCACAAGCCCTAATGATGATGCCAGCTGCATGTGGACAGCCTTCATTTTTGAGAAACTGCCTGGCTATTCTTCCCTTTCAACCTGCCCCACTCTGCGGCCCTCTTCTCCTGGCCTCTGGACTTTGCCTGCTCGCAGGGATGGGGAACACTCCTGGAGCCTGTGGCTGTGGCTGCTCCAGAGTCCCCGACCGTCAAAAACGCGGCAGCCCAGGGTGGAATGACCGGGCTTCCACCTCATCCTTGAAGATGAGGCCATTGCCTTACGCTCAGATCCCTAAAGAAACAGTATGGCAATGGCCCGGCTGCAGGCATTTGTTTGGAAGGTGATTCCAGGCAGTCCTGGGAACGGACACACGGAAGGAGACGAGCTAGTAATGGAGGGTGGGCCGTGGGGTGAGGAAGGTGCCCAAATTTGCCGAGCGGTAACCTTACCAAGGACTGGGAAGCAGGGTTTTCACCTACTGACCCCCGTCCCTCCTCGGTTGAGGGTCGCCCTTGGGGTGTTCAATCCCTAGCGTTTAGAGGTGGGAGTGGCCAGCACAGGCAGAGTTCCCGTGAGTCCAGGTGGCCCCGGGTGGACCCGGGTAACTGTGGGTGAGCGTGGATGGGAGGCTGGGCCTGCAGGCAAGGCCTCCTTCTGCATCCCTGCGTTACCCTACCTCGCGGCACATCAATGCCTACCCCCATCTTCAGTGCTCAGAGTATTTTACCAGCTTTTTGTTTTCATTTTTGGTGAATAAATGCAATTTTACACGGTTATCCCACAATATAGCCAGCTGATTTCACTTACTTTTGAGGGTTACTTTCACATTAAGCGTAATTATAATCCCATTCCAGAAATTAGAGCGGGCAGTGCCAACTCCCCAAAGGCACCTTCAAGGATGCTGTCCGCACAGGCACCTCCCCTTCCCTGGTGGCCAGCCTAGCCCTTTCTGTGCACGCGTGCCCTGGCTGAAGGCTGGTGAAGCTCCTGGGAGGCAGAGTTGCCTGTGTCTGAGGGGAGGGAAGGGCACCAGATGTTACTCATCCGGGGAGACGGACAGGGCAAGGCTGCCCTTCCTTCTGCCTGGGACTGTAGAGGCCTCTGTCTGGTTTGTACCCACTCACCCCACAGCCTCGCTGTCAACACCCATCTTAGCACAAGGAGAAATCGTCACAGCGAAGCCTGCAGGAACCCTGCTCTGTGAATCCCTCACTCCATTGCAGACGTGGTACCAGGGCTCTCCTGTGTAGCCCACCACAGTGCCAGCCAGGGTCCCCGAGGCTGGGCATTGCTGGGAAGCTGGCCCAGGATCACCTGCAAAGGGACCCCTGAAAAGGACCAGGACAGCCCCTGAGTCCCTAAGTCAAAATAGAGTATTCTCAAAAGGACTTTCTCTCCTGGCCCCTGGGTGAGCATCACCTGCTTGTGAGAGATACTTTACAGAAGGAAAATGTTCTCAATAAAATGTCTCTAATGTGTTTACCTAAGCAGCAGGATTAAATTAATAACCTGCTGTTCAATTAAACTTGCTCCTGATGGACTAAAGTTTTAAAAGAAAGCTTCTTTGGGATTTGTACTAGCAAGGAAAAACACAATAAAACAAAACGAAAAACAAACCTTCTGCTGAACCATCATTTACATGCCACAAAACCACAAAACCTTCATCCCGCTGCCCCAGGGCACAATCCCCGTGGCAGGGCCCAAACTCTGCCCTTTTTAAACTACTAAAAACCGCAGGGTCCGTCCTTCATCACTCCACAAGTACATGAATTTCTGAACGGAAGTATTGAACAAATGCAATAACAAATCTTATTAATCACTCAGTCCATGAAAAAGTGACCTTTCTATACCTCATTGTTAAGCAGCTAGAAACCTTATGGGTTTAGCTATCAAATTCTCCTCAGCCTGAGCAAATCTGCCAGCATATTTTACAAAGCTGAAAAGTCATAAATGGTGGCATTGCTTTATAATATTAGCAGTAAATTTGGATTGATCTTTTCTACTCATGAGGTCTGTGTATGTGGGCCTCTCCTGAAAATCCTCATAAGACACGGGACTAGGCTTCACCCTAGTCCCTTTCTCTCGGGGTAAACACACAACCTGGTGGTTACCGCTTCACGTTCAGATGATTTTGCTGATTCCTGTATAATAACCTGGGAAGAAAAAGTTGAAACGAACCACCCACCCTAAACGGGGTAAAAAGGCCCTGAAAATCTCATTAGTAAAATCTCTCAACCAAGGCCATTTAGAGAAATTCAAGAGGCCATGTAAACTGAGTCTGATAGCATCCCTGCCCGGGAAGGGAAGGCCGGCCTCTCAAGCAGGTAGGTTAGTTTAAAACTGTGTTGGTAAATTGGGCCTGGCTCATTTCCAAAACAAAGAGATGAAAAACTTGGACGTTAGTAAGATAAAAGGAATGTTTATTCCTCTTTCCCAAATGTTCACGATGCCATCATGTTTCAGCAAACACGAGTCATGTCTCCTGCCCGATAATCCAACCAGGCCAGCCTGGCCAGGCCTATTCAGAAACTCAGAATTACGGCCATTTCCACAAGGGCCGTGCAGTCCGAGGGACACAGCAGTAAGGACCGGGAAACTGCCTGCACGTGCACCTGTGGGTCACAAAACGGCCTCTCCTGCCTCTCGCCCAATGACACCCCTGAACCTGACCCTGCTCCCAGGCAGGGCTCTCCTAGAAGGTGGCTATTTTGGTAAGACACTGCCGCCAGGGCATGTGCCGATATAGGCAAGTTTCCTGTGAGAGGGCCGCCTAGTCACTGGCTGGACACTTGGACATCAGGCCATCCACCAGGATAAAGAAGAGTCCGTGAAGGCACACGGTGATCACCCGGCAGCACCTCCCCTGGAGCCCCTCGGGGCAGGGCTAGAGCTTTTCACCACTCTGCAGAGACCAAGTTGGGAGAAACTACAACAAAGACCCTCATGCCAAGAGCAGGAGGAGGGCAGGAAGCCCCAGGGGCAGAAGAGGGAGGGACTAAAGTCTTGTTTTCAAACAAAATTTGAGCCTAGTAAAAATAGCTTTTAAAATAACATTTTTTGAAAAACAAACCAACACCCAGGCGTCCACATCGCGCCAGGGCCGGATCCACACGCGCGCGTCCACGTCGCGCTCTGTGCCTCTCAGCACGTGTGTTAATTCAGGCCTGACACGGGGTATTGCAGTCACCAGCTCACACCCCCACTTTTCCTTCTGGTTCCCTGAGGCCCAGGGCTGTGTTTCGCCTTTGAGTAAATGATGAAATACATAAACAGGTGCACACATTCAAATTCAAGGGGCTTTGGAGGGGAGGTGTCCCTAGGGGTGGGTGGGACCAGCTCCTTCCTCCATAAAATTCCTAAGGGGTAGGACCTGCTCAATGTTCTCTGTTCCCCCAAGGCTTAACCCAGACCCAGGACAGCACCTCAGCCCTAACTAACCCTGTGAGGGTTCTGCTCAGACCTCTCTGTTCTGCAGGGAGCTGGGTCCCCATGGCAGCTCCACCCCTGCCCCCTCTCCAGGACCCTGGGAGTTACCAGCTGTGGGAGGGAGAGGAAGCAGCCTGAGGGGTGGGTGCTGGCTGCAGAGGAAACCTGCTCTGAAGTCTGAAAGGCCATTTGCGTGTTCATTATAAACATCCTCACACGTGGGGCCCACCACTGCCGCCTGCAGTCAGCCTTATTTTGTAAGGAAATCCAACTGGGCTGAAATACTGCCTCTGGCTCATTTTATACCCAAAGCCAAAGCAGGAAATGATAGTCATTGAAAGGAGATCTGAATACAAAATCCCCCCGACCCCCAAGTCAAAGTGAGATTTGGAAATCAGCTACACTGAAGATATCTTAATTTTATTTAAAAAACAGTCACGTTCATCTGAAGGGAGGGAGTACCACTAGGTAGGATGGATAGATAACCCCATGGGGAAGCTAAACAGTGAGGTCGGGCACCGCGACTGGCCCAGCTCCCACAGGAACCCCATCTGTGCAGTGGGTGCTCCCTCAGGCCACCCAGGACCCGGCCTCCCGGTGGACCCCACCTGCCGGCCTCTCAGGCCTCACGCCCACAGGAGAAACCACAAAGGCACCTTTCTCCTTTCAGAGGAGAAGCAGGACCTCCTCTCCACTTTGGCTGCCCCTCGGCCTCCACTCACTTAGCACCTGCCTCTCACTCAGCACAATCAGGAACTTAGTAAGGGGGAGGCATCCCTCAGGCCCTGGGATGGCGACTCAGCCTGAACAGGAACTCAGTAAGGAGGACACATCATCTCTCAGGCCAGGACAGTCACTCAGCCTGATCATGAACTCAGTGAGGAGGCGACCCTCAGGCAGGGACGGCCACTCAGCTGCTGTTCCCCCGGGTCTGCCGTAGGAGTGCAGCCCCTCAGCCGCTGTGCCTTACCCCTCTCTCCAGCAGCATGTCTCGGAAGTGGGTCACACGCTCCTCCAGAGGCAGGAGGATCTGCGGGGGCGGCGTCCTTGTGCCTTTGTCCTCTCTCTTTGCCTCCTCTGGCTTGGGACTCCCGCAGCCTTCGGTCCTTCAGGAACACAAGACGCAGAGTTAGACACACTCGTGGGGACCCAGCTGGTTTTTATTGCAACCTTTACAAACCCTCCTCAAGGTAACTCTTTCAGAAGCACAGTCTCCTTGACAACTCTTTATAAAGCCTGAGGCGGTCTCCCTCGCAAAGATGGCACATTTGCTCTTGGCAGGCACGGGGCTTGGCTGTGTTCAGGGTGGGAGGCTGGAATTGAAGCCCCAGCCCCGGGCCCGGCTGTGAGAAGCTGCAGCTCAAGTGCAGGTGGAAACATACACTGGCTGCCAACCGGCATGTCTCCTGGGCAGGCCCTCACTCCAGGTCCTCATACTGCCCACGGCCCACGGCAGGGAAGCCAGGCCTCAGGTGCTGCTGCAGAGATGGGGTCATGGAGGGGTAAGGAGCAGGCTTTTCATCCGAACAATCATTTCACTCACTCATCGCCCCTTCATTCTGGACAAATGCCTGGAAGATAGTTATGTGCAGAACCATCTATGTCCTGAGATCTAACCCCAAAGGGAAACTTCAGTGACAAAGAAGGAGGCTGGGACCCCTCCTCAGGCACAGAGGACAGTGGAGAATGGGATCACCCAGGGGCCCTGGAGAAGTTCCCTCCCACAGCAGAGGGGCGGCCCCTGCCAAGGCCCCGGACACTGTGGGCAGCAGCAGGAGCTGCACAAGGTGGAACCAAGGGTGGGGAGGAAGGGAGGGACCCCACGAGCTGACCATGCCGGGCTGGGCAGCTCACCAGCACTCCCTTCCGAACCACACGGGCAGGGAGGCTGGACCCTACTCCTACGGAAGAAATGCTAGAGGCCTGCCTTTTTCAAGTACCAACTCTCCCCCTTGCATTATTTTAACTGCACGTGGATAGATCTTTATGGTTCTACACTGGATTCTAAGAAGCATCTAGAAATATCCTTTTGAAAAAACGAAATGTTTGCTGCTGGAAGAATGTGTCTGGCCAAATGCAGACGCCGTTCTTCTTGTGTCTGGCTTCCCCTCCTCCCAACCCTGGCCCTGCCTGGGGGCAGGTCCGTCGGCTGCCACCCGCCCCTCAGGATGCAGCCTGTTCTCCAGGACGGGCAGACTCAACCCGCGCTGGGTTGGCGCACCCTCACTCTGACCATGCTGAGCCCTCGTGGGCCTGCTCCCTGGCCTGGCCCTGCTCCCACACCTGCCCACGGCATCAGACCACCCATTTGAGAGCTCCCTTATTTTCAGCTGCACTTAGGTCAACCTCAGCCAGCAATCATGAAGAGCAGTCCGCTCACAAGCAGTGGCTTAGGGCCTCCTACATTCTGGGAGCTCCCTAAGTGCTCGGAGATGTAGGAATGGCATGTACATCTAAAGGCATGGGCCTTACCCGCTCCTTTCAAAACCAGCTCACCCTGGGATCTGGATTGTGAGTTTCTCGAACCGTAGTCTGGGCTTTCTGATTTGGTCTAGAGGTAAGAGTCTCTCCTGGGCCACAGTCTCCCCAAGCTCCACTGAACTTCTCAGTAGGCCTAGGATTCTGAACTTCATGCTCACCTTTGCATTGCCCAATGTGAGCAACGGTCCTGCTAAACTGATTAGCCATAGTCTTCCCTACCCTTCCCTTAATCTGCTCACCGGGACACCTTACCAGATTTCTCATCCTCTGCCATGCCCCAGATCTGACTCAGCAAGAATCTGCTGAGGTTGGTTCAGCCAAAACCCCCCGATCCCTGAGGTCTGCTCTTGGTAATTTTCCATCCACTGACCCCCAACCCTGACCGTGGCTATCAAATCCTGCTTTTCCATGCCAAATTTGGAATTGAGCCTGGTCTCTTTTCCTCCTTTGCAACAGTCTTGAATATAATCTGTTTTTACGGCTTTAACTACTGTCCAGTTCTGGTTTTGACGATAGCACCATGTTCTCCACTGGGGATGATTTTGCCCCAGGGGACATTTGGTAAGGTCTGGAAACATTTGTGGCTGCCACAACTGGGGAGATGTTACCAGCACCTGGGAGTGGAGAGCCGGGATGCTGTGAAATGTCCTGCAATGCACAGGACAGCCCCCACCACGCAGGCTCATGTGGCCCAAGTGGGTCTCCCCCAGGAGGTTTGGATGCTAGGTAAAGATTACACTACTTCCTCATTTGGAGAGGAGGTAAGGTGGCAAACAGGAAAAGGTCATCTAGTGGCCAGACCCGGCCGTCCAGGCCTCCCAACACCTGCCAAGTGAGAAGTGTTTCCTCACTTGGCAGGTCTGTCCAAGGTCCTGGGAAATTCATTAGTACCATGTTTAGGATGTACTGAGAATATGCAATGCCTTATGTCTAACAAGAGGTTTTCATTCACAGGGGCTGTAATATGGATTAATCCCAACGAATACAAAATGTGCAAAGAAACAAAAAGATTGCTCAGCCCATTAGAGAACTGTATTTATAGACCCACTATTCCAGGAGAATTTACATTCTCTGCTTCTTATGTGATTACATGGAATTTTGAGAAAAGAATATTACCAGTGGATTTCCAATTGTATCATATTCCAAAGGGTATAATTAGGATTTCCCTGTAATAAATTTTCATTAGTTAAAAATAGAAATGTGAAACAAGGCCTGTATTGTTGCAACTTGAAATAAGAACAGGCGCATTCTGACTGCGCGATGATGGTGTGTTGGAGCTTATTCAGCACAATACTCTGTGCAGGGCTGCCGCACGCCTTCCAAATGGCTATCCGTTCAGTTAGAATCGGTCAAAAGCAAATGCAAACTAGCTAAATATATTTTTGATATTCTTATGGCTGAATGAGTTCTGTACCTTTAACAAAAAGTAAATTCTAATACTTTTAGTAAAGATAGCTCAACCCACGGTTTTCCTGCTGGTAGAGGCAGCGTCCCCGAGGACACACTAATTGGTGTGCACCAGCCCTGCAGGCTGCGAGCCAGGGAGGTAGCCTTACTGCATCACAGAAGCCTCGTTAAGGGAACCCATGGATTTGGGAAGTTTCCCAGGTCCAATGTATAGGTTGAAAGGGGCCTGGTCTTGGCCAACCTTTAACCAGGCTAGGTGCTCCTGAAATCTGGGCACCATAGCCCTGGGCGGGGGTCCCTCACGCCCAGGGTCCGCCCCTCCCTGCCTTCTTCCCTTCTGTGTGGTGACCATCCTACCCCTAAGCAGGGGTGCTCTCTTCTCCCGGTTCTGTCCCTTCCCCCAGCCTCTGAGCTTGCCAATCGATCTGTTAATGATTCGTGTGTGTGTGTGTGTGAGCTTGTGTGTGTGCGCATGCGTGCATCTGTCCCATGCTGGTAAGTCTGTAAAGCTGAGGTTTTCTGATTTTGCCCATGTGCAGAGGGCAGCACATTATCCGGTAAAATGCACAAATCCAAGACCCAGTGGAGCTGAGTTCTGGGCACTGCAACCCCCGCCATGATTTTCCCTTTGTGAACAAGACACTTTAATGATCCATCTGAGGCTGGGGAACTCAGGCCCTGGGCTGTGCACACCTGCTGTGGGCACAGAGCTCACCTCTAAACCCTCAGAGGCACTTCTCTCCACCCAGATCCTTTCTGCAGAACCATCCTGAGGTCAGAACCATTGCCCTGGCAGAGAAATGACAAACACCAAGTAGTTGTTGGCTCCAGGCTAGAGGAATGGGATGTGTGATATTCAGTTTCCCCAGCCAGGCTGAGGCACCCACCCATTCCCTCATAGGCTGACACCCAGGTGCCTCATCACAGCACTACCCAGATGGATGGAGGCTCAGACAGCCCAGCTGGATGGATCAAGATCCAAACCTCTATGTGGGCAAATGCACTGATGCCTTCAGCCCCAGCATGCTCCCCTGAGGTGGTCCTAGCACTCACCTAGAGCTGTCACGTGGATTCAGTGAGATGGTCCACATCGACCTCTCGGAGCGACCCCTCCTGCTCCTTCACTCCTTCCCTCCCTCTCCAGCTTGCAGGTGCGGTGTGTCCACCCATACTGGGCACAGCGGGGCTGTAGCTGGAACAAGGAGCTCCTCACTGCCCAAGGAGCTTACAGTCCAGTGGGACATGTATAAAACAGTTACACACATGCGAAGCCTCAGCTGCCACAGGTGTGTCAGGGCTGAAATCCACAGTGCAGAGACTGTCAGTGCCAGAGGGGCTTCTGGTTGGTGTTCCCGCTAACACAATCATTTGAGAGACTCTGCAGAAACAGCAGACATTCTAGTGGACCATGGCTCCAAGACAGAACATGAGCAGGGAAGAGACATAGACGCTGACACAGGTTGAGATGGCGTCACTCTGCCAGGGTGCTGCCATGTGATGTGGGGAAAGTGCTGACATGTGACTGAGGACCTGATTCTGGAGAGGCCTGTCTGCAGATGTGATGAGGTCAAGGTGTTTCTGAGCCTTACAGGTGAGGATGACTTGCTGTACAACCTTGGCCAAAATATGGAAACTCTCTGGACCTTACTCATGGTAAGATACATGCTTCCGACCAGATGATCTGAAAATGCCTCGCAATACCGCAATTCTATGATGCAAATGTGATCCTGTTAATTTCATCCTGATGAAATATTTAAACATCTTGACTCTGCCATCAACTTATTAGCTCTGCCTCCCAACTTTGCAGTTCCTATAAATTTGATGAACAGGCCTCCTGTGTCTTCATCCAGCTTGTTCATAAAAATGTTCCACAGGAAGCGCCACACAGATGCCTCTAGCAGCTCTCCCAGCTGCAGCCCTGCAGACGGACGGCTCCACACACCCGTGCTCATAATGGGCTGTGAGGCCTGGGCGTGGGCACAGAGACAGAGATGCCCCCTCGGCCCTGGCCTGCCTCCCGTATAGTCTTGTCTCAGTCTGCAGGTGCCAGGTCGCCCAGCTGCAGCCCTGCAGACGGACAGTGCCACACACCCATGCTGGTGATGAGCTGTGAGGCCCAGGTGTGGGCACAGTGAGAGAGATGCCCCCTCAGCCCTGGCCTGCCTCTCGTATAGTCTTGTCTCAGCCTGCAGGTACCACACCACCATCAGGGGTCCCCGCTGACAGACAGTCTGTGGAGGGTTCCAGAGGCTGTGCCAGCCCTCACTCCAGTTTTGTTTTATCATAAATGATGTCTCTTGCAGCCTCACTTCTAACAAGTGACCGCACCGTGCCACACACTGCCAGCCTCCCCAAGGGCGCTTTGGCAGAATGGTTTGCTGGGAAGAGTGGATTCGGAACCTAAAATGTTAGGCCTATGATATAATAAATAATTAATCTGGTCTTTACTCCCAGTTCTTGGCAGAGAGCTCCAAAAGATTCTTGGAACGTCCTAAGCACTAGAAATGACCTTTGGTATTCATAAGGAAACCTCTCCACCATACCACACCTCAGCTGCACTAATGAGGCCACTCACTGGGTTCTTAGTTTCAAGGAAGGGGCTGGCGTGTCAGGAAACACCAGCCCTGAAGATTAGAGAGTTGGAATGTCCAGGCCCACCCACCACCTGACATCCAGGATGAGGAGAGGGGTTGGAGATTGAATTCAATCTTCCTGCCAATGATCAATAAATTAATCAATCATTTCTCTGTAATAAAACCCCAATAAAACCCTTGAACAGTGAGGCTCAGGATTGCGCTGGTTGGTGAACACATTAGCATACTGGCAGCAAGACAAATGCAGACGGACAGAGGCTCCTGCCCTTGGGACCTTTCCCAGTCTCACCCCATGAGTCTCTTCCATTTGGCTGCTCCTGCGTTGTCACCTCGATCATAAAACTGTAATCGTAAGCATATCACTTTCTGTGAGTTCTCTGAGTCATTCTAGCAAATTATCAAACTTGAAGGAGGGTGGTGAGAGCTCCATAATTTGTAACCAAGTCAGACAGATGTGAGGGTAGACTGGGGACCCACTTGCAGCTGGTGTCTGAGGTAGGGGTGGCCTTCTTGGGGCTGAGCCCTTCCCCTGTGGGGTCTGCAGTATCTCTGGGTGGTTGGTGTCAGAATTAGACTTAATTGTAGGACACCCAGTTGGTGTCAGAGAATTGCTGTCAGAACTTGGGTGCAATCAAATTTGCTTCAATTGCATTCAGCAGGCATTTCCAAGGGGTCCTCCCAACTGTGGCAACCTGCCTCGTTTCTCTGAGCCTCCTAGGTCGTTCATCTATTATAGAACCCACCGGCCCCACACAGCTGTCATGAGACTGAACAGCACTGCTCACCTGCAGGGTCCTGCTGAGGGCTGCATGGGGCCCCTTGGTTAGCACGCGGCTGCTGATGTCTGCAGCGGGCCCTGCTCCAAACCCCAGGATCCCAGGCCCCTGCCCTCACCAGGCTCACATTCTAGAGGCAGGGACAGAGAGTAACAATAACCAATACCACCAAGTAAGTAAATTGGGTGGTGTAATCAAAGATGCTGGATGCTCAGGAAGTCACAAAAAGCAAACAAATGAATGCAGCTGAGGGGAGGGTCTGAGACCATCACAAGGCAGGCAGGACACCCACAAGCAGATCCTGAGAAGAGGTGAGGAGCCCTGGGGGTATCTGGGAGAACATTCCAGACTCAGGGCTCAGCTATACAAAGGCCCTAAGGTAGGAGCATCTAAGAATGTTCTAGAGACAGTGGCAAGGAGGCAGTGAGGGGAGGGTGTGGGGGGCAGTGCTCAGAGGTCTGCGAGGATGCAGATCCTGATGTCTCCTCATCCATGGCAGGGCTGTGACCTTTCACTCCCAGGGACATGGGAGCCCAGAGCCTCTGAGCAGAGTGACGCATCCTGGCCTCCGACTGCCCTGAGTCCTGACTTAGCGCTCGCTTCTCTGCTTGCCCGGCCAGGGGCCGCTCTGAGCCTTGGAGTGCAGAGACAACTCTGGTAGCACCCGGGGAGCCAGGGTGAGAGCAGGTTCCTGCCCAGAGCTGCCTCTGGAGTGCACGGTTATTCCCATTAGGACCCCACGGAGCCGAGACCCTGCCCCTGTCTTCTCAAATGCATTTTAGAAATGTTGTCCTGGACATCCAAGACTGCCCCGTGACGATTTCCTTGGTGGATTTTTGAACATCATGTGTTGTTCCAGGTAGGGCATGAGTGGGTGGAGGCCACCTGGAGGAAAAGATGCCTGACCAGGTAAAGCCATGACATCAGGCTGTCCCCGCAGCAGAGGCTCCTGTAGAGTGGGGGACACTTTTCTGTCAATCACTGTGGCGTAGACCAAGGTGCTCCTTTCCTTGCCTTGCTGATGCTACAAGATGATGCACATCTGCACACACTGCCTGGCCCTTTGGTCAGGGTTGGACCATCCCAGAGATCTCTGGCCTCTGACAGGTCTCCAAGGCTGTAATTACAGGACCCGCTGCCAGGCTCCTGAGCTGCGGGAGGCCCACCTAAGACCCACTAGCATCCTATGCAGCCGAGCTCCAGATTCTACTTTCCAAAAGAACAAGGTTCCAGGGTCTCTAGCCTTCCTCTCATACCATTAGGGAGTCCCCGTCCCCAAGGCTGGCCCCACCCCAGCCTTTGTCTTGGCACCGCAGACCTTGCCCTTCGGAGCGATGCTTCTGGAATTTGTCCAGCATGGAATTATTGCCACATTTCTGTGAGTCTTCTGAATGAGTGGCCACTGAGTTCTACTCTCATTGAACAAAATTGTCAGAAAAATTTATAAAACAAGGTGACTTTTTGCAAGTGTGCTACGGTTTTGATATTTTCAGCTCTACGCCATGCAGGAGCGGAGAGCAAGACTTTGAGACCCAAGCAAGGCTGGACCCCGGCTGGCTTGGCTCATCATCGCTGCCTGTCCGTGGATGTGCACTGCACTGGCCTCTACAAGCTCCACCTTCTTTATCCCCCAAATGACAACAACAACAACAACAGGATCTGCATCGCAGGGGTGACCTGAGGAGGGAACGCTGGGCGCTAATAAAATGCGTGGTCTCTGAGCTCGGAACCTGGGCTTTCCCACTGTGTGCTCTGTGTTCTCGAGCAAGTCTCTTCATTTCATCAACCCTCCATTTCTTCCTCTAGAAAGTGGAAATAATAATAGTTGCAACCACTTGGGATTTGCTTGTAAGAATTAAATGAAATAAGAAGAATCCCTTATAGCCACTGATGGCTCACTGTGTCAAACCTTCTCCTCATTTCATCACCAGCACAACCCCACTGTCCAGGTGGAAAAACTGACTTAATGCATTTAAGGTATTTAACACAATGGCTGGTCTAGAAATAGTTTTGATGACAATGATGGTGATGGTGATGACACAGTGATGATGGTGAGGAAGATGGTGGTGGTGGTGATGATGATGATGATATAGTGACAATGGCCATGATGATGGTGATGAACATGATGATGATGGTGGTGGTGATGATTCTTCACCTTCATCATCTCAGGCAGCTTCTGAGCATCCACATCAGTTCTCTCCAGGCTGGGTTCCAGCCCTCTGTTCATCTGGATGACATCTCATTATTATTATTTTTTGTTTTACAGATGGGAAGAAACTGTTCTTTCTTCCAGCAAAGAGGGCTGGGAATTTATCATCAAAATACTGCCAGACTGTAAATCTGGTGTTAGACACAATGTGAAATTCTGCAGGAATCAAAGTTTCTGTGAATCTTTTGCCTTATGGGGCCTCAGACATTCTAATGTGTGGTTGTGACAAATGGTCTTCAGATGAGACAAACTTTGAAAGATCTGTATTCTCTAGTTTTTTAGCCTTGACACTGTGCAGTGCAGAAACGTGCCTCTGGCAGCTATAAGGAAGATTGGCACATCCATCAGGGTGGGCTGCAGGCCCCTGGGTGAGATGGGAGCACAGGGGTGTCGGTTCCGCCAGCTCTGCTCTGCTCACGTGGATGGTCAGGATTCACAGCCAATGATGGCATCGAGATGGATGCCTCCCCAGGATGGATCATGGCCACCAGCAAAACCCTGGCTGTGGGGCTTGGTGCTGGCCCTGAGTAGGAACCCTGCAGGCAGCTAGGTGAACTCAGCAGGAGCAGCTGTTCCTCTGCTCTTACACAGAGATGACACTGCCCAGTGCACAGAGATGCAGAGATGACACTGGCCAGTGCACACAGATGGGGCTCTAGGATGGGCAGAGATGCAAAATCCTCCTGGAGGAGCGATCATGAGTTCCCAGCTGGGGTCTGGGCTGCCTGGAATCTCCAGGGACCTGTGCCCCAGCCACAGACTCACTGTTGGCCTTTCCGGCTTGGTCAGCTCCTGACTGCCTAGCACCCCTGCTTCTGCCCTGCTCGCTTCACCTCTTCCGGGAATCACAAACCAATTCCTGGCTCTGCCTAAGGCCAGACAGGCCCTACCGTGGCTGGACAGCTCACTCCCAGTCTTCAGTGTGACCACACTCATCTGTCCCGTGTGCACTTGCTGTCCGTGTAGCTGTGGCACATGGGCCATGCTGGGGAGAGGTGGCAGAATGAGGAGTGATCAGGCCATGGGAGCTGTGGCCTCCTGGACCGTCCACCATGCTGAGAGGCAGGCTCACCAAGGCCTGGGAAGAGCTGAAGTCTCTCCCAGCTGAGGTTTATGAGCCACTCAGAAGGTGAAACACCTGCTGAAAAGGGTTTGCTGGTGGCCTCGTTCTGGCTGGGGGCAGAATCCCAGTGAGCAGCAAGCTCCGGCTCTGAGCCAGCTCTCAGCTGCGGGAGGCAGGGCAGCTATGTGCTGCTAGGCGGCAGCTCTGGCCTGAGCTCCTGCTTTGCGACAGACTCTGCTGGGGACCGTGTTCATCCAGCTTCAGTGCCGGCTGCCAGGCTTCCCCAGCAATTAATTAGGAGGCCCTTGAGCACCTCCCCAGGACATGTTTCTGCACCTGTAACTTGTGCAGTCTCCTCATGTGGGAACTCACGCTGGTGGCTCCAGAGAGGCAGCACCTACCTCCACCCAGGGCAGCACAGACACCAGGCCACGTCCTGTCCTTTGGCAGGTAGTTTTCTGGTAACATTTGCAAAATTACCAAAGCTCTCAACCTGAGATCTTGGTCTCAGAGCTCTCAAAACTCTGGACGGGGCCAGACAAGAGCTGAGGGAGACGGTCAGGGCACCTTGACTTGAGAATTTGGGGCATAGCTGACGAGGCTGATTAATCACTGAAAAAGCAAACCCACAACAACAAACACCTATTTTCTTGTCTCTACTTGCTGCCTCCAGGTGTTGATTTTAGGTAATATTGAAGGAGACACAGCCCAGTCACAGGCATCTCAGGACACAGGATTCTAAGGAATTCTAAGATTTAAAACAAAAACAAACGGCAGGAAACTAAATACCACAAAGGCAGAGGGGAAGTGTTTTTATCTCCCCAGAGTCTAAGCACACCGAATTGTTAGAGAAACAGAACAAAAGGCCCATAGACAACATCTTCACACACTGATGAGTGAAGAACCCCACAGGAGCACCAGTGTGCGTGGGCAACTCCAGGCCAAACCCTGACAGAGACAGAGACTGAGGCACGTCCCAGGCCCCAAGCACCAGCCAGCCCGTGACCCTGTCATGAGCAGCATTCCCAGGCCAGGAGGCAGCCCCCGGGCCTCTGCGGCTAAGAGGCTGATGGGAAGCAGAGGCAGACGTGAGCAGAAGCCTTCTGGGGTCCAAACCTCGGAGAAGCCCAGGTGGCCCAGGAAGTTCGAAAGGGCAGGGCCTGGGAGTATCTCATGCCAGATAAAACTGGGCCCTAAACACAGACTGGTGAGCTCAGTATAGCAGCTGCCTCAACAGACAGAGATGCCAGGGAATGGAGGGGCAGGTTCAGATAGAGTGCAATGCAGAGCGAAGGGACAGGTCCCTAAAACACAGCCCCCCGTCACAATCACAGACTCTAGGAGGGAGTCCCGGAACCACAGACCTGGAGACAGGTCCCCCAAAGACACAGCCCGTGTCACAACAGCAGACTCTAGGATGGAGTCCCAGAGCCACAGACCTGGCACGCTGCCCGGGGCCACTGCTCTTGTCACCGTCTCATCTAAACAGGGATGACAGAGAACCACCACGGTCCCAGCCCACATACCACTACCAAGACCACTACCAAGAGGGACAGATGCTCAGAGAAACACCCCCAGGTGGCAGAGGAACCACAGGGAAGCATACCCAGACATTGAATGACAATTCAGCTGACTATTCAAAAAGAAGCTAAATAGTAAAAGAAAAAAATAGATGTTATAAAATATCAGCATATGTCTTATTTTAAAATGAGTAAAAAAGAATATTGGTCAAAGTAAAGACTTGAAAAACAGTCTGAGAAAATCTGGGAAATAATTAGAAATGAAAGGGAAAAAGTGGAAATGAAGAATAAACTAGAATGAACCCAAGAGTGAATAAATGTCATAAATGATGTCATAGAAGGAATAGAAAGTGGGAAGGGAAGAGGAAATCCAGAAAGAGCATAATGACGAAGCGTCAACAGCGTGCAAAGGAGGCGACCCAGGAGGAAGCCGAGGGAGAACCAAACAGTTCACAGGTGACTCCAAGCCACGAAACAGAACAGACATGAAAGCAATTCAAGAAAATGCCCTTACAGAAGAAAGGCCTCCACCTACATTTTTGTAAGATACACCTCATATCTGGGAAAACGAACCAAGAATCACCAAGATTTAGTTCTATCATTGTCTTCTAAAGGATAAAGATAGTAACTAAAATCGACTAAAACATCAGCTGTGTTTACATCCAATTCACAGTAAGTTGGTCACCTTTCGAGGATACTGGGGAACCGATGCAGTATTTTGGAAATTGATATTTAAAGGAAAGAATCAAGTGTTTATTGTGTGTTTTCAGTTTAAACGATACCTTGAGGGAGCCAATAGTTTATGAGGGTGAGTTTCTCTTTATAAAAGTAGGCAAGCTAGTAAATGTGAATAAAATGGCAGAATTAAGAGATTAGCACTTAGCAATCTCTAAGGAAGTCGTAGATCAAGATAGATCATCTGCTTGCATCACGAAAAGACAGACGAGCCGACATCACCTGCTTCCTCATGGAAGGAACTCAAAGCCACCATTAGTCCTGCCAGAGCACTAATCAAACCTGACCCTGATAAAGCTCGGCTCTGACGGCAGATTTACCAAAAATACAGGGGACAGAAGAACAAGCCCCTAAACCATGCCCCAGGCATGATCTATGTCCAAACCATGCTCCAGGAATGCGATGATCTATGTCCAAATGATGGGAAATGCAACATTTGTAAAAAATCTCTTGCTTCTTCAAAAACAAATGAAGAAAATAAAAATGAAGCGTGAAAGGGAAAACATCAGCAGGTTAAAAGAGGCTTAGGAGAGAGAAGCAGAGGGCAATACCTGAAACTGACTTAGTCCTGATATGAAAGCAAACCTCTAAGAGGAAAAAAAAAAGAAAACAGTCAAGGAAATTTAAACCATGGCTGGAAGCCCATTTGATAATGTTAAGGAATTATTTGTTTTTTAAGATGTGACTATGTTACCATGCTTATATTTTAAAATTCCTTATATTGTACTATTATATTCTAGAATATTTACAAGTAAGATTTATATGATGTCGGGGGTTTGTTTCAGACTAATCTAGAGGGGCACTGACCAAAGCAGAAAAACGCTGGCGTTGAGCTGATGCTGGGAAATGAATGCGTGGAGGCGAACTGTGTTATTCCAGCTTTTATGTTGAGCTTTTCCATAATAAAAAGTTATAAGTAGGTAAAATAACAATTACTCCTTAATTGGGTATGTTTGTTTTTTCATATATTTGTAGAGCCTTTTCAACCCAGTGTCAGGCAGCTAAGCACACACTGGACCATCTTACGCCACCTATCTCTCCTATCACAATGGAACTGTTTGTCTTTGATGGAAATCACTCGTCTCCTGGGACCTTTTGAACTGACCTAACCTGTTGTATTAGTTCATTCTCACACTGCTGTAAAGAACTACCTGAGATTGGGTAATTCATCAAGAAAGGAGGTGTAATTGACTCACAGTTGCGCATGGATCGGGAGGCCTCAGGAAACTTTCAATCTTGGCGGAAGTTGAAGAGGAAGCAAGGCCTGTTTTCCATGGTGGCAGGAGACAGAGTGGATGGGGGAGACTTCCACGAACTTTTAAACCACCAAATCTTGTGAGAACTCATGCACTATCATGAGACCACCATGCAGGAAACTGCCCCCATGATCCAATCGCCTCCCACAAGTCCCCTCCCCTGACACATGCCACTTTCAGGCTGCTGATAAAGACATATCCGAGACTGGGTGATTTATAAAAAAAAAAAAAAAAGGTTGAACGGATTCACAGTTCCACGGTTCTGGGAGGCCTCACAATCACAGTGGAGGTGAAAGACGCATGTTACAAGGCGGCAGGCAAGGAGAGTGTGTGCGTGGGAACTCTCCTTTATAAAACCATCAGATCTTGTGACACTTAGTCACTATCATGAGAACAGGCAGGGAAAGACTGCCCTGGTGATTCAATTACCTCCCACTGGGTCCCTCTCATGACACGTGGCAATTATGGGAGCTATAATTCAAGATGAGACTTGGGTGGGGACACAGCCAAACCATATCACATAGGGATTACAATTCCAGATGAGGGTTAGGTGGACAGCTAGAGGAAAATCACGTCACCTGTGTCCCCCTCATGTGACCATTTCCTCTTTGGCTTCTTCCATCCTGGCTGTCCCCTCAGGGCCCACGCCCCTGTGTCCCTCTGCCTGTCATCCTGTGATCTGCTCTGACCCTCTCTTCCTCCTCGTTCAAGTTGAGCATTTCTTACCACAGAAGTGATGATCACGCTGAAGAGTTAACCTGTCATTTCTCATAATACAGAACAAATACGTTCTCTTACGGGAGAGGAAACTACCTGAGATTGTGATAAATTTATACCTCCAAGTAGTGATACAGTGAGCCAAATATCTGACAACCAGCCTTGTGGAGAAAGTACTGAGTTTTGGGGGAAACTGACTCCCCCACTGATCAGTGGTGGGGGAGTCACTGACTAATGGACTAATACAACATGTTAGGTCAGTTCAGTGGCGGAGTCACTGACTCCCCCAGTGATCTCTGCATCCCTGCAGGGACGGGCATCAACCCCCCGGCAAACCCTAATGACACCATAAATATGGGGTAACTGAATTATATGAAAAGAGTACTGAAAACATGCCCACCTTCTGGAGAGGAAGCAAATTGGTGGGGCATTCCCGTGAGCACCCACGCAAGCTACACTGTGCATTTCACAAGCCCTGGGCCACAGCCGCACAAAACAATCTGATGACTTAAGAAAATATATTTCCACTTCAAAACACTGCAGCAATTCCAGAAATCACAGGTGTGATTCGAGCCGCGGTGTCCAGGTTTCTGATGCTCAGGCGTTCATTCTTGGGAGAAGGCGGGAGGCAACTGCAGTGATACCACTCAGCAGAGACCACCACCCTGCACACGTGAGGTCAGAGGGATAGGAGGGAGGGAACTGTTCACGGGAATGCTCCCCAGAGCCCATTTGAAAGAGTTATAAAGTCAGAAGACCAAAGATCAAAGCAGGTCTGAACTATGAAAAGACCCATTCATCAGAAACTGGCAGCACCTCCAGGCCCTGAGCAGAAAGGGGCCGAGCGGTCATGAATCTATTTTCCAGGCCCAGGGAAGATGCATCGTCTTCGCCAATGCATCCCTCTAAATAGTAAATAACAAGCTATTTGAAGTGACACTCACCACGTAGATTAGAATATTTCAGTAATTTGAATGCTTGTCATTGTGACATATTTCTCCTCCGAGAGAATTTCAGGAAAAGTTTCATGTGGACCTGAATCACTGTCACAATCGATTTAATTCCATCTGTGCATGAGTGCCCAAAATGTGTATCGATTATGCCAGGGTTCACAAGAAATGTGGGGAGTAGATGCCGGTGTCCAAAACAATCATCATCACAGCTTATTTGCTTGTTTCTTAAACAACATAATCAGGCTGCTGATGAGTCACACATTGCAGGAGAATTTTAAATGCTCTTTGATGAGGCAAAATTACGCTATCCACACAAAAAGCGCAGGTCCAAATGAACAGATTTCAGCAGGCCCCCTGGAGGCATGTTCTCTAACTATCTGGGCCAGATTCTGCGACATAGAAATACATAAAAGCAGCTAGGAGCTTGAGGAGTACATGGACTTATTGACAATAACCTTCCCAAAGAGGGATCAAAATGCCATGTTGATGCTGATGGTTCACCTGGCCTGGGGCGATTCGCTCTGAGCAGGAGGCGTGCAGGTTGGTGCTTCGGAAGAGCTTTGGGAAAACCTGCCCTATGGTGAAGCTTCCAAACAGAGGGCATGGCTTTGTAAACCGGCTCATGAATGAATGCGCAGGACGGGATGGGCGTGCTCAGTCCTCGGGCTGACTGCAGAACAAACGCCAAAGCATTTCCTCTCAGATCTGAGGGGGCCCCAGCCTCCCCGAGAGTCTTCCTCTCCCACGGAATCTTCAAGGCTGGAACCAACATGGAAATGAACAGCTGCCAAAACGGAGGCAGCTCCATGCAAAACATCCGTGCATGTTTCAAAGTTGGTTTTCAGTGACGGAAGTCATTCAGATGATTAAAACTAAAATTAGCGTTTCAATGTTGTTGAAATGCCAACTGTTGGGAACTGAGGCCAGTCCCACGGGATGGGAGTGCAGCCGGGTGATGAGGCGGACAGCCCAGCTGCTTCGGATCCCGCCTCCCACACAAGTTCAAAATTCATCAAATCATGGCCACATTCCACGTTTCCTGTGCCTCAGGAAGCTCATCTTGTGTTTTCAATTTAGCACACATATCCAAAGATCAGCAGAGACCAGCTTAGCTGAGGTCCACGTGTGACGGTGAAATCAGAGAGGCTGCACTGGGCTCTTTCCTGGAGCCCTTGGCCCCCGTCAGAGGTGCTCCTTGTCCATCCCCTGTGGCCCACACAGCATCCTTTGGCCCCCAAAAGTGACTTTCTAAGGAGGAGATTTGGGGTAGCAAGAAGACAGCTGCCCAGGAGATTGTGGGTGGGAGGCGTCCTCCCTCCACAGCCAGTGAGCCTCTGCCCTGCCACGTGCGGCCCTAGACCTCCCCACATAGTGGCTCACAGGCTTCCACGTGCTGTGGGGCCAGGCGGCAGGAGCACTGGGGGAGAAGAGCCCTTTACCTCCTACCTGATCACCTCGCTGGCTTGGGGAAGACACTGTTATTCTTCTTTGCATTGTTTCTGAAAGTTCTGTGGTGTCTGCCTATTATCGAACCACTCAGGTCTAGTTCTACGTGTTTTGTTCATGGCTCCATCGGCACCCAGCAGAGAGAAGAGTCTGCCCTGACCGCCCTGGCTGCTGGGCCTGCTAGGTACCCTCAAGCCCAGCTCTTGCTCCCTCTTCCCCTCTCTTCCTTACCATCCTTCTGTCCTTTGCTAAAAAGTCAAAAGGACTGAAAATGTGAGAATGCACACTGGCTCTGAGTCAAGATTTTGTTTTCCCTTCATTGTGGCAAATACTTTTTATTGCAAAAGTACATTTTTTAAAAGAGAAAACGCATACGACACTGAGATTCCTGACCACTTCATTTGGGTTCCTGTTGCAGGCCTAGGGTATCCCATGAGCAGGGCTGATGCAGGAGCCTGGTGCAGGATGAACGCACCTGTGGGCTGTGGCAGGACCCAGGGTCCAGCGGAACGTCCAGGCATCATGGGACCAATAACAGCCCAGCTCAGGAAGAGCCTGGGAAGCGTCCCTTATTGATTTGCCTTTCAGGGTCCTCCCCACCCTTCTCTACCAAACATGGGGCCCAGCAGCCACAACATTCCTTCCGTCTCCCTGTTCTGGGGAACTTAAACACACACTTCCACATTCACCCCCTTATCTGAAACTCACAGGCAAGGCAGGGCAGACCAGCAGCCACACAGGAGGGGTTAAAGGGCAGGAGCCAACCCCCAACTTGATGGAAAACAGGGATTCCCTACCTCGGTGCATGGCAACTCCCAAAATCAAACCGTGACCAGCGACTTGGAAGGAGAGCTTCCCACTGGCTGTGTGCACCCTGCAGGAATGCAGGCATCATCTCCTCCACCTGTCCCAACACCCACTGGGGCCTCTGCAAAGCCTCATCTTATACATGAGAAATCTGAGATCAGGGTTGGCTGACTTTGCCCAAAGTCATCCAGCAGGCAAGACATAGAGCTGCAGCACCAAGCCAGGGCTGCCTGACCCCTAAACTCAACCTCTGACACAGCACATGGCACCTCCTATGCACCTGGCCCCCATGACCACTCCTACAGGACTCTGGAAACACAGCAGGGCTGAGCATGTGGGCGCCTGGGTAGGCTGGGGGTGGCAGGCCCTGTGTACAGTGTCTGAAGTGCCCCAAGCCTCCGAGATACCTGCTTCGGCAGGTGCCCAGGACACTGCTAAGACAGAACCTGAAACCTCTTACCATCTGTCTAGCGGTTGAATTAGCTCTTTGCTCATAGTCAATGTGGTCAAAATGATGCCTTTTCTTTCTACACCACCTGAGTACACAGTAGGGAAAGATCTGCTGGGGAAGAGCACGGCCACCTACCGGTTCCTCTTGGTTTTCACATCTTGGTCTTCCCTGTTGTCTTCAGAACTGGACCCATCGCTGTTGTCAGCTGAAAGAAAATCAGATGAACAGGGTTAGAGTTGTCAGAGCTCAGGGCTTTGGCAAAACCACCAGGTGACACTCACTTTCAAGTAGACTTATCTAGAAATTAAGACAACAGGCTTCTCTTAAAGATTGATGTGAAATCCTACGAGTTTCCTCTTGGCACACATGCTTTTACATTTCAGCAGAACAGAAATCTGACTGTGCTGTTCTGCAGAGAGGTCCTCTTTAGAGACTGTCTGTTTAGCAGGTGCTGGGCCTTCCAGAGGGGCTGGGGGGTGGAGAATTACAGGTGGGCCTCTGCTCAGCCTCAAGACGAGGCCTGGGAATGAGCAAATCTATGTCATGTTCTTGAGAGGGAACCATGAGACCGGGGCCACCTCTGCGGCCACTGCCCCAGGGAAGGGTGGCCCCCAGCAGCACCTCCAACAGGCCCACGCTCAGCTCCTCTCCATCCACTGCAACAGATAACGAGATTCCCCTACCCCACATGTGGCCATGCCTCACTATGGACGCCCATCTACTTCCAAAAGCCAAATTGATTTTGAAGACATGATCCCTTATTTCCATTCTGAGGCAGTCAGCCCTGAAAACGTTTGATGAACTTTTGGAATGAAAAAGTAAAAAGGTGCTTTGGTGTTTCCTGTGGTTCTCCAGGAGGGAAGAGGAAAGATAAGCGTGCAGATGGTCTGGAGTGTCATCCAGACCAAAAATTTTTGTATTTTTGGTAGAGAAGCATCACCTGCTTCTCATTCTGTGTCTACCTCTGGCTTATTCCGCCCCGCCCAGCTTGGGTGGCCAACTGAGCTGGGCTGGGCTAGGCTGAACTAGTCTGGGCTGGGCAGAGCTTCCCTCCATCTTCCCATCCAGCCTTGGGCCACCTTCCCAGTGACCGCTGAGCCTGCACCTCCTTCCTGGGAGGGTCTGCGATGAAAACAGCGCTCAGCTCAGGATGAGCCCAGAGTTGATGAGAAAAGACATCAGTTTCAACAATCGCAGGGGCCTCTGCACATTTTCTTTCTATAAAACCCGACAATTCTCCCTACACCTGTTTTTAGAATCCCAATAATGGCTCTGTTACCAGCTCACAGTTCAAATCTATTTACAGGCTTCTTTTCAATGTGCAGCGTGGGGCCCTTGGTAAGAGGAGAGGGTCAGGCTCTGGAAGCCCCGGCTCATCCCAGTCATGCTGCATCATCCTTGTGGGGCCTCCGCCACCTGAGCTGCCCAGGCAGCTCATGGTCACCCCTGCCCACGAGCCACAGGACCACAGAGGCTGCTGTAGCGGGACCGGGGTGCAATGTATCTGCCCTGTACCTTCCAGCAAGGCTGCAGTATCCATCATGCACACCCTGTGTGGGTGCTCCACCCTTCTGAAAGGATGTAGGCCTAGGAGGAAGGAATTCCCATGGGCAGTGCAGAGCGGGGGATGAGCAGAACTTGGCCCCGGAAGGGCGGAGGAGCCACAGCCCGGGCGGAGCTTCCTGGCTTTTCAGCGGCCCCTGGTCCTGAACCTGGCAGTGCTGACTCCGGAGCTGGACTGCTGTGCCCTGGGGGCCGCCCTGTGCCCTGAAGGCGTCTCTCAGCCTCCTTGATCCCTGCCCCCTCCCCACCATGCTAACGAAAATGCCTCCAGAAGTTCCCAAATGTCCACAGGGGTAAATTTGCCCTCCCCAGTTGAGAGCCACTGGTCTAGAGCCAACACCATTGATAATAACTGGGGGGCCATGGAAGGGAAGAGAGGACACTGGAGGGTATCCACTTCCTCCTCTCTGGCTGCCTTCTGCGCGTGCTCCACAGCCCAACACAGCCCTCCAGGCTGGGACCCCAAAGGACACACTTTATGCCCCCTGCTTCCCAAGCTTCACTCGTGCCAAGCCCAGCACCTCCAGGCATTTCTGGTTTTTTTTGAGACGGAGTCTCGCTCTGCCCAGCTTCAGGACGAGGGCCTGGGGTGAGCACTTCTACGTCATGTTCTTGAGAGGAAACCATGAGACTGGGGCCACCTCCGTGGCTGCTGCCCCAGGGAGGGGTGGCCCCCAGCAGTGCCTCGCCCAGGCCCGCCCTCAGAGGCTCTCCATGTTCAGCCTGTCACCCAGGCTGGAGTACAGTGGTGCGATCTCGGCTCACTGCAACCTCCACTTTCCGGGCTCAAGCAATTCTCCTGCCTCAGCCTCCCGAGCAGCTGGAATCACAGGCACCCGCCACCACACCAGGCTAATTTTTGTGTTTTTAGTAGAGACAGGGTTTTACCATGTTGGCCAGGTTGGTCTTGAACTCCTGACCCCAAGTGATTCGCCCCCCTCAGCCTTCCATAATGCTGGGATTACAGGCGTGAGCCACCATGCCGGGCCACCTCCAGGCATTTCTACTTCCTGGCTGTGGGAACCTGCTCTTCCCATTCAAACTGAGGGCACTGGGCAGGCACAGTGGCTCACGCCTGTAATCCCAGCACTTTGGGAGGCAGAGGTGGGTGGATCATGAGGTCAGGAGTTCGAGACCAGCCTGGCCAACATGGTGAAACCTCGTTTCTACTAAAAATATAAAAATTAGCCGGGTGTGGTGGCAGGTGCCTATAATCCCAGCTACTCAGGAGGCTGAGGCAGGAGAATCACTTGAAAACAGAAGGCAGAGGTTGCAGTGAGCCGCGATTGTGCCACTGCACTCCAGCCTGGGTGAAAGATCAAAACTCTGTCTCAAAAAACAACAAACAAACAAACAAACAAAAAACCGAGGGCACCCTGGGCACCCTGCTCCCTGCCTCAGCCTCTCCACCCCAACACCCTCTAAGGAAGTGCAGTACTCCTCGGCTGTGCCCCTGAGTCCTCTCCCGCTGGGGCGCTGGGTCCCGAGCTCTCACTGTGCCCTCCCGGTTTTCCCTCCCTGGTGCCCTGGCTTCTCCCTGGTCCCTCCTGGTCGTTCCTCCCTGCGTCACTGGGCCTTCTGGCCGTCTCATTCGGAGGCACCGGGGCCTCACAGAGGCTCTCTCAACTCCCCGGGCCCTCCGCCTGACTGCCTTTCTGCACCTCGTGGCGTTTGAAATCTTTTCCAAGGTGTGCCTCCTGCCTGCCGTGTCCAGGGGAGGGAGCATTCCAGCTCTGCCTGGAAGAAGGCATGGGAGTGGCACCTCTCCTCCACCCACACCAGAACGTACCCAGGGAGGCCACGGGGGAAACATCCACATTTCTTAAAACTTAAAAAATGAGGTCATGCAATTACACACATATTATTTAAAGTACATGTGTATAATATTGGTAATTTTTTAGGGTTTTAAACATTGGTTTGTTTTGAATAGTTTCAACATGGGCAAAGCTTTCCTAATTATGATCCAGACTCATAAACAAAAATATGTATAAATTTAACAGACTTAGAGAATACAAAACCAGAGGGGTTGCCGTGCACAACGGCAGCATAGCAAGCTCTCTGGTTGGGTCTCCACCAAGACTGCCGTCAAGCTGTAGGGGGATTAGAAGTAAGTATTTCAGCTCTCTGGAAGCAGATCAGACACTTACAACAGCTAGGGCTGGTGTAACAATCATGCTAGAGGCTGAGTGCGATGGCTTATGTCTGTAATCCCAGCACTTTGGGACGCAGAGGTGGGCAGATCACCTGAGGTCAGGAGTTCGAGACCAGCCTGGCCAACATGGTGAAACCCCGTCTCTACCAAAAATACAAAAATTAGCCGGGTGTGGTGGCACATGTCTGTAATCTCAGCTACTCAGGAGGCTGAGGCAGGAGAATTTTTTGAACCCGGGAGAGTTCAATTTTTTGAACTCTGTAGTCAGCCAAGATGGCGCCACTGCACTCCAGCCTGTGTGACAGAGTGAAACTCTGTCTCAAATAATAATACCGAAAAATAAAGAATAGCACTAGAGAGGCTGCCATTCTCTGCTGACTGCAAAGACAAGGGAACAGAATCTTCAGTCACCACACACGGTGAGGAATACAGGCTTCAGGGGCATCACACATGGATGGCTCCAGCCTGCACAAGCCCACATCAGCGATCTCTGGGAAGTGAGAGAATCTGATTTCCACCAAAGTTGCCCCATTACAATGCCTAGCATATCTACTTTTCAACAAAAAACTCAAAAGCATGCAAAACCAGGAAAGTAGGGCCAATTCATCTGATAAAAGATATTTGATAGAAATCATCCCTGAAGAAGTCCATGTGTAAAAATTAATGCAAACGGAGTTAACTGTACAAGTTACAAGTATAAGGGTTGTTGAAGAAAACATAAGGGGAAAATCGTTGTGACACTGCTTCATCATTGCAGAGTTTCTGCTATGGGTGAGAAAAGAGTTGTAGAAATAGGTAGTGTTGACAGCTCTCCAACATTGTGAACATACTGAACGCCACTGAATTGTACATTTACACATGGTTAAACGGTCAGCTTCATGTTATATATATTTTACCACAGTGAGAAAAAAAATCAAGGACAACTTGTTCTATGGCAAAAAAATCGAAAGACCAGTAAAATATTATAATAATATTGTAGCCAAACACTGTTAGCCTTGATCTTCAAGTCCAAGTAACTCAATAAGAAAGATAAGGAACACAAACACAAAACAAATGGCCAGCAAACCTGTGAAAAACTGTTCAATTTCACTCAAAATTAAAGCAATGCCAACTGAAGCAAAGAATGGCTTTAAGAATTAAGTCTCATGCTCTACAGTGCTAAGGAGATCATGCAGAATCTACCAGTACAAGTGTGAACTGATCAGTCTCTTTGGGAGAAGATTCGGCAGTACCTGCCCAAAATCGAAAATGCACGTACCTTTTGAGCCAACAATTCTAATAATGTGAAATTACACAATCGATATGTTTGCAGAAACACTCCTAAGGTAAAAACCTAGGTACAAAGATGTTCTTTCCAGCACTGTGTGTGGGAGCACAAAGCACATGACCCAGATGTCCATCCAAGAGGAGGCTCTGAGGAAGTCATCATGCATCCAGACAGGGCAAGGGTAGGGGGACAGGAGATGGATAGGAGAGAAAAGCAGGGGATTGGAGGGAGAGGGAACTGGGTGCGGGAGGCAGGGAGGCTCTGAGTCTGAAAGATAGCCAAGACGCATTACAGGTGCGGTGCAGACAGCGTGCAGCAGCATGTCAATCTCTAACATGTTTGTGCAGCAGCATGTCAATCTCTAACATGTTTTATTAATGCACACACACCAATATCTATGTATGTTTTAAATGTATTGTTTTTTATGCATTTGCCAGCAAGGCTATGCATATGTGTGTGTGTGTCTGTGTGTGTGTGTGTGTGTGTCTGTGTGTATGTGTGCCTGTGTATGTGTCTGTATGTGTACATGTGTGTTTCTGTATGTATATGTGTGTCTGTGTGTGCTTGTGTGTCTGTGTGCGTATATGTGTGTGTATGTGTATGCATCTGTGTGTGTCTCTGTGTATGTGTCTGTGCGTGTATATATGCATTTGTGTGTGTGTCTGAGTGTGTTTGTAAGTCACTGAGTTCAGGGAATGTGGCTGGCTGCATCAGGTAGTAAAAGTCCTGAGTCTCTGAGTCAAATGTCTTCCTTTCTGTGAGTGGTGGGGAATATACCTAATTTTGTCAGTCTTCTTAGAGAGGGTAGGCACAACCTTTGGTAAAACTTACTATGGAATCACAGGAGCTGAATGTTGGTGTGTAAGGCAAATTCGCATTCAGATGGGATCCTAGGCACGCCTAAACTTCCCACTCATCACATTTCTCTCATACGCAGAATGCACCCTACGAATACAGAGAGGTCCAGTTTTGGTACCTGTGGGTGCCTGGCTGGACCTGCTGGTGGACCCAGCCCCTGCACAGCCAGGCCTCTCACCTCCGGTGCAGGTGATACCCCCACCCCTGCTCCTGGCAGGAGCTCAGCCCCACAGGACCCTGCTGCCCAGTGGCCCTGAGCTGTGTGCTCTGCCCTCTCTGATGGGGCCTCCTGCTCCGCATCCTGTCCGATGTCCTACCCTACTCGCTCGGATCCTGAGTCCTGAGGAGGATGGGGCTTGGTAGGTTAGAAGGTAGTGTCATCCTCCCTCCCCAGAACAGTTGCACTCAACCCTGTGAGTTGGATGTGAACCCCAGGTCACGCCTTAACCTCAGGTCCCCCCCATCTAGGCAGCACTCAGGCTCAGCATCTTTGTGGAGAAGTCAGTGTTCTCCCAGGACTGTGGCTTTCCTGGGCACGAAGAGGGGCACAGTGGGGGGTCCTCCTGCACGGGCCAAGACCCCAGAGAGCACCTTGCAGGGACTGGGCCAGAACTCATCCACAGGCAGGCAGCGGTGCGAGGGATGCCCAGGAGGCAAACAAGGGCGGGCACCAGGACGAGATGGAGAGCCGGAGCCCTTGGTGGAGAGGGCAAGGCACATGACTCAGGGCAGCAGGGTCCTGTGGGCTGAGCTCCTGCCAGGAGAGGTGGTGGAGGTGCCGCCTGCACTGGAGGGCAAGAGGCCTGGCTGTGCAGGGGCCGGGTTTGATCCACCCCACTCCACCAACAGGTCCAGCCAGGTGCTCACAGATGCTGAAACTGGACTTCTCTGTATTCCTAGATTGCATCCTGCTTATGAGAGAAATTTGATGGGTGTGGAGTTTAGGGATAGAAAGAGCCGCAGCAGAGCTGCAACTACCCCGAATAGGAGATGGACCTGACACGGCCACTTTGCTTTGCTAGGCCTGGGCTCCCAGCTGAAACTCAGGGAGGAAGTTCTAGATTTGGTCAATAATCATAATGGGGAACCTCTCCGTGGCCACTTGGAAATGCCACACCACGGGTGCTGTGATCTCTGCAGGGCTTCCCCGAGCCTTCCACTCTTTGAGGCTCACTGTCCCCAGACAGCCATCCTCCATCCCTCTCAGCTCAGACTCAAGCGCACCTTCTTCCTCCTGCCTTAGAGCTCAAAACACACCCTTTACCTCCCCTCCCTGCCTCCTGGGGTCCAGTGTGAGTGACCGTGCCTCAGGGAGAAGCCCCTGGCTGCTGCGCGGGGTCACCCCACTCCACCCATCCATTGTTGCTTGCTTCTCTTCCCCAACCCACAAGGCATAGCGCTCCCTGCCCAACATCTGCTCATCTTTGGCGTCCTGTGTCTAGCCCAGTGCTTGGCCAGTCACCAGTCCCTAAATAAAGGATTGGTTCAGAAGAAAAGGAACTTCCTCTCCTCCCTCCCTTCCCTTGCTCCCTCCCTTCTCTCCTTTCCTTTCCTCCTTTCCAACTTCCCCTCCCTCCTTTCCAACTTCCCCTCCCTTCCCTTTCTTTCCTTTGCTCCTGGCCCTGGAGGTGGTTGGTGGCTTGATGTCTTAGGTCCTGGCGGAAACTACTCCGAAAAACGCTATTCTAGCATCTCTCTTTCTCCACCAAATTCACTGGTGCATCCAGGAGCCTGGCTCAGCCCCTGCCCTGCCCACCCAGCCTCCCAGCTGAGGCCAAACACAGCAAGCTGAGGGGTGAGTGTGATCAGAGTGTCCTAGAGACTCTCCCAGCTCCCGCACATCCCAGCTCACCCCTTCCCTTGCACCGGCTGCCCTGCAAGCTCCACCCTCACACTCGACTTTCTGCACAGTCAACTCAGGATTCTGCAAGGAAGAGACACCTGTCGCAGTTCACCTGCTTCACCTTGGCATCACGTTACAGAGACTAAACAAAGTGGGCACTACAATGGAGCTTAGCAAACAAGCCACCTGGATCATTCATTGTGCAAAGAGGCGGCTCAGGCCCTGGAGGCCAGCAGAGGGTGCCATGATACGAAGGCCAGGATTTCTCCCAGAGAGCCTGGGGCAGGTGGGATCCAGGTGGGCAGAGCCTCCCACATCGCCCTGAATCCTCACAGACAGAACCACACTAGCTCACCACCCTCCAGGGCTCTGGCATTTGTGTTTTCAGCGGCCCTGGGTCCCCCCAAGTGCCCCGGCTGCCTGGGCCCCTGGTGAGATAGATCCAGTGTGCGCTGTCTTCTCTGACAAACTCAGGAAAGTGACCCATTCACCAGTCACAGCTGTGTTTACTCACCGGACAATTTTACATCCTACTTGGTGAAATGAATGTCATTATCAATTTACATTGGTCTTGAATATAAATGGCTAAAGCGTTTACAGAGCAATTAAGCCCAGTGAGGTTCATGTCATCTGCCCGCAGACTAGGGAAGGACAGTGTTGAGTGCACGGCTGCTGCAGCTGCTGCCTGGTGAGCTCGCACCAAGAGTCACCTGTGTCCATCACAGGCTGCCCTCAGGTCTGGCATCAGACCCGCCGGGGTGCAAATCCCCATTCCCCTTCAGTAGAGGTGTGGCCCTGGGCAAGTCAGATAAGCTCCTTTTTAAATTCCCTCTTCTGTAAAGCAGGCACGGGCCACAGATTCATGCCCCCCACCATTCCCAAGCAATGTCCACATCTGAATCCTGGAAGGTGTGCATACACTGGACTACCTGGCAGAAAGGATGGAGGTTGCTAAACAGCTCCCCTTGAGGTGAGAGACCATCCTGTCATCCAGGTGGCCCCATAGACCACAGGGACCCTTCAGAGTGGGAGCGGGAGGCAGAAGGGCCAGAGCCAGAGAGAGAAGAGAGAGAGGCAAGATGGACGAGGGGGCCAGGAGTCAAGGAAATCTCCCCTGGATCCCCTAGGAAGAACACAGCCCTGCCGATGCCAGTGAGGCCTCTGCTCGACGTCTGCCCTCCAGAACTGTAAGATCATCACCTTGTGTGGCTTTTAGCCTCGTGGTGATAATTTGTTACAGCAGCAAAGGGGTCTCCAATGCTGATGGCACCTACTGCATGGGACTGAGGAGGGAAGTCCACGGAACCAAGTGTGGGGGTTGCACGCACCCAGGGTCCCTGCAGGCGGTCCCTCCCCTCTCCAAGGCAGTGAGAAGGCCCTCTCTTCACTTCTTACCCCAGGGCTCCGGGTCCTCCTCGACCCCTTGGAGGCACTAACAGAGACAGCCAGGCAGGAGGAAAGAGGCCAGGGTATGTATTCCCTCTCTCTCCCTCGCCTCTCCTCCCTCCAACCCAGAGGAAGAACTCGAGGGCCCCAGCTCCAACAATTCCCACCAGGCTGCACCAAATGTCCCAGTGAAGTGACAGGTGGCCCCCGTGGCCAAAGCAAGCAGAGCGGGCCAAGGTGGTGGGGCTACAGGTGCACAGCCAGATGGCAGGGGGGTTTCTGCCGTCACTACCAAGAGAGGGTTTGGCTGCTGCAGGCGAAGACAGCGAGAGAACCACGCCTCTGACAGGCCTGGGAAACGCGGGCACGGGTGGGAACACAACACACCAGCACCCTCCAAACTGAAGTGTTGGTAAGATCCCCGAGAACCGCATGGCACGGAACGGATGGGGCTGGGGGTGAAGCCTGGCACTTCTCATTTTCCTCCAGCTCTACTGGCATTTATTCTCAACTAACAACACAGTTACTACAGCTATAAAAAATCTGGATGCACCGCAAGGTAATTAGAAAATAATTCAAGACTTTGCTGGAATCCTTCAGCAGTGCTAACAGAATGACAAAGCGGACTCTTTCCTTATCTGTGGAATGACGAACGTCTCAGCACTTCTGGAGGCGCTGCCTCCTGTCTCCCACAGCTGCCTGGCACTGTGAGCCACAACTTCCACGTCTCCTATCCCCACTGAAGACACACGCACACGCAGGCACACACGCTCACACATACACACACGCTCCCGAGACCTAAGAGCAGTTAAATGTGGCAGCCATGTTACAAAATTCTTCTACTTCATTTGCCTCTTGAAAAATAATGGATGTCGACTGAAATGCTTAATTGTCCCATTGCAGACTACAAATAGGTATGAATATATTCAAATCTACAATGACTAATAGTCAAACAAAATGTGAAAAACAAAACTCTCCACTCAAACCATCTCCCCTAGGCTTGTTATCATAATTAGGGTTAAATATCTGACGAGCCGCGACGAACGATCGGCCAGGGAGAATGCCAGTCACTGCTGCTGGTTGCAGGTCATCAGCTCTGCTCCCCGATCACGAATTAACCCTCTAGAAACACCTCCTGTCCTAATTGTGTCGCTGCGAAGCTCTCTGAGTGCATTTTCGGGAATGGGAAGTTGTTCTCTTAAACATCAACTGCACCCTGGCAACCGGAAGTTGAGAATCGAAGTCATTTGCATATCCTTAAGATTCAGGTTAAAAAAAAAAAGACTGGTTGAAAACAAATCTCTTCCTCTCTTTATATGAGGAGGGAAGTAAGATTAAAAATCGTTTTATAACCACATGTAATTTTGTAATGTCTAAGTAGAGTACTTAGGTCTACCATAATAAAATGGGTATCAGACAAAATACCATATCATGCTAAATCTAAACTAATCAGGTATTTCTGGTTGTAAAACCTTAACTCTCTACCTTTCAGAGTATAACATGAGATTCTTGTTAAAAGAAGGAGACGGAGCATCGAGCTATGAGCCAGGAAATCCAGGCCCCTGTCGTCCACCCACAGTCCTGGCGAGCCCTGAGACCGCAGGTGGCCCAGTGGGGGCGTTTGCAGATGCCTCCCTACCTCTTTTCAGACCTGACCTGATTTGGTCCAAACAATAGAAATGAGAGAGCAACTATGCATTGCCTTTAATAAGTTCATTTGTTTCTCATTACTACCAATTTTGGGAGGGAAAAATGAAACAGCACCAAATTATCTACAAGAACGCAAGCTAAAGAAAGGAGTGAGGAATCTGCCAGCATGATCTGCCTTTGCCAAGCAAATAAAATCATTGTTAGGACAAACTGTGCCTTAATGTTTCCCGTGGGATCTGAGGGTGTCCTGATTTCCCTAAACTGTGCACCATCTTCTTGTCCATGAGTAAGAACCTTGAAAGGGTGCTTCCTGTCATGATTTTAAAGCACTCTTTCAAGACGTACAAGGCCCTCTTTTAATAATGAATGTGACCTGATCAAAGGAGGAAATGCAATTGCCAAATTCAATCTTCATTGTCTGTAAATACAGCAACGTTTTACAGACTCAACTCCATATGGACCTTGGAGATTTTTCTTTTCCCAACATCAGTTGATCCAGTCTCTGGATAATGCTGTTACTATTTTAAATGGAATAAACATTTTAAATGTGTGATGTCTCAATCTTAAAAGACTACCACCATGTCTCTTAGCATGGTTAAAAATGCTGATAAAACTTTTATAATACTGTCTTCTGAAGCTTCAGTCAAATACCTCTGGATTTGACACAAAGTGTGAATTACCATCATCTAGCATTAGCCCTCAATGACGTGAAATTAAAAATGCCACTAAGAACCCAATAGAATACCACACAAAACTAAAACAAAGAGTCAAGCTCCCCTTTCACTGGCCTGGCCTTGTAGCCAGGCATCTCTGCCTCTCAAGTTGGCAGGGAGCTCCTGCTCTCAAATGTCTGCAGTGGAGTCAAGACCGTTTGAATCCACATGCTCTGGGAGGAGGGCTTTCCCCACGCAGCAGCTAATAAAATATGTATTAGATCTAATCGGAAAAGATCCTTTGTGAAAATGCTGAAAGTTCCTCTCTGTTTCTTGGCGAAACAAGATTTACAGGCATTGTCAGAAACAACTGCCTCTGCCAAGCACCCCATTCCTCTGCAGCTGAAGAAAATCTCTTCCCCTGTCCGTGACCAGGGTTTTATGGAATTGAGGCATCCATCCAAGCACAACAGCAGATCAATGTGCTGCAAAGGTCTAAAGTGAATGTAAGGTGGAAGAAAACACACTCCCATCTGCGTACATCTGGTCTCTGAAGTGGCGTTCATAAGACATTTGGAACAAGAATAAAATGCTGGGTAACAGTGATGCTGGATGGAAGCTTTGAGGGGCGGAGGGAATGAATGGCCATCTCTGCGTTAATCACCTTACGTGATGCAAAAAGACAGCCAGAGCCGACCGCTTGGAAGGATCAAGGTTTCTGCAGGAAGTGCCATAAAAACTTGATTACTAAACTCTGCAATCGGGCACAGGATTCCTTAATAGTCAATTTTCAACATAACCAAGAAGAAACATGCTTTCACTTTACGTTCATTAGAAATAAGCAGCTTAAACACTTCAAAGGAGGTGTAAATAACCCAGGGCTTAGTTACTTGCTGGTGCCTCCAGCTTGCGTTTGTGGGGCGGGTCCTCAATGATCCTGTTGAGGTCTCCGCGGTCCTTCAGGTCCATGGGCTTCTCCCAGACAGACAGGTGCATCGTTGGGTTGAAGAAGAAAACTCGGTCATCGCCCGTCCAGACCACACACCTGTTTGAGTGGAAAAACTCATCTCAGTCGCTCTCGGAGACACTTAATTAGAAAGTCGTTAGCATGAACTCTCACTGAAAAAGCCCCTCAGGACCGAAATCCACACATTTGCAAAGCTTGTTTATGGATAGTATGAATACTAAAGACAAAGCCTGCCTTTTTAGGTGACCTTACGGATCTGACTCATTTGATTAACAGGTAGACATTCTTATCACCAGCCTTAGACCAGGGAGAACAACAACATTCAGAGAAGCCAAGCAGCTCATCAAGGTCACAGGCAGGCAGAGCTCTCTCCAGCCCACCAGCTGTCACTGCCTCAGTGAAATTCCATTCCAGATGCAGAGCACTCTGGGGCGCCTCCTGGCCCTGGTTCCGGCAATAGAGTAATTCGGAGAGCGGCTCCCTACACTTCCCCAGTTGAGCTCTGCATGGCCATCAAGCAATGCGCACGGCCACAGGTCATTACCCTCCGGCAGCAGCAGAATTAAAAGGGCTGCTGTCATTAGCAACCACAGCCCCGGTGTCCTGCTCATTTGTGGATGGGCAAATAAGGAAGATTTGTATTTTCATTTATGGAAACTGAAGACATCTAAAAGGAATTATGTGCCCTTTTTAAGCCCCTTATCTGTGAAAAGTTATCAGAAAAGATTAAAAAGAAAAAAAAATGAAGAGAAGAAAATTAATGAGAGGGAAGGAAAGGAAAAAAGTCCCTCCCTAAGGAATGCGGGTCCGGGAGCCTGCGGCATGGAGGTGCACGGGAGACTCTGCACTCTGACACTCTGACCCCGCGCTGTCCCCACGAGCAAGCGCGGCAGATAAAGGCCAGCAAGGCCGGCCGGGGCTCTGGGTTTAACCCCTAAGTCGTGTCAGGGTGCTATTAGAGATTGAGGCCTGTGCTGGCACCGAGGCCCGTTCCAGGTGTGGACCTCCCAGGAGGTTCCCCTGGGGCAAGCCCCCTCCCCTCTCTGGGCCTCGGCTTCCTGCAGTGACTTCAGAAGGTCCCTCTGGCTCCGCAAGTCTCCTGGGACTTTTCAGATGTGCAGGAGTGAATGGGTGGGAACACCCACATACCCACCTCTAGCTATTGACTTCCCCGAGGGAGGCCCCCGACCTGTTGGGGGTACTGTCGGGCACGGCCTAGGCCCCCGGTAGCCCACTCACGCCTCACTCCCGCCAGCCTCGCACAGGTTCGGGAGGAGCTGGGGATTCGTGCCAAAAGAAGCCACTCTGTTCTGCATGCAGAAAATCACTCCACACTTCACTCACCCAGGCACGTTCCATGGGCCAGGCAGAGGGCTCAGGGCCTGGGGCCCTGCATGTTGGCAACCCTGGGCAGACCAGGACCCCTCCCAGAAATCACCCTGAGAAGGTGTGCCGGCTCCACTACTCAGCCCAGCCACGCTCATGAGTGTGGGAGCCAAAATGATGGCTCCAAAGACGTCCACGTCCTGATCCCTAGAACAGGTGTGCATCACCTTACATGGCAAAGGGTCTGTACAGTTGGGATTAGGACCCTGAGATGGGGGAATAGCCTGGTCATTCAGGTGGCCCCAAATGTAATCACAAGGGTCCTTCTAAGAGGGAGGTGGGAAGATCAGTGAGGAAGAGATAGGAAGATGGAGGCAGAGGTGTTTCACACAAACACACTCTCAGAGACACACACAAACACACATACACACAAACAGACACACAGAGACACACATGCACACAGACATAGAGACACACACATAAACACACAGATATACAGAGACACACATGCACACAGAGACACACACATGCAGAGATACACACATAAACACACACAGACACATACACAGACACATGCACACATATATACACACACAAAGGGACACAAATGCACACATATACACATGCACAGAGACACACACATGCAGAGAAACACACATACACACAAATACAGACACACAGACACACATGCACACGTAGACACACACAGAGACACACATGCACACACACACGGAGAGACAGAGATCGGGAGATGCCTGGCCTTGAGGCTGGAGAAAGGAATCACGAGCTCAGGGTTGCAGGGGCCTCTGGAAGATGGAAAAGGCAGGAAATGGACCTCCCCATAGGCTCCAGAAGGATCCAGCCCTGCCCACACCTTGACTTTCGCCCAGTGAGACCTGTGTCAGACTTCTGATCCTCCCAACTGTAAGAGAATCAATGTGTGTCGCTGGAGCCCTGAGTCTGTGGGAGACGAATCAATGGGCTTCCCCCTCGGGGCGACTCTGTCCTGAGCACCAGCATCTGGGAGCCCTGACCTGAACCCCAAGTGTTGTGCCTGGAGGCCTTGGCCACAGCTGGCCTGGTCATCCATGTGGGAGAATATGACCTGCCCTTCTGCCTGGCAAACTTTCCAGCTCCAGCCCTGCCCTTGACCTACCAGGTGACCCTGAGAAGGTCGCCTCCCCTCGCTGGTGGCCTCATGCCCTCAACCCTTCAGATGGGGGGTGGAATGGGAATTTGCTTTATCTGGACAGTCCACCCAACTAGGGAAATGGACCAAGATAGAGTGTATCACACTCCCATGCCAGGTCCTGCCCTCAGGGGAGCGGGCTCATGGGCCCGTGGGGTGCTGCCCAGGCCCATGCTGGAGGCTGGAAAATGAGGCTGGCCAACTACAGCAGACTCCACACCCAGGTAGCTGGATCCCTTCCTGCTCTCAGATCAGGCAGACCATTGTCCCCAGCAAGCCCAGGCCAGGGATACCTGACCTCTGGGGCCTGCAGGGAGGCTGTGGGTATGCATTTATGGTGCAGAACCCGGCTAGCATAGGAAGTTTTTATTGAGTCTAAAGCTGAAGGTAACCACACTGTGCTGTAAATTATGCACAATTCAGCTACTATATGAACTCTGCAGACAGCATGGGCCAATAGGGAACATAAGCCCAGGGTAGAGACTGACTCCTTTCCTCCAGACGCAGACCTGGTGATGACCTGCTTCCCGGGTGGAGCTGTGAGTGAGTGGGCCACAGGCAGAGCCTATTATTAGCTCCCCACGAGGCCTGGGCTCTTTGGCAACACGTAGGACGTGGACAGTTTTACTACTGCGACATTGGGCTCTGTCTCCAGGCACCCCTCTTGCAAGGAATGCAGCTAGACTCATCGATGAGACCCTGATGCCAGCGGGGGTGCAGGGAGTGAAGAAACCCTGAGCCCGCCTCCTCATGCTGTATGTCTCATGCCCAGCATGTCAGGACCAGAGGAAGCCCAGATCCGGCCCCTCAAGGGCTTCAGAAGCTTCCATGACTGGACAGTGGCTGGAAAGGCAGCCCCAAGCCTGAAGCTCCCAGCAGCAAGAGGGCCCATTTCTAACAGTATTGCTTGGGATGTTTTTTCATGATGTTTTGCTGCAACTGGTCTGAGTGGCAAATCCTAGAAGCGTCCTTGGCTCTCTGTGTTCCTCTCTAGCAACTTAAGACTTAAAACCTGTTGTGTAAACCCATGAAGGTCTCACCAGGAGCCTGACCTCACCTGGAGAGCACAGAACAACTTCCTGTGACCTGGGTACAGCAGATGGACCTGTTGAGCACCATGTTTCTGGCAGGAGGCCATCTGGCCCCCAGCCTCCAACGGCCTCACCCAGAGGTGGGGGGACCTGTGTGCTCCTCTAGAGTCACTGAAGTGTGGGGATACTCAGCCAGGGGCCAGATGCTCACTGAGGCATCTCCAGTTCACTAAGAGCTGCTAGGTGCACACAGTGTCAGGCATTCATACTGCATTCCACAAGCAACAGGGCCACGGGAGAATTATCCGGAAGCCAGAGGCCTCGGGACACAGGCTCAGACTGGCTGAGTGGCCCCATCCAATCCCAACCCTCCCACTGGCTTGGGGAGCTTTCCTAACTTGGTAACTCGCCAGCTTTCCTGAACACCCAGGGGTGAGCCCTGAGCCAGTTGAGGGCCAGAGGACTGGGGGAAGAAGAAGCTGAAAGAGGTGAGAGGATGACCCATTTCCTGGCAGGGACCAGCAAGAGCTCTGTTCTGCCCACTGCAGAGTTTAAGAGAAACAGGACTTCAACTTTGGGCCCCGATAGCACACGTGGATCTCCTGTCATCCTGCGCTAGGCTGAGGGCAGGTCAGTGGCTGTATGAGTCCATTCTCACATTGCTGTAAGGAGATACCTGAGACTGGGTAATTTATAAAGAAAAGAGGTTTAATTGACTCACAGTTCCTCATGACTGGGGAGGCCTCAGGAAACTTACAATCATGGCAGAAGGCACCTCTTCACAGGGCAGCAGGAGAGAGAATGAGTGCCAGCAGGGGAAGTGCCAGACTCTTATAAAACCATCAGATCTCATGAGAACTCACTCGCTATCACAAGAACATCATGGGGGAAACCACTTCCGTGATTCAATTACCTCCACCTGGTCCCACCCTTGACACACGGGGATTACCATGAGGTGAGATTTGGGTGGGGACACAAAGCCAAACCATATCATTCCACCACTGGTCTCTCCCAAATCTCATGTTCCTTTCACATTTCAAAACCAATCATGCCTTTCCAACGGTCCCCCAAAGTCTTAATTCATTCCAGCATTAACCGAAAAGTCCAACTCTAAAGTCTCATCTGAGACAAAGCATGTCCCTTCCACCTATGAGACTGTAAAATCAAAAGCAAGTTAGTTACTTCCAAGACACAAATGGGCGTACAGGCATTGGATAAATGCTCCCATACTAAATGGGAGAAATTGGCCAAAACAAAGAGGCTATAGGCCCCATGCAAGTCCAAAATCCAATACGGCAGTCATTAAGCCTTAAATTTCCAAAATGATCTCATTTGACTCCACACCTCACATCCAGGTCATGCTGATGCAAGAGGCGTGCTCCCTCAGCCTTGGGTAGGTCTTCCCCTGTGGCTTTGCAGGGTACAGTCCCCTTCCTGGTTGCTTTCACGGGCTGTTGTTGAGTGATGGTGGCTTTTCCAGGTGCATGGTGCAAGCTGTAGGTGAATCTACCATTCTGGGTTCTGGAGGACAATGGCCTTCTTCTCACAGCTCCACTAGGCAGTGCCCCAGTAGAGACTCTGTGTGGGGGCTCTGACCCCACATTTCCCTTCTTCACTGCCCTAACAGAGGTTTTCCATGAGGGCTCTGCACCTGCAGCAAATTTCTGCCTGGACATCCAGGCATTTCCATACTTCCTCTAAAATCTAGGTGGAGGTTCCCAAACCTCAATTCTTGACTTCTGTGTACCCAGAGGCTCAACACGTGAAAGCCACCAAGGCTTGGGGCTTGCACCTTCAGAAGCAATGGCCTGAGATGTACTTTTGCCCCTTTTAGCCATGGCTGATGCTGAAGCAGCTAGGATGCAGGGCACCTTGTTTCAAGGCTGCACAGAGCAGGGTGACCCTCCTAGCCCTCCAGGCCTGTAATGGCAGGAGTTACCATGAAGCTCTCTGACATACTCTGGAGACCTTCTTCCCATTGTCTTGGTGATTAACATTTGGTTCCTTGTTATTTATGCAAATTTCTGCAGCTGGCTTGAATTTTTCCCCAGAAAATGGGTTTTTCTTTTCTATCGCGTGGTCAAGCTACAAATTTTCCAAACTGTTATGCTCTTCCTCCTCTTGAATCCTTTGCCACTTAGAAATTTCTTCCACCAGACACCCTAAATCATCTCTCTCAAGTTCAAAGTTCCACAGATCTCTACGGCAAGGGCAAAAAGCTGCCAGTCTCTGCTAAAGCATAGCAAAAGTGGCCTCTACTCCAGTTCCCAGCAAGTTCCTCATCTCCATCTGAGACCACCTCAGCCTGGACTTCATTGTCTATATCACTGTCTATGTTTTGGTCAAAGCCATTCAACAAGTCTCTAGGAAGTTCCAAACTTTCCCACATCTTCCTGTCTTCTGAGCCCTCCAAGTCTCTAGGAAGTTTCAAACTTTTCCACATTTTGCTATCTTTTTCTGAGCCCTCCAAACTGTTCCAACCTCTTCTGCTACCCATTTCCAAAGTTGCTTCCACATTTTCAGGTATCCTTATAGCAGCACCCCACTCCTGGTAAGAATTTACTGTATTAGTTCATTCTCACATAGCTATAAGGAAATACCTCAGACTGGGTAATTTATAATGAAGAGAGGTTTAATTGACTTACAGTTCCACATGGCTGGGGAGGCCTCAGGAAACTTACAATCATGGCAGAAGGCACCTCTTCACAGGGTGGCAGAAGAGAGAATGAGTGCCAGCATAGGAAATGTCAGACGCTTATAGAACCATCAGATCTCATGAGAACTCACTCGCTATCAGGAGAACAGCATGGGGGAAATGGCCCCCATGACTCAATTACCTCCACCTGCTCCTGCCCTTGACACATGGGGATTATGGGGATTACAATTCGAGGTAAGATTTGGGAGGGGACACAGAGCCAAACCATATCAGTGAGTCTGGGCAGGTGAATTCATTAAGGGGTCCTGGGCAGGCATCAGTATTAGTGGGTCCAGGAAGAGGAGCAGCAGAGTTGAGAGTCCCACAGAAGCCTCCCCAGACACTAGGCTGAGTGGTGTGTGAGGACGCTGGGTGCATGGCCTCTTCTAGCAGAGGGAGGAAAGGGCAGAGCTGCCTGGCTTAGACTCATCTCCAGCCAGGGCAGCAGGACCCACCTGAATTTCCCCGGATGTCCTACTTTCCACAGAAAACCAAAGCACCTTCACCAAAGGTCAGGGCAGCATGAGGAAGCTGGGTTCCCTTGCTCCTCTGCTGGGCTGCTCACCCTAAGCCCCGCGTGCTCATTCCCTAGAGAATCAAATGCACTGAGACCCTAGAAACCTGTGTTCCAGAGTCCTCGTGGAATGCTCCAGGCGGCCCTATCCACTGGGTCTCATCATTTTCTCATTGACTTTCTGAGGGATTTTCCCAGCTGGCCTCCAAGCTTTGCTATTAACTTAAGAAAGAGGCTTTACATTTGGGGATTTATATTCAGCCAAATTTTCCCCAGATCCTAGGCCAGCATTTGTTGTAAGTGCAGTGCCTCAGGATGCACTGACTCTAGGTCCCCGGTTCTCAGATGCAGAGACACCCAAGGTGCATTCCGATGCTGGGAGCAGCCAGCACCCTGGAATGCCCCAAAGTGTGGGGAAACAGCTTCCAATTCCCAGTAAAGAGTGGAGCTAATTAGGACTTGGTAAGAGATTACACCCAGGAGGAGGCCGAGTGACGGCAACTAACACGCCACCCATTTATATCCAGGCCACAAAGAGCCCAGCTCCTGAGCCCTGGGGAAATGCATGGAGTTGAACCAGAGCGGGTATGGAGTTGAACCAGAGTGAGTAGCTGGTAAATAAATGCAGTTTCCCCAGAGAAATCCACCCATCCACTCGTTACGGTTGGCTTCCACTGGACGGGGCCAGCTGTAACACGCAGAATTAATTTTATGTACCATTTTATGCCCATTCTAAGTAATATGCATGTGTTCCCCTTCTTTAATCACACTGTATAATTTCTGGATACCTGCCATATTCCCTCTTCTAACTGTCCCCATATCCCAGAGGATATAGTTAGTGTATCAGCATTATTTAAGTCTGGTACAGTACATCCACACCAAGCAGCCGCAATATAGGAAGGTCTGGGTTTCATTGAATGAACACTGGGGTTGTTGCTTTGTTGTATGAAAGGACTCCCACACTCATCCTGCAAATAGCAGGACCCCAAGCTTCAAAATCAGCTGGCTGGTGGGGAGGGAATGCTCCCCTCCCAGTCCCCCACTACACAAAGGCTCTCCCTGGATCCCTGTCTCCATCCATCTTTCACCCCTGAATGCCCTGTTCCAGGAGTGTCCTGGGGATGGACAAAGCCACACACTCCCTGGGGCCGGGCCACCAGGGCTGAGCTCTCAGAATGAAAGGGCCGCACCCAATGCCCTTTGCCGTCTTCTCTCCCTCTCCTGGTCCTCCCCACCTTTTCTGGGGTTTTGTATCTGGGAAGGGCCCAACCTAGGCAGGACTGAGTGGCCCAGGCCCATCCACCTGGCAGCTGGGTGAGGGACTAGGGCTTATAAGGACTCCAGGAGGAGCGCAGGGAGACCTCCCTCCCACCTTCCTTCCCTCTTGAGTAGGTTCTCCAGCCCAGCCGTGTCTGGCCATGGTTGCCACCACCACCAACCCTCACTTTGAGAAGAAGGTGCAGATATGCAAGACAAGGACACGAGCGTGCAACAGGCGTGCTGTGCTGGAACTGAAGGGGCAGCCTGGGCCAGGCACCTGCCGCGTGACTGTGTGGCCTCTCCGCTTCGGGCCGTGGGCTGTCTTGCTGTCCTTTCTCATAAATCGATAGGGCTAGTGACGTTCTAGACAGAAGGTGCTCCAGGCGCTGGCGGCTGCTGCACAGTGAGAGTCCAGGAGCCTGGGGACACAACCTTGGCCTCCCAAGAGCACGGGCTCCCCTACTTCCTCCTTTGAGGTAAAAAGACACGAGGAAAGAGTGCCAGGGAGAGACTGGAAGTGAGACGGTGGACAAGCTGGGTGGGGACGTCCCTGCACGGCACCAACAACGGAGGCTTCTTGGCTGAAAACAAAATTCCCCTTGCCCTGGGCTCAGGTGTCTGTGCTCCTAAAGGCATCACTGTTAACTTCTTGGCATAACTCTTAAAAGATTTTACCAATCCATCTTTAGTTATTTCACACAAATGGATGTTGTCATTGTTAAATAATGAGCCGCAGGGAAAGACCACTCCATGGTCATGTCAAGCCGAGTCCACTCGGGGCCCTGCCAGCTCTGCCCAGCCTTGCAGCACAGACACAAGTCCCCGGAGGCTTGCCGGGAGGGCAGCATCTGCCCCACGCAGCCTCTGAGAACACAGGTTTCTGCACACAGGTTCAGCCAGGCTCCACCCGGGCTGGGGGCTGCCGGGAGAGCCTGTCTTTATGGAGTTCAAACGGGATGTCACCCTGCTCTTGCACCCAGCAGTGTCCCAGCTTTCCTCAAACCCAGGGACTCATCTGATTTCTGATCTCCCCGCCAGTCGCCAGTGGAAGATGGATAGAACTGCCACCGGCCCCATGCAGGCAGGGGGCTGACAGCACGTCCGGGAGCTGGTGGCTGCCTGGGAACGAAAGCAAGGTGGCCTCAGGACCAGAGAAAATCAGCTCAGAGGGAACTGGAGGTGGCACAGCCCACGGCCCACCCCCCACTCCCTGGGCTGCTCCCACCAGAACTCTCAAATGCGAGCTAAATGGCAGCTTCCCCGCCAACTCCTCCTCCCTCACTAAACCACACTGACATTTAATTCAACATTAGAGTCCCCTCCCTGACAAGTGACTCCTCCTGTCCCTTCTCTGACATAATAAAAGACTCAATTATGCAAAAGGGCCGAAGTGACATTTGGTTTCTCTTCAGCACTACTTACTCAAAGAAGACCGATGCGTCCTCCCTCAGCTTAGCGAGTGCAACTGCAAGTCAGAGGACGGTGCACGGGAGAAAGTGACACAGGCTGATGTGACCGAGCCCCGCATCTCTCGTAATCACCATCATTTCTAATCACCTTTTTCTTCTTGAACATCATCCACATGTATCATGTCTTGGGAAACTTTTCCTTTCTTTTTAGAAAAGTTCTACCAACTTCATCTCAGAACATGATTTTGATACTAGTTTTTCAAAAGTCAAACATGCTCAATACCTGTATTTAGAAAATCCAGAGAAACATTTTTTTAAATGTCACGCCCAATAAATAATTATGAACTAATACAAAAAGATGTTACCCACGGGTACTGAAATAGAAAATGAAGTCACAACTAAGGACAAGTCATTAGCATAAAATCAGGAGAGCCAAAGCATGTCCCTGGGATTTGAAAATACAAAACAGCCCTTTGAAAAATGCTTACACTAAGGGAGGAGACCACCCTTCATACTGTCTTATGCCCAATTTCTGCCTCCAAAGAAAGAAAAAGTAAAAACTAAAAGGCAGAAATGAAATCCACAAGCAGACAGCCCGGCGCCACACCCTGGACCTGGCAGTTGAAGATCGACCCCTGACCTAATCGGTTATGTTATCTATAGATTCCAGACATTGTATAGAAAAGCACTGTGAAAATCCCTGTCCTGTTTTGTTCTGATCCAATTACTGGTGCATGCAGCCCCCCAGTCACATACCCCCTGCTTGCTCAATCGATCACGACCCTCTCACGTGCACCCCCTTAGAGTTGTGAGCCCTTAAAAGGGACAGGAATTGCTCACTTGGGGAGCTCAGCTCTTGAGACAGGCGTCTTGCCGATGCCCCTGGCCGAATAAACCCCTTCCTTTTTTAACTCGGTGTGTTGTCTGCAGCTCATCCTGCTACAACACCTACAACAGCTCACAAAGCACATCTCTAGGCTGGTGTCTGCTCATAGCTCTTACCTCTTTAGGCAGAAATGCAGTCAGCCCCTGGCTTCTGGGCTAGGCACACCTACTAACATCAGAGGAATGCACCGTACTCATTTTGATAATCCGCCCCACACTTCTTACCTTTTAACGACTTTTGCCTCTTAGGATAAAACGTGAATCAGCTTTGCCAGAAAATGGCGCCTTCTGACATTGTCAACTTCCCAAAGTGCACTTTCGTATCTTTCCAAGCCATCTTAAAAAGAACTTTGATCTGTGCTATTAACAGACCATGACATAAAACCTGCACTGTAGCAATCTGAATTTGTTTAGAAAATAATATGTTAAAACCAATATTTAATATATATTTTTTAATTTCACAAAAATAGCTAACTACTCGTAAATCTATAGTATTTTAAATGATTTTAAGATGTTGATTAATCATTGTTTTTGACATTTATTGTCATTTAATCCAAAAGCTATGGATTTTACACTTTGTCGAGCAATTACTGTTGACATTTTCCCATGTCATCAACTCTCCAAAAACATTTTTATTGTGAATAAGTGGGAGTGGTTTAATTCCCTCAAAATTACTATTTGTGTCTAAAGCCAAATTACAAAAAAAAAAGACGATACAGAAATTCCGAAGGAGACTAAAATAATAATAATGCTATTCTACTGTTAACATGCCTAAAAGTTTAAAGAAGATTTAAAAAAAAAGTAATTCAAGTTTCATTGCAACTGTTGCCATGACACAAGCTCTGTCTTCTCTAGAGGAGGACCGGATTTCACCTGGCATGAAAGTAAACGCACTGTCTTCATTTCCTTTAACCTCCTTAAAATACCATGCCTGGGACACGGTATCCTTGAAAGTACTCAGCAGTAGAATGTGGAATAGGTTTTCAGATAGCAGAGTTGGCTACAGAAGTTACTCTGAACTTCGACACCATTTTCAATGGTTACACTGGCCCAGGCCATTAGACAAGAGTGAGTAGATGGCTCTTTCTTCATTTTTATTCCCTGTCAGGGTGTGAATTTTGCATTTCTCAAGTGCTTAGTATTACATTAATGCTTTCAAGGAGGCCCTGCGTCTGGCCACCTCTCGGCAGCGACAACAGCAGAGAAATTCCCACATAGTTAAGAATAACTAAGGATGCCGCCCGTCCGCTGCCGGCATTCCGTATGGATTCACTGAGCTCTAGCAGGGAGTACCAGCTCCTGCAGGGAATGGGAGAAACATCACCCTTCTGCTCTCATCACTTTTAAACCAGTTTCTACCACCTCATTGCTTTCTAAGACGCTTTCCCAAGAGCAGGTGCATATCAGAAAAATGCTGGAGGAGTTTCACCTTTGAAAGTGAGTTTCTTCCCTATAACTGTACACAGGAGATGGAGGGTCTTATTCAGTCTGCTGTCTTCTCAAACACTCCATTTCTTAGCCGTAGTTTTATTCAAAATGTATTTAATAACTACATGAAAAAGTTAACCACGAGTAAGACTAATTTGATTTTTGTTGCACATGTGTTGAGTGGATTCCAGAACTCCTTACATCCTTATCATCCCAATTCCAGCTGCCCCCAGATGGCTCTGTGATATGCAAGAGGAATTCTTTCTGAGCCTGCTTTAGCCCAGCCTGCTTGGCCGGCCCACCTATGTGGAAACTTCTAGAAGCCAAGTTTCCTTAGGAGAAGGTTGAGGTCTACACTTACGTAGACAGAGGATCTAATTCTGGGATCTGACCTGAGCTGACAGCCCGGACCACCACCCCTGCCTGGCTGAGGGCGGCCTGGTCTCTGAGTGCCAAGCGGACCATCGCAGAGAGGATGCACCGTCATGGGACAGACAGAAGGAGATTCCCTGAGACATGGGGAGCGAGCTCTGGGCTTGGCCGCGAGAGGGAGGAGAGTCAGCGGAGCCATCAGAGCTTCCTCTGCGGCCATGCCTGCTCACCCCGCCACCAGTTCAGCTGGCAGTGCCCGTGGGGTCCCCCAGGTGACCCTGAACTGGCCTTCTAAGACTCGACCCCTGCCCACCATCCTTCCCACCCACTTCCACTGCAGCCCCGAACCCCGAGCACAAGACCTTTCCCTGCTTTACACTTGGCCACGATGACCTTCTGCGGGGCAGGTGGGTTCTCACTCACGGTTGGGGGCCTCGGCAGGAAAAGGGGCAGTGTGCCCTGGGGAGAGGGCTCCTTTCTCCTTTCTGTCAGCTCAGGGCAAACAGGCAAACCACACTGTGCCCTGACAGCCATGTGCCAGGGACTTACCGAGCACCGTGGGCTTGACCTCTCCGTCTAAGTATTCCAGGGCTGAGATGAAGACCAAGGAGGTCGTCTATTTGGGCAGGGATGGGCTGTTGTGCCTCTGGCAGAAGCTGTTGTTGAGGCCCCTCCCCAATGCCTCCTTAGTCCTGGGGGCTCTGCCAAGCTCCTGCTGAGACCCCCTGTGGTCTTCTTAGAAAGTTCACGGCGGCCACAGTCTCTGAGACATTCTCTGTCTGGGCAAAGACACCCTTTCTAAGCATGGGTTGTTTCAAATGGGTGAGGGAAAATGAGACAGATGAAAGGGCCCCACTCCTGTCCCTGGAGCTCCCAGTGTGTCTCCATGAGACCCTGGCTGACTCTGGGGAAAGGCTGACTACTAGCAAATCTCTATAAGCGAGACGGAAGCAGATGATTCAGCTAATCAGGTGAAATAGGCATAGAGCCACCCCCCAACCCCACCCCATGGCAGAGAGCTTTTCCTAGACGCAGGCTGCAGTGTGAGGAGAGTGTGCTGTTCCCAGGCCTGCGTGCATCATGCTGCCATTAGTGAGGATGTCACATCACGAGGCACACAAAGCCCTCCTTGACAGAGCACGCGGCCACAGGAGAAGCTGAGATCTGGAGAGGCCCCTTCACTCTGCAATGTCGAAGGTGCCTCCACCTTTAAGGGTGAGTGCAAACCCACCCTCTGAGGTCTGGTGGCGGTCTGCCAATACTCACATCCTGATTCCAACAGCTGCTCAAACAAGCCTAGGCTCTCTCTGCATTCAGGTGGGGCTGAGATTAGACTAAACATGAAACGAGAAACGCAGTGAAGCAGCAGCCACCTCTCCCTCCCTCTATGGTACTGCACAGGTCCCAGCAGGCAAGCCTAGATCTGATTCAAGCAGTGTGCTCCCAGCGTGAAGCTTCTCCGTCCACTCAAAGGTATTAGTTCGTCTCGTAACACAGGAGGCGCCCACCTGGGGCTCCCTGGAGAATTCCCTCTCATCCTCATGCTTGCCAGTTAAAGACGACATGGCCAGGAATCCACACTGCACCTCTGCCTTAGTGGCACCAGTCACTGTGCAGACCAGGAAGGCCTGTAGGTCCTGTGGGACCTTGGCCATCCTTCCTCTGTGCTCCCAGGCCCAAGCCCTCACCCACCTCACCTGAAGCCCGTGGCCCTACACCCCGCCACTCCCTCTGACCACCTGAAGCCCCTGGCCCTACACCCCGCCACTCCCTCTGACCACAGCCACCCTTACCTCCCATGCCCAGCACCCGCCATTCATTCCCTCATCTGCAAGTACCCCTGGCTTAGCTGCTCCACTCTCAGAAACCCACAAGGACCTGCTAAGTCCTCGTCCTGCATGGGGTCTGCCACGTGGACCAAGCTACCTCCCACGTGGGCCAAGCTGCCTTGTTCTGCTTCTGTGCCCGAACATCTCCTGCCGCAGGGATAATCCACTTCCCAGTGAGATCATGCAGCAACCAACAGACTCCCTCACCTACCCAGGATTCATCGGCAAAGACCCACGCCGAGGGAGGGGAGTGCAGCAGCCAGGGAACCGTTTTCATTTGCTGGATCGCACGAAGCCTTGCTCATGGTAACACAATATCGCTGGGGAAGAAAGCCGCAGCTTTCGCAGTGAGAAGGTTCTAGGGCTCAAGGTCAAGTCTTCTGGATCCCTGCAACGCCCCAGGGGAGCTTGGCGGAAGCTGTGTGAGGATTCCACAGGGTCTTGGGGAACGTTTCCCCATCCTGCAGCGTGATATGCGGCAGTGTGCCTGCCTTGGAGACACTGGAGAGTTTGCCTGTAGAAGCTCTCAACCAGTTCGTGGCATCGTAAAATGTATATGCAGTCATGTGCCGCAGAGTGACATTTCTCTCAACCATGGACTGACCACACATACCATGGTGGTCCCGTCAGATTATAATATCAAATTTTACTCTACCTTCTCACATTTGGATGTGTTTAGACACACACATCCCTACCACTGTGTCACAACTGCCTCTGTGCAGTCAGCGCTGTGTGGTCTGCAGCCTGGGAGCCACGGTCTACACCATGCAGCCCAGGCGTGCAGGAGGCTGTGCCACCAGGCCTGTGTGAGCACACCCTGTGATGTGCATAAAAGGATGTCGGATGCCACTGCCTAAGGATGCCTTTCCAGAATATACCCCTGTCGTTAAGCAGCAGAGGGATGTATACGGTCTTTGTTCCAGATTCCTGACACAGAGCTTCCCAAACTCTTAGAATTTCCTGAGCGAAGAAAGCATCTTGTTATTCCTACCAAGTCCCTGACCTGGTAGGAATAACACCTGTGCCTGAGGCTGCGCAAATGAAATGACTTCAGGACCCCTGAGTAGCTTCAGGGAGGGTGCTGGTCTCCAGAGACACCAACCATGTGACTTCAGGACCCCTGAGTAGCTTCAGGGAGGGTGCTGGTCTCCAGAAACACCAACCACGTGACTGGAGGGCCGTCACTTTCAGCGCTGCCCAACCCTCTGAGTCCTTTCACTTGGCCGATGATTTCATCAGTCATGCCTATGTAGTTACATCTCCATTAAAATTCTAAAACATTGAGGTTCAGAGTGCTTCCAGGCTGGTGAACGCTGCAGCACTGGGAGGGTGGCGCCGGCGAGGCCCAGAAGCTCAGTCAGGTCCACACCTTACCCTGAGCATTGCTTCCACTGGCTGTTCCTGAGTTGTATCCTTGATAAAACAACTGTAATCCTAAGTAAAGCGCTTCCTGAGTTCTGTGAGTGGTCCTAGCAAATCACCACTGAAGTGGAGAGGAGGTCATGGGAACCCCAGATCTGTGGTCAGCTGGGCAGATGTGCAGGCAGCTGGGGGGCCCCATTTGCAGCCAATGTCTAAAGCAGGGCAGCCAGAGGGACTGACCCCAGCCTGTGGGGTTTGGCTCTAACTCCCAGTAGTTAGCATCAGAATCGAGCTAAATTGTAAGGGTTGGAGAATGGGTGGCTGGAAAACAGCATAATATTAGTACAAAGAGGTCTCACCCCGAGGCACTCCCAGGGTACAGAGGAGCTTTAGCTACAAATGGAAGGCTGGAGGCACCAGGAGCCTGCCACCGACACTGACCATGGCATAGAAGCCAGGGGTGCCAGTCTGTCCAGATTGGAGCCAAGTTCACCCGAATCATCAGAGGACCAGGGCATGGCACAGCAGGCCCAGTCAGCAGGGATGTGCTCACTCGCTATGCAAGGCTGGTGGGGGCCCTGCGCTCCTTAGCCGGCTGCCTTCTGTACCTGGCTGGCACATTGAGCTGACACAAGTGGTTGTTATTTCTGTTCTTTAAATTAGCTGTGCCTCCCAGCTGTGTACTGCACTCTCATCTTCAGGCTTGAAACTTAATTTTTACTGTAATAACCTTTTATTCTGCTTCCAAATGACTCCATTATAAAAGGGCATTTTTAAAAACCAAAAACTGTAGCTCCCTCGTGGAGGGTGTCTGGAGTGTGGCATATTCCGAGAGCAAGCAGCCACGCAGGGCGACAGAGAGAACAGGCACGTCTTTAATTAACTGCCATTCAGTTACGATTCTTCTTGGAGTGGAGGGAAAACAGATCTTTTGAAGCATAAGGCATGCTACACTTTCTTCAGCCACTGCCTTTCGCTGATAGACATGCAACAGCATTATCATTTTAATATATATTCACAGACAGATCAGAGCAGGATAGCTCATCGCTTAAATGCTGTTTTTTTCTTTCTGCAGAATGTGACCACAGTGCAGAATTACACCTGCCGGGAGTTGCAAGTTCATTGTTTTTAAGACACAGGATGCCTGAGAGACATGCAGTGTCTCTTTGGTGACATCAGGCAAATGCCAGGACCAGACAACGCCATTGCTAGTGGCTCTCAGGCTTTGGGGTGTCTTACCAGGGGGATCCGGGCACCGGGGTGGAGGCCACTGGCCTGTTGCCTCTGGCTGTGCTGTCCTCTCCTCCCCCCAGCATCGGTGGAGGCTCCTTTCAACAGAAAGAGACAGGGGAGTGGCTTTTAATTTTAAACACTCATCTTCAATTACAAGCAAGGAAGGGAGGAATAAACAAATCTCCTGCAGGCAGGCAGCTTATAGTAGCCACGAGATAATGACCTCAGCACGGCAGCGCCTGGCTGGGAGGTTCTGCCAGGAACAGGGAGTCAGTGCAGAGCAGACTGGGTAGAATCACCTGGACAAAGGCACCCCTCATTGTCCCCAGTTGTCTAAGCTGCCTGCTTTTCCAGAAGCAGAGACGGTCAGAGGCAGCCAAGAGAGGGCATCTGAGGTCTGAGGTCTTTGGGACAGAAAATCTCACTGGCTTCATCCCCAGAAATGAGCTGACCCAGCGGTGGGAGTCACTGTGCCATGAAAACAACAGCATTTAGTGGCAGAGAGCCTCAAAGCTGGGGCTGCCACATCCTGTTAAGGCGGGAGGAGGCAACAAACCCATATTCCTCAATAACGACTCTGCCACATAGAGTCTAGTTCCTCCCCAGGCTCCCGCCCTTCCCAAACATCCAGCTGGGGGCAGGGCTCATGGGGCTGTTCCGCATCCTGGGGATGATTCTGATTCTGACACTCAGTTGGTCCACATTTCCATTAAGAAATAAGAATGTTTGAAATGCCAGGCATGGTGGCTCACGCCTGTAATCCCAGCACTTTGGGAGGCCGAAGCGGGCAGATCATGAAGTCAAGAGATCTAGACCATCCTGGCCAACATGGTGAAACCCCATCTCTACTAAAAATACAAAAATTAGCTGTGTGTGGTGTGCGCACCTGTAGTCCCAGCTACTCGGGAGGCTGAGGCAGGAGAATCACTTGAAACTTGGAGGCGGAGGTTGCAGTGAGCCGAGATTACACCACTGCACTCCGGCCTGGGGGACAGAGTGAGACTCTGTCTTAAAAAAAAAAAAAAAAAAGAAAAAAGAAAAAAAAAAGAAAATTTATCACCTAGAATAAAATGAAGATCTATGCCCTAAAATTAAAAAGAGAGAAAAATAAGCTATGGTTAGGACACTTGATCAGTATTCATTAAGAATAAAATTTGGAGAAAAATAAAAGTTGCTTGAGATTTAAAAATATGGCCCATCACAATTCTAACATAAACAGAGGCCCACAATTCAGATGAACTCCTTTAGCCATATGGATGTATGACAGACCGCAGGTCTTTGTTCAGTCAGTACTGAGCCGAAATAACCAAATTCTTACCAGTAGAACCATATATCACAAAGAGAAATAAAAAAATCAGGAAGTATCACCAGAATTTTGGAAGGCTACAAGGAAGAAATAAATTCACATGAAGTAGCATGAGAAACTTTTTTCTTTCTTCCTCTTCCAGCTGTTTCCATGGTTTTAATCTCAAACTTAGAATGCTCTGAGAGATTATGTTCTCTCTCTGGGAAAATTAGGTGGGATTAAAAATACCAGTGCCTTATTCAAAGCAACAATCTGGTTCTGAGCTGAGAATGGCAGGTGCAATTAGAATACTCAATTCATTAAAAAAATTGAAAGTCATCCTAAAATTTTAGAATCTCTGTTTCTACCATCGTTGATGTTGGTACTTTAGGAGGCAGTGGAGGTGGGAAGATGATTAACCATTCGACCACCAAAACTAAATGAAGTCAATGCTCCAAAGTCCTCGTGGGGAGCCGCCAGCGCAACATCAGCCATGCACAGGAGGCTGGGGATGCTGTACCAAAACCCAGCACATGTGGGTCCCTGAGGGCTGCGCTGGGCCAGGCCCATCTGCACTGTGTCAGCTGCTTTCAAACAGGGTGCTTAGGAAGGAAAGTGCTAAATTACAGAGGCACAGAAGCATGAGATTAGAACAAAAATTAAAAGAATCTCGCGTGTCTGTAAGAGACAATGGTGAGATAAAGCTCAACCAAGTAAGTCTGTCTAATGTGGCTATTTGGCAGAACCATGGAAAACAGAGTGAAGCTGCGTCTTGGTGACCGAGTTATCCAGAGTGAGTGGCCCATGTTGAGAGATGCCAGCCCAGAGGGAAGGACAAGAAACACAGAGATTAAAGCACTCAGCCAGAAGCATCTCGCACAGTCTCCAGCGTGAGGGTGAACCTGGGAAGGGCATCTTCTCGAACATCATGCAAGGGACTACCAGGAAGGAAGGGGTGGTCTCTTTACGTATGTTCATCCTGACATTTTGGTATTTTACACATGATTTGTAATGTATATTATAACATTATCTTTAAGTTTGTAAGTTTACGAATAAAATTTTTACAGGTTTTCTAGTAATAGGAAATATCTTTGTTTCTTGTGAGAAAATAAGGTCAGGATAAATAATTGGCATAACAGAGCATTCAGAAACACTTGTCTCAAAAAATATATATTAAGACTAGAGCTTATATTAGCAATCCAGTTAGAAAAACTAGGGGGGACTTTCATTATGAAGTTCATTGAACAATAGAAACTCAACAAGAAGTCTCTGAGTGGTAGATTACCTCAGCCAATTATTCAAGCAAATAGAGTAGGATGTAATTTGTGATGGGGACTAATGTTTAAATTTGGCAAGGCTGGGGTTCTCTACTGCTACTTACCGAGGTCTTCTCCACGAGATGCATGCTGGTTATGATTTCCTGTTGGTGATAAAAACGGCTAATCATGGTATAAAACTCTTGTTCCACGTTGAAGTCATAAAAGTGAATTAGACTCGAAGAACCATGTGATGAAGAAAGGAGTTATTTAAGGCACTAGAAAGGCTATCTGTGTAATTAATATGTCATTCTGGCCTGGATGTTAATCTGGAAAAATTGGGAAAATCATATCTCAGGGGGCAAAAGTTTAATTTGCTCTATTTGTGATCAATTTTCACCACTGAACACCTGCACTGATGATTCAGGAGGAGACGTGAACAACAGGGTGACTACACCCTGACAGAACTCAGAGGAGAGACGGAAGCAAAACCAGGGAGAACAGAAAGCTCGCAGTGTGGCTTTAGGCAGAGAAATACCTTGGAAAGGTGAAGTAAGAGATAATGTTGACAAATAACTGAGTCCCACCAGCGTCTTCAGTGTATTTGACAGATGAGAGCAAATTAAGCGTGATTTGTGATTTTGAAATGCAGTAATAAAAAGGACTCCCTTGGGTTATTGAGAGGAAGGACTGTACTATTGAAAACACGAAATGCTTCAAATGCACTGTCTTGGCCAGTCTTTAAAACGCCATTTGGCAAGCCAGTGAAGAGAAAGACCTGAAATTAGAATGAGTGTGTTGGCTCTTCTTTCCTCTTGCCTAAGTGGTGTCTGAGTTTGACTACCTTGTGTGTCTTCTCTTCCTTCTGAAAATGGACAAAGTTCAAATGGAAGCCAAATCCCTTCCCAACAGAGTCCCCCAGGGAGCTTCAGACCCAGATCTGGCAGGACCAGCAAGGGCTGTGTCCCTGCTCTCTAGGCCCCGCCTGGCCCCTTCAGTGCCAGGTCCTGCTGCTTCACACAGCAGATGGCAGTCATTTCACAAACACCATACAGCAAACAAGCGTGAGGGTGTCCTGGCCCTGGTCCTCCACACCCAGGGTTTTGTGTCTTTAACACACACACGAGCCCCGAAACTGACCTTGTCTTCTTTGTCTCCATCCCGGCTCTTCTGGGCCCGCAGCATCAGGGCAGGAGGGCGGGCCACTCGGCCCCGCTCTGTCCTTGTATCTGTTGGGCCAAAGCAGTTGTCATTAACATTTCATTTGTCACAGTAGTTTGGAAAACCTAAGCAATCAAAGACAAAAAGTGGCCCTGAAGATTAGAATTGGTCAGTAGACACTGTGCATTCCACAGAAAGGTGGCATTGCCCTGTCCTTGGGTTGAAGTCTAGTGACAAAGTTCTCATCCCAAAGCGAGGATGCACCTGACAATGGGTTTGCAGGGGCCAGAGGCCTGGGCACACACATGCACCTCTGGACTCCCCAGCCCGACCTCCCGGCATCCCTCTCCTGTGCCTGTGTGTGCAGGCAGTGTTCACTCCACCCTGGACTCAGCCTCTTGGACAAGCAGGAAACAAGCCCAAAAGTGGGAGGCCCGAGACTTGGCTGTTGTCCATCTGGTGACAATCACCAGGGTGAGGCTGTGACAACCCTCACACTCGCAGCCCAGTGGGCCCAGGGTGGGAGTGCTGTGCCCAGGTGTGTGGATGTCTTGGGGCTGCTCTCTCGCATTGTGGGGCCCCCAGTGCGCTGGGCAGTCAGGAGCCTCCTCCAGTGATGCCAACCTGCGCCCTGGACTCCATCTATGCCCAGGCTGGGTGCCATCTAAAACACTGTTGGCCAAGCCTTGTGAACTGGGCCACGTGGGTCACAGATGAATAGGACACAGGACCTTCCCAAGAAGGACAAAGGGCCAGTGTAGGACAACAGAACCAGCCTTGCTGAGGTTCTGCCAGCTGGTGGCCATGATGGGCTGCCCTTGGTCCTGGCCCTGCCAAGGGGACAGGAGGGGCTATGTGCAGGCCACACCGCCAGTGACCGTGGCTTACTGGCCGCCATGGTGGGCCCTGGTTTTTCCAGGGGGCCGGACCCACAGCACTTGGAAAGGTGCTTGTTTCAGGGGAGGAAGGGATTCTGCAAATTCCCAAAGATTGTTACTTTTTTGTCTTCTCCAAAAATGTCTATCTAACTCTCAAAATTTTGCAAGTAGATTCAGGGAAAAACAGTAAAGCAAGGTTGAGCTCTGTTTTAATACCAAGAATAAAAAGAAGGACCCAAACCATCTAACCACACACCAACCTAAAACAATAGATAAGTTCTCAAAGGAAAGCCCTGGCCAGGTCTCATGGGTGTGCAGGGCAGGACCCTTGGGAAGCAGAGATTTGTTTAGCTTGATCCAGAGCTCAAGACTGGGCAGTGCAGTCAGGGAGGCCTGGGTATGCTCCTTCCTGGTAGACGGAAGGATGGGGAATTAACGTAAATCACTTTATACGTGTGTGCACACAACACACAGGTGCGTATATGCACACACACACATAGAAAGGATGTCCTCTGGCCCCTTCAAGCTACACGTCTGTGCTTGAAGGGGGTGAAAGGCAAGACTGGGGGTCCCACTGGCACACCCCACCTTCTAGCCTTTCTTCCTTGCCCCACTGCAAACTGGGGCCCCTCTGCAGCTCCGGGAAGGAGATTTGCATAGCTCTGCATGGGGCCAGCTGTCATGTCCTCCGTGGGCATTGGCACCTGTCTGGCTTGCGGCTGCAGAGCCAGGTGGTCTGCAAGGCATCCCTCCCCAGCACCCTTGGGAGGAAGCCCCTCATTTGAGTTGGGTCAATCAGCAAATTTATTTCAGGTGCGGAGCAGCAACACTAAGGCAGCCCAGACGTGAGCCGGAGGCCCCATCCCCGGAGGTGCTGAGTTCGGATGAGGCAGAAACACAGCATTCCACCCCTGACTCCCCTCCATCCAGTGAGCGGGTGGAGGAATGCCCAGCCTGTCCACCTCTTTCACTCTGCACAGCGCCCTGCCGGGCAGGCTCTCCCCAGGGCTGGGTGGCTGGTCTGCCCTTAGTGCCGGCTGCTGGCAAATAGGCTGAGCAGGGATCCCTGAGGGCGCCGGCCTCCTCCGTCATTGCCACTTTACGAGGGTGTCCACACAGAGTCTACACTGCACACTCTTCCTTCACAAGAGGCCTGCCAAGGCCGACCACAGGGCTCCCATACAGCCATGACCACCCCAAGAGACGCCCTCAGGCCTGACAGCTGCGTGCACAGGTCTATTTCAAGGTTGGCCTTGGGGAAGGGACTATCGGCTTTTCACTGAACCAGGTAACCAAGCCTGAGTCAAGAAAAGATTTCAGGACAGTGGAAATATTTTACTGTCACTCAGGAAGAGAAGCAGAGTCCCTGGATTGCATTAAGATTTCCGGAACTCTGTTAAGAATTACTCCCAGAGCCCATTCTTGTCAAGGTGCAGCGGTCATCAAGCAGCCTGGACACCGGGTCTCTGTCCTGATCCTGCAGGGTCGTCCTGTCCCCACCCCATCTCTGCCTCCTCATCTACAAGATGGGATTAGCTGGTCACTACCTCTATGCCACAGAAAGGGGCAAGCAGATGGGGACACAGCCATGCCCTGGGGAACCCTCATTAAAAAACCCAGGGCTCTGTCCCTCTGCCTCCATCCTGCAGACACCAGAAGCAGCCCCCTGACTGAGGCACAAGGGGGCACACAAAGGAAGCTGAGCCCACCGTTCCCCTGCCCTCACAGACCCAACGCAAAGCAGGCCCAAGCGATGGGACGAGGGAAGTTAAACTTGGTGATTCAATGACCCAGCACTCCACATATTTCACGACTGCTCTGAGACCTATTTTTTGACTGGATATGAGTGGATGGCTTTTTACTACCTAAGAATGAGCCAAAAGTGAATTGGTTTAAATTTTATCTAAAGTACAGCAAAGAGCAAGTCCCAGGGAGGAAGTCTGGAGGGGTCGTGCACGGAAAGCTGAGGTTGTGTTTTAATTATATGCCACACACTCTATGTTTTCAATATGGCAGGTGCCTATAAAACACACAGCAATCTCAGTAGCAGAAATGCACGTCTGTATCTTCTACGAGCATGTAAATAAATACACATTGTGAAAAACTGTGTTAGGAACACTGGCAGCCTGCGAGGAGGCCGTAAGCCCATAATACTGTTCTCAAATGACAGCATTGCCTAGTTTACTCCCCATTACCTTGAGAAAACATATTAAGATATTTTTCATATTGAAAACAGTTGATCTTGTAAAAAATCAGATCTTAAAGTCTGGCTTTTGAGATAAACGGATTTACATTGTTCCTCATGAGTGCTTCTTAGAGGAGATATTGTTGATGATCATTTTAAAGCCCCCAGTCACAGACACACACCCCGGAATACCTGCGACAAATGTTTGTGCCTTGCCCTAAATAGTTTTCTTAATAACCGGCACTCTTTCACAGTCATTGATTTTGCAGGTACCTTGGAGGTGTGTGGGTGGCACCAGGGGCTCACACACATAATTGGGTCTGCGTGTCAGCCATTCCACCGTGGAAGTGCTTATTCTACGGCTCTCCGGGGGCCACTTCCAGGGTCCACTCTGACATGCTTAAGTACTCTTTGCTTTGGGCCTCTCCACAAACTCTGATGATGTTGTCATAAACTCCTCCCTTGAGTGGCAGACAGAACTAGTTTATGGAGGAAAATCAACAAGTGTAAGACCATGGGCGCTAAAGTACTTCGGGGAGCATGCAATGTATTTCCGCCCTCCGAGAGAGGCACGGCGGTAATACCTTTCTGGGCAATGCCTCTATTGATCAAACCCAGCTCTGAGATGTGAAGTGCTCCCCAGCTCCCCAGTGCCCTTCAATGTAATTTTCCTCCTGGCAGTGATGAGAGACAAAGAGAACTGAGAAGGTCGCATGAAGTCTGGAAGGAAGCAAAAAAGCCTGTGCTAAAAACTCCCACGCCAGTCAGCTGACAAGCATTTATTCACTGCTCTTATAGAGTCCAGCACGACCGTCCTTGCTGGTGGGGAAGAAGTGAGAGGAAGTACTGTGAGCAATTAGACACTCCTCTCCTCCTCTCTCAAAGGGCCGCAGGGACTGGGGAGGGCATCCAGGGGAAAAGTATTCAACACCAGCCTCTTGAAGTCAAACCGGGCAACAAAATATCTCTTTAAGAAAAGTGTGGCGGCCGGGCGCCGTGGCTCACACCTATAATCCCAGCACTTTGGGAGGCCGAGGTGGGCGGATCACGAGGTCAAGAGTTCAAGACCAGCCTGGCCAAGATGGTGAAACCCTGTCTCTACTAAAAATACAAAAATTAGCTGGGCATGGTGGTGTATGCCTGTAATCCCAGCTACTCAGGAAGCTGAAGCAGAGAATTGCTTGAACCTGGGAGGCGGAGGTTGCAGTGAGCTGAGATCACGCCACTGCATTCCAGCCTGGGTGACAGAGCGAGGCTCCATCTCAAACAAAAACAAAAACAAAAACAAAAACACACACCAAAAAAAAGAAGAAAGAAAAAAAGAAAGAAAAGTGTGGAAAGAAAAACTGTCCTATCTCCTGGGCAAGTCTTAGCTTCAGAAACTCTTGGAACTCAGCAATCAATTCGCCCTGTTTCCCTGAAAGAAGGGGGAGGTGGGTTTGCTTGTGCCTGACCCGGGGTCAGGGTCCTGGAAGCTTTTCCGTATTGCGCTTCTCAGTCATTAATCCAGGCCCGAGGCACCTGTTCTCCTAGAGTGCCTGGAAGGTGAAGACTCAAAGGTATCATCATCACCTGGGGTCAGGCCTCAGCTCAAAGGCAGCACCAGGATGCGGGTCCAGTTGATGGCATATGCCATGTAGTCATCACACACCCTAAGACCAGCAAATGCTTCTTACATTGAATGAAGTATCAGGAATTTATTTATTTATTTATTTAGAGACAGGGTCTCACTCTGTCATCCAGGCTGGAGTGGGTTCACTGCAACCTTCAAGTGATTCTCCTGTCCTTCAAGTGATTCTCCCGTCTCAGCCTCCCGAGCAGCTGAGATTACAGGCATGCGCCACCACACCTGGCTCATTTTTGTATTTTTAGTAGAGATAGGGTTTCACCATGTTGGCCAGGCTGGTGTCGAACTCCTGACCTCAGGTGATCCTCCTGCCTCGGCCTCCCAAAGTGCTGGGATTACAGGCGTGAGCCACTGCGCCTGGCCCAGGAATTTATTTTAACATTCAAAAGAGTTTGTTTCTTTAAAAATTATTAAAATAAAGAACTACTCTAGGAAGTCAAAAGTGTCTAACTCATCAAAAAGTTATTAGAAATATATCAGTATCTCCCAATGCAAAAAGTAATTCTGAAAGTCAGTCCAATTTTAATTCCATAAATATTGACCTCCTTTGACCTCAGTTTCCTCATCCATAAAAGAAACTGTCTTGATTCTCTTCCAGTTCTGGGATTCCAAGTGTCAACATGATATCTGGAAGCGTGTGGAGTAAATCCCAAAGGAACTGGAGTTGCAGCCCTCACCATGAGGCTGTAAGAACATGCGTCTTCTGGTTTCCTGCCCGGGGAGGAGGGGAACCCGGGGAAGTGAATGGACCCCACGGGGGAGGAGGGGAACCCGGGGAAGTGAATGGACCCCACGGGGGAGGAGGGGAACCCAGGGAAGTGAATGGGCCCCAAGGAACAGGGAGAGAGAATTTCACCTTTCTATTCTGAAAGCCGAGAGCAACCGCTCATGCATTTGAAACCAACCTCCTCTGATGATCTTGGAACTAGGCAGGAAATCTCTTAGGCTGAGGAGGGCGTTGACTCACAGATGGTCTCCACCACCCCTGAGGCTGGAGGAAACTGGGAGGGCTTGGAGTTCTCGATTGTTGTAGACTACAGCCATTATGAAAAGGGTTCATGAGGAGCATCCATATCACGCGTGCTCCACGCGCGCTGGCTCCGCTCGCAGCTGGGAGCAGACCCTGAGACCAGCTCACGCGAGCCTTGCTTGGTTGGACATGCACGCCTGTCCAGTCGCCTCCATTCTTGGGGAGAACACCCAGGCCTGTGCCAGCCATGATGGTGGTAGGGTGGCAGGAGCCAACCGGGAGTCACTGGAGCCCTGTTTCTGTGTTTGTCACAATCTAGTGACCCCATTTCCATATATGAATGGTTTCACATCCAAGAGCATATAAGGTCTCATCCACTTGCAGAATTGTTGTAGAGAGAATAATCAATGATTTTTTTTTTTTTTTTTTGAGATGGAGTTTTGCTCTTGTCATCCAGGCTTGGAGTACAATGGCAAGATCTTGGCTCACTGCAACTTCTGCCTCCTGGGTTCAATTGATTATCTTGCCTCGGCCTCCCGAGTAGCTGAGATTACAGGGGCCCGCCACCACGCCCAGCTAATTTTTGTATTTTTAGTAGAGATGGGGTTTCACCATGTTGGCAAGGCTGGTCTCGAACTCCTGACCTCAGGTGATCCACCCGCCTCAGCCTCCCAAAGTGCTGGGATTACAGGTGTGAGCCACCCCACCCGGCCTGAATGATATTTTAATCTTGCCTACTGCCTCCCTGGAAGCACCCTTCTGAAATAATTTCCAAGATGCTGAGATAAAGTAGGCACACTGATCTCATTTAACAACTGAGAAAAGCAGACTAGGTGAGCATTTTCTAGATTATAAAGTAACCCAGTAGGGAGGGCACAAATTATCCGTCAATTTAACCGGTACTGAGCTCCTTTGAAAAATTTGATAATAAAATAAGGGGAAAATGCAATTTATGGCTAAGGTAATAAAAATAACACAGTCAGGGCCCGTTGTATATGGTCCTGAATGAGGCGTGGTGACTGCATTGATTTTCCGAGTCAGCCTCTTCAATGAGAACCAAAGTATCTAAGGGAACCCTGCCCCTGGGAAGGTGCCTGCGTGCCATCTTCATGCTGAGTGTCAGATTCACAAGAGTTGCCAGCCCCGGCGCAAGGCGGAAGCAGGAGAGACATAGATTTCAGGGGTTAAAAACAAGAGAAGCCCAGGGGCCTGAGGGGCTCTTGAATGGAAGGGGTGCCATGTAGTGCAGGGAAGGTTGGTGGCAGCTGGGAGCAGAGAGGCACGGCCTGGAGGTGCCTCCCTAAATGCCCTTCTCCAGGGCCTGCCCCTCTACACAGAACCTGGCACAGTGTCCTCCAGATGATGTCAGGAAAGCCAAATCCCGCTGGTGAGGAGCTGGTGAAAGGGGAGACTGTGCAGCTACCTGGACAGTCTCCCCCTGTCCAGAGCTCCCCCTGGCAGCTCAGGACTGGGAAGGAGGGAGGAGGGTGTGGGACCAAACCCCTCAAGAAGCCCCTCCCCCAGCAGGGCTTTTGACTGCTACCGGAGGGGATGGAGTCGGAGTGGCAGGTGCTCCCTAGGGGTCCGGAAGAGCCAGGGTCCTCTGGTCCATCCCCACATCTCACCACAGGATGTACAGGTGGTGGCCTTGCTCCCCTTAGTGTCTGCTGCACAGACCTGCTGACCTGCCTGGAATATGAGGCCACAGTCAGATGCCTGCTGCCGCCTCAGGAGGACAGCACTGGGGGCTGCCAGCACTGGGGCAGGAGGGTGGTGGCACCTCTGACAGAGCACCACACCCCAGCACACAGGACAAGCCCAGCATCACGCCCGGCCGCACAGGCTGAAACCCCACAGTGGGGCCGTTTCCCTGGGAGCCTCCTTGAAGCTGGCGCAGGTCTTCCTGGGCCCTGCTCAGTAGGCCAGGAGGACGCCAGCTGGCTGGGCTGCTGTGCGGTTGGAGAGGGCTCAGGTCAGCCAGGGCTCCAGAGGTCCCCTGGTCGGGGCTGGGCTGCAGGCAGGGCCCACCGCTGCAGCTCCGCCCGCCTCTCCCTCTCACCCGCCCGTTCCCCAGCAAAGCCTGGTTCCTGAGATCCCACAGCACCTCGTTGAACTCCACTATAAATGGAGATAATTTTCATATAAACAGCAAATCATTTCTGAGTCCTCCTAAATTTTTCATGGGTAGTGATTTCAGAGTTGACAAGCTGCAGAGAATTAATTTTCCACCCATTTTTAACATCCTGAATTGCCCCTTGCAAGAACAAAGGGTTGTAAAATGCTCAGACCAGAGAACCAGAGCGTGGCTTCCTCCACAAGAAGGGGTCTCAGTACCGAGAGGCAACTCCACCTTTTAACAGGACTCAGCCCGATCATGAGAATTTGCCTCATCATGGGACTCCACCCCTGCAACCTGAACTCACCCTGTTACCTGAACCCACCCCTCTAATAGGACCTCAACCCTGCAGCCTGAACCCACCCCAATAATGGGACCCCACCCCCGCAATTGGTCTCTGTCCTCCATCCCCAGCCAGAGTCCAGATTTTCTCTGTGGGTCTGTCTGACCAGCAGATCTGTTTGACCAGCAAGAGAATCTGGTGTCACGGCTAGACAGAATGGCCTGCGGAGGTGGTGGGACATTTTCACCAGCGTGATCCAGGGCCTGGGGCACTCTGCTTCTCTGATGAAGGCAGGCTTCTGACAGAGGCCAGCTCCAGGTTGGAGATGCAGGAAGTGCTGCACCCAGCAGAGTGAGCTTTGGGATCCGAGGGTAAAAGGAGTGGAGATGACGGCACCAGCAACCTGGTTGTCAGCAAAGGCAGTGAGGAGAGCCCAGTGCCTGCCTCACCCGGTGCGGCACGCTTGCACGGAGGCATGCCTGCAGGGTGGCATATCAGGGCCTATGGGGAAAACCATCTTCAATGCTCTGTCCCTCCAAGAGAGCTATTCCCAAGTCACCTGGGCACTGCAGCCCACCGCAGGGGCAGGCTTGTCCCACTGGGTCCAGAGGAAGCTGACACCCGAGCACCAGCTCTGCCCCAGGAGGGAGCCACAGAGCCAGTTCCCTGCCCACCTCTGACCTCAATACACGTGTGTTTAATGAGTAAATGAATGAGCTGATGGTGAGTCCCACGCAATTCACAAATTACGCTCAAAGTTCTCATCTTTATCCAAAGTAGGGATGTTAAAAGCAAAAGAGACATATTAAACCAGACAATTTCTATAAGAAAAGAAATAAAAATTCCAAGCACTCTTGTGTCAGGTACATAGTGAGCCAAGTAGGACTTTACCCCAACCTTGGACCAAGAAAAGAAGAGATGGCTAGATGGAGGAGGAGGAGAAGGTGGAGGTTGGGACAGAGACAGAAACGAAGACAGGGATTGAGATAGAGGTGCAGACAGGAAGCGGGGAGGAAGGCAGTAGAGATTCATGTGAACTTGTAGCCATCATTTAAAACATTTTCCTGAAACTTTTTTTCAAAGCTTAAATCCATTTCACAGTACCAGGCTGAGTTATTTAAGCAACGCCCACCTTTCAAGGCAGTGCGAAAAATACAGCTGCCGACAGACGGAGAGCTTCAGTCTGTCGCTTCGTCGAGCCCTCCGGGTGCTAGAGCAAGCACCCAGCAGTGGGTGTCCCTCCAAATGGGTTGTCACGAAAGTCACAGCTGGGCTCAAGACTGCTGTTACTTTGGGTGCCTGAGCTGGACCAGGGCCTCTGGTGCCCATCCGAGAGGCCAATGCTGCACACACAGATACCCGTGCACACACACAGAGACGGATGCACACACAGACACGTGTACACACACCAAGAAACATGCACACACAGAGACACATGCACACAGAGACACGTGTACACCCACAGAGATAGGCACATACAAAGAGGCACATGCACACACACCAAAACACATGCACACACACCATGACATGTGCACATACACCAAGACACATGTACACACAGAGATACGTGTACACACACCAAGAAACATGCACACACAGACACGTGTACACACACCAAGAAACATGCACACACAGAGACACATGCACACACAAACACGTGTACACCCACAGAGATAGGCACATACAAAGAGGCACGTGCACACACACCAAAACACATGCACACACACAGAGACACGTGCACACACCATGACATGTGCACATACACCAAGACACATGTACACACAGAGATACATGTACACACACCAAGAAACATGCACACACAGACACGTGTACACCCACAGAGATAGGCACATACAAAGAGGCACGTGCACACACACCAAAACACATACACCAAGACACATGGACACACAGAGATACACGTACATACACAGAGACACATGCACACACAGACACGTGTACACACAGGCACATAGGAACACACAGAGACACGTGCACACACACCAAAACACATGCACACACAGACACATTCACACACCAAGATACATGCACACAGACACGTGAACACACACCAAGACACGTGTACACACAGAGACACATGAACACACACCAAGACAGGTGTACACACAGACACATGCACACACAGATACGTGTATACAGACACATGCACACACACAGACGTATACACACACAGACACATACACACACACGTACTCACAGACACATGCACACACAGACACGTGTACACACAGAGATATGCACACACACAGACACGTGTACACACAGAGACACATGGACACACACAGACATGCACACACAAAGACACATGCAGACACAAGCACACATATATGAAGACACACACATGTACACTACACACACACAGGCACACACATGCCCACGCAGACACAAAGCAAAGCTTTTGCCTGATGATGGCTTTTCGGCCACCTGTCACAGCGGATAAAGGCATTGCTCACAAGCTCACTACTGAGGTCTGCTGCTCTGTGCCCTCCGTGTGCCAGAAAAGAATGGAAGAAAAGCTGATACATGTACGTAAACGTGAACAAGCAAAATGTCAGTATTGTGACTTTTTCTAGAGGTGACATCAAAACAAGTTGCTTCTCTGATGAGAACTGTGTGTGCCCTGCACTGCTCCTCCCAGCACAGGGCCATTGCAGTGTCCCGAAGTGCAGCATGCCCATCTGCAGTGGTAAGTCCCCTTGGCTACCACGCTGTCTCCCCTTTTACGGGCGTTAACACGCCCAGCACATGTCAGAGGGCAGCGTGTGTGCTGGGACCCCCATCTGGACAGCCCCTCACAGAGGCAGCCAAACACCCTCTTCCGAGTCCGGCACAGAGCAGCAGGCTCTGGGCAGATGTCAGCTAAGGTCACGGCAGGAGGCTGAAGGGGAGGCTCCTGGCACGTGACTCTGGATCGATGCCCCCCATGTCTCCCCTGACCTCTGACTGTTCTAGATCCACAATCCAGCTTCTTCCCGTCTCGATCTCGCATGACGCTCGCACTGCACACAGGAGCCGTCAGCCTCTCGAGTCCCTGCTGTAGTTTCAAGTCTGTTTCCACTTTACTTTTTCTCTAGAAACAGACCCTGGCATGTTGCCATTTTGATGGAAGCAGCCTCCACATTCCGGGACAGTCACACAGGCTCTCCCTCCCTTTACTCCCGGGGCTTTCTCAGGAGTGGGGGGAGCCTGCGCACTGGGCGTCAGCCAAGGTCCCACCTGTGCCCCCTGAGGACCCTGCCTCCCTGCTGAGCGCTCTGCAGGAGGCACCACGTGAGGCCCTGAGCCTTTGCCCGGGGAGGTCGCCAGCTTTGCCTTTACTAGAATTGCAGGGTTAGCACAAGACAGTGACAGCGGTGACCCTGCCAGGTGCTTGGAGGGGACTTCCCTGGAAACAAGGAAGCCGACTAGCGCGGGGCCCTGGACGTACTTTTGAAACAAGACGAGGCAGGTTTGTATCTGAATGTCTCTTGTTCCTCTCAGCTGAGCTGTGACAAATGGGGTAACGAGTATCTCATGCCCTGAGTGGTCTTCAAACAGCTTGAAAGGTCTACCAGATGGCGGCATGTGCTTTCAAGTCTCACCAAAAAAGGTGAGGCCCCCTAGCCATGCAGGTCAAGAGACATACCTCTCAAGGGCATGCATCTGTCTGTCTGTCTGTCCTCAGGGCCTGGGAAGAGGCACAGGCCCTAATTTGAAAACTGGGTGTGGAGACCTTCATTGCCTCTCCCAGACCTGAGGTCTCCCCAGCACCTGGGAGACATGTGGTCTCGCCTGTGGGTTCCCAGCAAGCACTAAGTTCAGGGCCATCGCTCGCCCTGCCCCAGGTGTCTCCGGGATCCCTCGGGACCTTCTCCCCAGGCATCTGCCCGTTCTATGCGCTCCAGGATGAAGATCTGGCTCTCCGCACTTGAGGAGCCTCTCTTTGATCAAGTTAAACAACAGAATCAACAGATGGGACTCCACTGTACACTCCGCAGAGCTGCAAATGAATTGTTTAATGAGAAGGCAAAGCGGTTCCAGCAGAGCCCCGCTCACTACTCATGTATGCTCATCAGTGCTCGTGCGGTCCCTCAGGGACACACTCCTACGTGTCATCACGGAGGGTTCCGTCTCATGATGGCACCAGCCCAGCCTCCAGCCCCTCTGACAGCAGGGGAGGCTGAGCCCGCGTCGGCACCATGCTGGTGGAAGCCGGGGCTTCTGTGAACACACCTGCCCGGCTCTCTCCACGGGCTGCAGATCAGGCTGCCCGGATCAGGAGGTGAGCAGCACTTCCTGCCCACCCCAGCAAACTAACAGGAGCCGGCTGAGGCAGAGCAGCGGGGGCAGCCCCCACGCAGCCACGTGGGCAGCACCTGTGTGTTTCCCAGGTCACAGCGAGAGGCCAGGCCACGCCCAAGTCAGGACCATGGAGCTTCTCAGCTTGAGTTATACATATAGAAACACCAAAACTCAGCACCATTCAGCGGCCTTTTAAACTTTTCTTTCAATCCAAGAATGCCCTAAATAGAAGTAGGAAGAATGTGCCCCGCAGGGCACCACATCCCACGTGAGGCTGGTCTGCAGAACACAGCCCTGCCCTCCCTCGGTGATCACCGGAGTAGCCCTCGGTCCACCCTCGGGCACCACCTTTTCCAACCTGGACAGCAGCCAGGGGGACTGAGCCAGCCCAGCCGTGTGACCCTGCAAAGTTCACACAAAGCCATTCCTACTGACACGACCACCATGGAGGGCTGGCGGGGAGGGGCTTCCACTAATTCTTCTGGCCCTTGTGGTTTTGTTTTGAGGTCAATGAAAACATTGCTCTCCAGAGCCAAGAAGTGGAGCTTTAAACTTAAACTACACTTCACCATGACAGAAGCAGCTGCATGCGTCGCTGACGGTTTTGTCCCCTTGCAAATAGTGAGGGGTAGTAGGCTCTGCGAAGTTAAGGCCCAGGCACCCCCTGATTCCCCGCACCCACTTCTGGGTGGAGAGAAGTGGCCACCAGCAGGTCTGGAGTCCTGGAATTCTCCATTCTGCTGCTGGTGACAGCAGTTGACTTCCAGACAAAGAGCTGGCAATGATTTCTTCATGCTTTAGTTAAAAATATGTGCCAAGCATTGCCCTGCTCTGAGCATGGCCTGAGACCTGAGGGAGGTCGGGAGAAAGACAGACATGGTCTTCCTGGTCTGGCAGGCAGGTAGTGACCAACCTGCTCGACAAGGGACTCCAGCACACAGCTCAGAGGGGAGAGAGGCTAGGGGATGGTGACATTGAAGTGAGACCCCAAGGATGGGTAGGGATGGGATAAAGAAGAATCTATATGATACGGGAATGGCAGATAGGGATGCAAAGTCCCAGAGCTAAGACCACAGTGGCCTGGCTCACAGGCAGGGGCGAGTGACAGAAGACAGGCAACGCAGGAGCGAGGCCAGCTCAGGCCCAGCCGTAGAGACGGCTGCCACTGGGCATTGCAGGGAGCTCTGCAAATTACAAACTCTAAGGACACCAATGTATTGCATTGCTAATGTCATATACAACATATATAGGATATTACATTCTGTTTCATTAACGTAATAAAAATGAGGACATTGTATTTTTACGTTCACATTCATTTTCGGGTACTATCCACTGCTAATATTGTTTCACATTAACATTTATTTTAGGCTACCATCTACTGCTGATACGATTGTGTAGAAGAAAGAGAATTTCAAGGGGGGCCGGTACTATTCCTATAGGTGTATTTTGACCATGTTAAAATGAAGTGTTGGAGCCGTAAAGTTAAAATATTGTATTTCACACATTCGTTATCTCAGCCTACGCATCCAGAACTTCAGATTTTAAAACCTCAAAATACCTTTTAATATAACCTTCAGTTCTATATGGAAGATAAATGCATGATTAAGTATATTCACATTCTAAATTACATCATTAAACTTTATCAAATAAGAACGTTTTTGTAAAAAAAAAGGGTTCAGTATTAAAGTGATTATAATATAAAAGGGAGACGTGTGAATCCCCACGCTTCCCATCGCTGACTGCATCCTATTATTAGCGACGTCTATCACCTTGAAGGGAAGTCGCATCCCTGGTGTCTGGGTTTGATGCTGCTCTTCAGGAGAAGCCCCTGCTGCCTCCATTCTCATGACCAGGGAGTTTTAAGGCTCAGGCAGGGAAGGGCACAACCCCTGCCACTGCCCGCCACAGACCATAACCCCAGAGTCCAGACCTCCGCGCTGCTCCCTGATCTACGTGGTTGAATCACAGCCTCCAGTTCTCCAGCCAGAGCTGGGACCTCCCCACAGTGGAGCCAAGGCCTGGAGCCTGAGGGCCACTGGGGCCAGAAAGAGAGAGTGGGGCCAGGCTCAGCTAAGGCCCACCTCTCTCCCTTCACCTGGCCTGGGAGGATGGAAATCAGGCTAGGATGAGACAGCACCACCAGCAACACCAGGGGCCCGGGGGTGTCTGTGCTCAGCACAGAGGCGGAGGTCTGCGATTGGGCGGGCCTGGGCACAGCACTCAGCTCAGCTACTTCCTAGCCACAAAGTTGGGGGAGCATCACCTACCTTCTCTGAGATTCAATTTCTCCATCAACTGAATGGGAAAAGTAATACCATATGGAAGATTCAGGCTATGGACAGAGACGCTAAACATTCAGTGCCATGCACAGGTGTGCCCCTGGCAGGGCTCATGGAAGTAGATTCTAACAATTGTTTGGACAAGAGCCTGCTGAGCCAGCCTCATCTGCTGCCAGCGTCTGCCTGTGGCCAAGGAAGCAGGGAAAACCCTGGCCCGGAGGAGACCTGCAGTGGGCCAGGTGGGCCAGGAGCAGGGAGAGGCTCTCCGTGTCCCCCCTCGCCTCCTGAGCACACTCAGCTCCTCTGGGTCCACGTATCTTTGCAAAATGCACTTGTTCATCCAGCGGGGCATTCCAAAAACTCGTGGTAGCCACTATTCTATTCTGAACATTTTAAGGGAAACCTTTGCAAACCTCCTTTGCAAATACATTGGGAACAACCATTCATCCCTCCCAAGGCAGCATTGCTCGTGTTAAGATGCAGCTTCAAATCACCAAACAGAAATCAAAACCAATCTCAACAGCAATGTATCTGTGTGTGTGCACATAGCACACCGTGTGTATGTGTGTGTACATAGCACTCTGTGCATGTGTGTGTGTACACAGCATCTGTGTGTGTGCATGCATATGTGTGCACATAGCATGGGTGTGTGCATGGGTGTGTGTGCACACAGGACGTGTGTGTATGAGCATGTGTGTGCATGTGTATATCAAATATGCAGGTCCCTTTAGAAGCCTTGAGTCTGCCGTGTGAGTGGGCATGGGAAACAGACCTGAAGAGTGTTCTCTTGCCTCCGTAAAAATGCATTTTGCATTGTCACTGGGTGAAAGGGAGGAAAAAACGCACATTAAAGTTACACCAAAGACTGGGAGGTCCTCAGGGCAGGGCCGGGGTCTTTGTGCCCCTGTCCCTAGCTGGGGAGCTAGCACCGGGAGGGCATTAGTAAGCAACTAATTTAAAAGAAATAAACATTTATTTAAAACATCCTCTTTGATAGAAATCAGGATTTGTGATAAATCCATCCTAATCTGACCCATCTGCATGATTTAAATGAGTAGATACTTAGGGCACCTGCCCTTGCACAAAAGTGAACTCATGCTTCTCGGAACTCTGCATGACCAAAACAAAAGATAACGTCAGAAGAACTGTATGGATCCCTCTGCCGTGTGGTTATGGTAGCCTGTGATTTATATACACCCTGCTTTAGCATTTGCGGGCCTGTTAGTCTTCAAAAAGCTCATATCAAGTCGGCTCTGACTTTTTGCAGACTAATCTATGTGAAAATGCAGTGCTCACCTAACTGATTTATTTTCACATTTAGAAGTAATAAAATTAATAGTGCAGTTCTCATCTCAGTTGATAAAATTAACTCTTTTTTTCTAACTAACTTCTTTCAGTTATCTTCTTTATTTCTAAAGGAAAGTTATTCCAGTCATTTGATACAAATGGCTTTAATTAGTTTAAGGCAAACATAACCTTTAACAAATCCAGGCTTGGGATTGCTGGTTGTGCGCTAAAGGATAAAAACAGTGCAGTGCTTATGGCATTGATTTGTAACGTCAGGCTGCACAATCCAATTTGGGTTGGCATCAAAGCAAACCACCCATCACTTGAAAGAATAATTCCTCTGCCAAGGCCAGCCCCGAATACACACAAAATGCATTTTTATGACAAGGGCAGGTACATTTTTCAAACGACGGGGAGGGGGAGACTCACCATAACTATGTTCTATTTGGCACTACCCACCATAGGGGCTTCTCTGACTTAAAGCATAGCAGACATTTTCTAAGGAACTTGCATTTTTAATGACTATTTCTTTGTTTTTGCTTTTAAATAAATTAAAACTTTTAAAATAATCAATCCTATACTTACAATGAAGCAACTGATACAAAGAGACCCTTTGTTGGGGAAATACTCAACTGAAGGTTCTTGTCTGAGATTTACCTTTTCCCATTTCTATTGAGCTACCTATCAAATGGGCCAGCCTTTGTCAACTAGAATCAGAATTTCTGGTCCATCCACCAGAACTTGTATTTGCAGATCTGACCTGGGGCTTCTCTCGTATTTCAGTGGCCCCTCACCCTCTGTAGGATATAATCTAATCCCAGTTCTTCCTCCCAAATATCTCAGTTTTCAGGAATTCTCTACTACCTAAGACCGCTCCCAGAACAAGCTCAGAATACAGTTTTATGCACCCGCTCTCTCTAGAATACCCTACACCCATGCCCCGCCACTGACTCCCCCCTCATCTGAGCTCAGGGCCCAGGCTCTCTGGACACTGTCCACACTCCCATGGTGGGGAGGGGGGACCCCTGTTCTGTCTCCTACTCTGTGCATTGCTCTTCTTCTTACACGTGATGCTAACATTATGGCGCGTGTGTCTGCCTCCTTCTTGGGAGACAGGCTCCTTGGAGGTGGGTGTGGCATGCTGAGCATCGTGTCTGCCATGCACTTGCAAAGGCATTGATAGCAGTGGGACTCGACTCACCTCCTCTGACTGCTCACTTCCCCATCTCAGTGACCAGCCCTTGTTTCCGCAGGGCCAACCTTGGGGGTTGCCCTAGAACCCACCATATTCTCTGTCACTGTGTCTCCACCTGGAAGTGTCTATTTCTTGGAAGCTGCTCTCCTCTTTGCCCAGCAAAGCCCTTCTCTTCTCAGTAGAGCACTCCAACACCCCCTTGCCTTGCGAAGCCCACACTTGGAGTGTGCACTAAGCGATGACTTCATTGTCCTTCCATGTTTCAAAAAACGTGGCCCATATTTCTATTCTAGCGTATCACATTTAAATGACCCGTTTCTTATCCGCAAGCTCTCTGAAAACAGAAGTCATGTCTTTTAATCTTTAAATCTACTTTAAATCAACTGTGTGATTGATACAAAATAGACGTTTAATAAATATTGGATGGCTGACTAAATGTATACATAAATGAGGGAACAACTATCGCTGGAGGAGATAAATGGGCTTGTCAATCTGCCCTTCCCAGGCACAGAGCAATCAAACAAAAGAGAAACAAATCAGCAAATAAATTTGAAACTGCATGCGATATTTGGCAAGAGTCAAGGCAGCTGGAACAAAGCCCTCCATACCAGTCAGCGAGGGATCCCACTACCAAGTAGTTGGCTCCTGGCACATCCAACCTCAGGTAGAAAATGCGTCTCCAGCAGCTCTGCGTGTACACATCGGTCACGATGGAAACTCTCCTGCTACTCGCTGATTCTAAGTTGTGAACGGGAAGCCCAGGAGCTCCAGGCACCGAGCAAGCCTCAGCATCAAACAAGGAAATGGCAGCAACAGGTGCACAAGTGTCCATCAGCCTCTCGCCTCACAGAGGAGGCTGTGGGCCCTCTTAGCAGGATCAACACAGTGTCCTCAAAGGGACTGAGAAGGTCCTTTAGCCATGAGGCAAGAACAAAATGGCACCAAAGTCACTATTACAAAACACAAATAAACTCTAGAAAGTCATGTATACATACACATAATATACATCCTACTATATTTACAGGTTAGCTGGGATTACTGTAGAGATTACGGCAGGCTGAGGTGGGAGGATCACCTGAGCCTGGGGAGGTTGAGGCTGCAGTGGGCCATGATGATGCCACCACACTCCAGCCTGGGTGACAGAGCGAGACCCTATCTCAAAACATAGAGACATATAGATGTACATATAGATAAAAATATAGATAATATAGATGTGGGTATAATTTTAAAATAATTAGATAACAAGATGCATCGAGAATATAAATGCATATGGATATATTTTAATTAGAAAAAAATAGATGTTTGAAAGACAGTATCAAGTAAATGTCCCAAAACACAGAAGAATGTCAGAAAGATTTTAAGGAGAAAGAGACATAATCTTGGATTTGGCAATAGATTCTTAGATATAACACCAAATGCATGAGCAACAAAAGAAAAAATTAATAAACTGCATCTCATCAAAATTAAAAACTTGTGCATTAAAGAACACCATCAAGAAAGGAAAAAACAACCTTCAGAATGGGAGAAAATATTTGCAAATTATGTATCTGATAAAGGCCTGGTCTGGTATCCAGAATATGCAAAGAATTCTTTACAACTCAACAAGAAAATGACAAACCACCGAATTTGAAAATGAGCAAATGACTCAAATCATCATTTTGCCAAAGAAGATACACAAACGGCGAACAGGCATGTGAAAAGGTGCTCAAAATCACTAGTTGCTAGGGAAATGCAAAACCAAACCACAGAGAACACATTAAACTCACTAGAAAGGAACAATTTCAGAAAATAAAGGAAAATAACAAGTATTGAGAGTACAGTGAAAATGATGGCTGAATGTAAAATGGTTCAACTACTCTAGAAAACAGTCAAAAAGTCAAACATAGACTTAATGTGAGACTCAGTGATTCCACTCCTAGATCTATACCCAAAAGAATTGAAAACGGATATTCAGATCAATACTTTTAAACAAATGTTCACAGCAACACTATTCATAATCACCAAAATGTGGACGTAATGTACATGAGCATCAATGGATGGGTGAATAAGCACCAAGTAGGCTATCCAAGCGACGGAACATTATCTTGCGATGAAAGGGACGAACTGCTGATATATGGTACTGTGCAGATGAACCCCGAAGACATTATCTTAAGTTAGAAAAGCCAGACACAAAAGGTCACCTATTGTGTGGTTCATTTACCTGAAATGTGCAGAATAGGTAAATGCATAGAGACAGAAAGCAGGTTGGTATTGCCAGGGGCTGAGGGGAGGGGAAACTGGGGAGAAACTGATTAACCAGTAAGGAGTTTTTTTTCAGAGTGAGGAACATGTTTTGGAAGTAGATGGAGGTGGTGGTTGAGCAACATGGTAATTGCGCTCAATGCTGCTGAATTGCTCACTTGAATATAGTTAACCTATGGTATGTGAATTTCATCTCAATAAAGAAGAGAAAAGGTAATAAAAATAGACATACAGATTATCAATCCAGGAAGTTGAACACCCAACTCATAAGAGGTCCAAAGAGATAACAGAGACTGATAGAAAAGTTCTGGGAGCTCCAGAGACACGAGGCTGCAGATCTGATGGCTGCAGAGTTGTATCCGTGCAAATCAGAGATATATTTTGGAAGACCAGGGATAAACACTGATCTGGAAGGTTATAGAAAGAAAAAGAAAACTGATTCTCCTGCAAAGGATGGGGAGAGGATGCAGGTGTCTGAGGGCCAAATGTGTCCCCGAGGAGCCCCCTTTCCTCGTGCCTCTGGCGAGAAGGCAGAGGGCTGTGGCGCTGAAGGCTCTGCCTCTGGGCCTGCCACTCGTGCACCGGGCACTCCACACCACCAAGCTGCCCCAGACATCTGTTTTGTCATTGGTTGATTTTTGTTTTTTCTCATCGGCTGGTTTTTGTTTTCTCCTCCCCAAGGAGGAAGATAATGTCTCGATTTACCCCCACAGAAACATTGTTAGAATAATGGAAGGTGATATCAATGAAAGAGCTTTGAAAAGTCAGAAGCTATGAATCAGAGCTGCATCTGACCTTGACCCCACACCTCCAGCCCTTAGGTTGGCTGCCCTTCATCCCACAGGAGCTCTTTGTCCTTCCAGCCCACTCTCTCACCCCTCCAATGCACTCGCTCTGCCCCTGTACAACAAGGCAAGTCTGCCAGAGCTGGCATGAGCTCCGAGGGAAATAGAGAAGTCCAGGCCAAGAAGTGGGCAGAGGACAGAGGCTGTGCTACCAAAGACAGTGACCTCAGTGCCAGCAGAGGCACGTCGGTCAAATCACCACTACCCAGCCACCACCCCAGCTCCTGGTGCATGATGGTCTATTGAACGAAGGAGTAATTAAATGATGAAGCTGGTATTCGATAGAGCTGTGCAACCTCAGAGTCAGAGACCAAGCTAATCCAAGGCCCAGCCATTGCAGAGAGCTGAGAAGTTTGCCCTCCAGACTCTCCAGTTGTACTAGACATGAGGGTGGGTGTCCAGGTGGCCCAGCAGGGAGCATTCTACCTGGCCATGCTGCTCTGCTGCTATCCAAACAGGACAGCCTCACCCAGGGCCGGCGCCCATCTCCCACCCCAACTCCCGCCCGTGCTTGAAAATGGGGCAGATCTGTGAGTAGATGGCCTCCCATCCTCTTGCATTTCATTCTTAAGAATGGCATGGTGGAAAACCAAAGGCCAAAATCAATAATCTGCCGCTTCTGGGGCCTCCTTGGTTCTCCCTCGGGTCTTGAGTTCTGACTTCCTGCCCCGACCTAACTGAGCTGCAACTACAATACTGCCCCCAAGAGAGGACGCTGGGGTCAGTTTGTTCGCCTGGAGAGCTTTCATGACAGGCCAATGCAGCTGGCACCTACTCGGCACTCCATCCTGCTGCACTGGGAGGACTTGGTGTTAGCAGATAGAAAGAAAAGAAAAGCATCCTCTGCAGAGGGGAGGGCTCCATGTGCCCTCACTCAATGGCTGGGCCAGGTGCTGCTCCCATGCTGCTGAGCCTGTGCCTGATGGAAGGGGTAGATTTGGAGCTGAGTCACACAGAGACTCTGCATCCTGGGTTACGCTTTCTCTGCAGAAAGGCAGCCTCTCCTTGGCTTGGTCCCCAGCACACTTCCCAAGTGACAGCCGGGCAGGGCTGGGCCCTTTCCCTGACTCTGGTGCAATTAGAGCTGGGAGCACACTGCTGCTGACAAGAAGATGGAGGGCTTGGCTGTCCCAGCAGTTAATTGGTTGTGTTATTTATGTGTTTTGAATGCTTGTGAAGTTCCCTGCCTGTTTCTGATACAATTAGTCTCATTGATGGCGAGGTTTATGAGTGGAAATAGTGGGTACTGAAGTGCCGCCTGACACAAGAGAACACAGTAAAAACGGGCACGCGCTCCTCATTTCCATGCAAACACCTAGAAAACGGGCTTCTGAGTTTTTACAGGGAGATAAAAGATTCATCTTGCCCACACAATTACTCCATCCACACTGGAACTGTATAGACCACAGTCTGAGAGCAATGAACTTCTAAAACAAAAGGCCAATATTTACAAAAACATTTTTATTTTTGGCAGCCTCTGGTCTCTCATTAGTATAGCAGAAAGAAATCCTAATTTATACATTTCCATTACTCCTACATTCAATAATGGGCACACAATTAGCATTAATTCAGGACAATTATTATGGAAAATTTAAAGATGTTTTGTACAAATTCTTCAGTAATACTGACTTGGGATATTTTTCGCATGTGTAAATTGTATCTACACATGGGCCATGACTTTGCACTTTTCTTTTAAAACCAATTTAATTCTGAATAGACCATATATTCACTATATTCACATGATTCAAATTTCAAAAGGTACAGATGGATATAATGTGAAATGTCTGCCTCCGCTCCTAAATCTGGCCACACAACTGTCACGGAAAGTAATAAATGTCACCACTTTCTTATGCGAGTTTCCTTAGTTATTTTACGCATTTTCAGGCAAATATGAGTGTATATCTTTTCTATCCCTTTTTCTGTACACAAATGAACCATAGTATATACTTTCTTTGCACCTTTAAAAAAATCTAGTAATATATCTTTGAGATACAGGCAAATAAAGCAGCATCCTAATTTTTAATGGCTCACAATATTCACTGTGTGGATAGATTAGCATTCATTAAACCCACCCCATAGGAAAGGACATGTAGGTTTTTCTAGAAGTTACAGATTGTTGTAAAAGAAAGTCTGCTTAGATTTGCCATTTATTATTTTTCCTTTTTTATTTTTATAAATTTATAGGGCACAAGTGCAATTTTATGACATGCATAGATAGGGTAATGGTCAAGTCATGGCTGTTAGTGTATCCGTCACCCAAATAACACACAGTGTGCCCATTACATAACTTCCAATTATCCATCCCTCCCCACTGCCTCACCTCCAAGTCCCCACTGTCCACCATTCCCCTCTCTATGTCCATGTGTACACATCATTTAGCTTCCACATTGAGTGAGAACATGTGGTATCTGACCCGCAGTGTCTGGCTCATTTTACTTAACTTGATGACCTCCAGTTCCATCAATGTTGCTTTGAAAGACATGATTTTATTATTTTTTATGGCTGAATAGTATTCCATGTAATCTATATATACCACATTTCCTTTATCGTATCTTCCATTAATGGACACTTAGGTTGATTCCATATCTTTGTTATTGTGAGTAGTGCTGTGATAAACAGGAGTGCAGGTATCTTTTTGGTATATTGATTTCATTTCCTTTGAGTAAATGTCCAGTAGTGGGATTACTGGATGGCATGATAGTTCTCTTTTTAGTTCTTTGAGAAATCTCCATGCTGATTTTCATAGAGGTTGTACTAATTTACATTCCCACCAACAGCATACAAGAGTTCCTTTTTTCTGAATCCTCACCAACATCTGCTATTTTTTATCTTTTTAATAATAGCCACTCCGAAACAAGAACAAACTAAACCTAAGGCTAGAAGAAGAAAAGGAATAACAAAGATCAGAGCAGAACTACATTAAATTCAAACAAAAAAATACAAAAGACCAATGAAACAAAAACCTGGTTATTTGAAAAAATAAACAAAATTAATAGATCATTAGCTTGATTAACCAAGAAAAGAAGAGAGAAGATCCAAATAAGTTTAATTAACAATGAAGCCGGAGACATTACAGCTGACACCAGAGAAATAAAAAAGATCATTTGAGACTCCTATAAACATCTCTATATGCGCCAACTAGAAAACCTACAGGAAATGGACAAATTTCTGGAAACATACAACCCTCTTAGAATAAATCAGGAGGAAATAGAAACGCTGAGCACACCAAAAAACAAGCAGTGAGATAGAATCAGTAATTTTAAAATTGCCACACAAAGAAAGCCCAGGACTAGATGGATTCACAGCTGCATTCTACCAGACATTCAAAGAATTGGTACCAATCCTACTGAAACTGTTCCAAAAGATTAAGAAACAAGGAGGCCTCCCTAAATCATTCTATGAAGCTAGTATCACCCTTTTACCAAAAAAGGAAAGGATATAACAAAAAAGAAAACTGCAGACCAATTTCCCTGATTAACACAGATGCAAAAATCCTTAAGAAAACACTAGCTAACCAATCCAACAGCACATCAAAAATATAATTCCTCATGATCAAGTGGGTTTTATTTCAGGGAGGCAGGGTTGGTTTAACACACGCAAGTCATTTCAATAGATGCAGAAAAAGTATTCAACAAAATCCAGCACCTCTTTATGATAAAAACTCCCAACAAACTAGGCATAGAAGGGACCTACTTCAAAATAATAAAAGCCATATGTGACAGACCCACAACCAAAATCATACTGAATAGGGAAAGGCTGAAAGCATTCTCCCTGAGAACAAGAACAAGATAAGGATGCCTAGTTTTGCCACTCTTATTCAACAAAGTTCCGGAAGTACTAACCAGAGAAATTAAACCCGAGAAAGAAATAAAAGGCATCCAAATTGGAAAAGAGGAAGTTAAACTATCGCTGTTTGCAGATGATATGATCGTATACCTAGAAAATTCTAAAGACTCCTCCAAAAGACCCTTAGATTTGATAAATGAATTCAGTAAAGTCTCAGGTTGTAAAATCAATGTACACAAATCAGTAGCACTGCTAGACACGAACAAAGACCATGCAAGAATAAAATAAAAACTCAGTATTTTTCACAACAGCTGCAAAACAAAAACAAACAAACAAACAAAAAACCCTAGGAATATACTTCATCCAGGAGGTGAAAAATCTCTACAAGGAGAACTACAAAACACTGCTGAAAGAAATCATAGATGACTCAAACTAATGAAAACACATCCCATGCTCATGGATTGGAAGAATCAGTATTATGAAAATGACCATACTGCCAAAAGCAATCTGCAGATTCAACGCAGTTACCATCAAAATACCAACATCATGTGTCACAGAATTAGAAAAAACAATTCTAAAATTCATATGGAACCAAAAAAGAGCCCAAATACCCAAAGCAATCCTAAGCAAAACAAACAAATCTGGAGGCATCACATTACTGGACCTCAAATTATACTATAATACAAGACTATAGTCACCAAAACAGCATGGTACTAGTAAAAGTAGGCACATAGACCAATGGAACAGAATAGACAACTCAGAAATAAAGCCAAATACATACAGCCAACTGATCTTCAACAAAGCATAAATTGCAAAGGTGCTGGGAAGACTGGCAAGCCACATGTAGAAGAATGAAACTGGATCCCATTTCTCACCACATAACAAAAACCAACTCAAGATGGATCACAGACTTAAATATAAGACCTGAAACTTGTAGTCCCAGCTACTCGGGAGGCTGAGGCAGGAGAATAGCGTGAACCCTGGAGGCAGAGCTTGCAGTGAGCTGAGATCGCGCCACTGCACTCCAGCCTGGGGGACAGAGCAAGACTCCGTCTCAAAAAAAAAAAAAAAAAAAAAAAAAGAAAAAAAGAAAAAGACCTGAAACTATAAAACTTCTAGAAGACAACACTGGAAAAACTTTTCTAGACATTGACCTAGGCAAACAATTCCTGACTAAGACCCTAAAAGCAAATGCAACAAAACCAAAAATAAATAAATGCGACCTTATTAAACTAAAAAAGCTTCTGCATAGCAAAAGAAATAATCAGCAGAGTAAACTGACAACCCACAGAATGGGAGAAAATATTTGCAAACTATGTATCCAACAAAGGACTAGTATCCAGAATCTATGAGGAACTCAAACCACCAAGGAAAAAACAAAAAATTCCATTAAAAGGTGGGCAAAAAACATGAACAGACATTTCTCAAAAGAAGATATACAAATGGACAACAACCATGAAAAAATGCTTAACATAGTTAATCATCAGACAACTGCAAATTAAAACCACAATGAGATAACATCTTACTCCTGTAAGAACGGCCATTATTAAAAAGTCAGAAAACGATAGATATGAGGAAAAGGGACTCCTTTTACACTGCTGGTGGAAAGGGAAATTGGAACAACCCTGATGGAAACAGTATGGAGATTCCCAGATTCCTTAAAGAGTTAAAAGTAGATCTACCATTTGATCCAGCAATCCCACTACTGGGGGTCTACCCAAAGGAAAATAAGTCATTATATGAAAATGACACCTGCACACATGTTTATAACAGCACAATTCACAACTGCAACCTAAACGCCCAGCAACTAATGAGTAGATAAAGAAAATGTGGTATATCTACACCATGGAATACCACTCAGCCATGAAAAGGAATGACATAATGTCTTTTTTGCAGCAATTTGGATGGAGCTGGAGTCCATTATTCTAAGTGAAGTAGTAACACAGGAGTGGAAAACCAAAAACTGTATGTTCTCACTTATAAGTGGGAGCTAAGCTATGAGTATGCGAAAGCATACAGAGTGGCAAAATAGACACTGGAGACTAAGAAACAGGGAGAGTGTGAGGAGCTGAGGGACAAAAAAACTACACATTAGGTATGACATATACCACTTGGGTGACAGGTGGACTAAAATCTCCAAATTCACCAAGATATAATTCATCCATATAACAAAAGCCACTTGTACTCCAGAAGCTATTGAAATAAAATGATAAATAAATAAATAAATAAATAATAGTTATTTTGACTAGGGTAAGATGACATCTCATTGTGGTCTACATTTGAATTTCTCTGATGACAAGTGATGTTAAGTATTTGTCATATGTCTGTTGGTTTTTTATATGTCTCCTTTTGAAAAATATCTACGCATGGCATTTACACACTTTTTAATGAAATTTATTGTTGTTGTTGTTGTTGAGTTTTTTTGAGTTCTTTGTATGTCCTAAATATTAGTTCCCTACCAGATTAATCATTTGCGAATACTTTCCCCTATTCTCCAGGTTGTCTGTTCACTACGTTGACAATTTCTTTTGTTATGCAGAAGCTTTTTAGTTTAATTAAGTTCCATTTGCCTACTTTTTTCTTGCCTATGCAAGTCAGAAATTATTTGCTTAGACCAATGTCCGGAAGAGTTTTCCCCAGGTTTTCTTATAGTATTTTTATAGTTTCATGTGTTATGTTTAAGTCTTTTATCCTTCTTGAGCTGACTTTTGTATATTGTGAGAGATAAGGGTCCAGTTTCACTTGTCTGCTCATGGCTAGCCAATGTTCCCAGCACCATTTATGGAAAAGGGTGTCCTTTCTCCAATGTCTTGTCAGTTTCATCAGAGATCAGTTGGCTGTAAATATCTGGCCTTATTTCTGGCTTCTGTACTCTGTTCCATCCATCTATGGGTCTATTTTTGTACCAGTACCATGCTGTTTTGGTTACTATATCCTTGTCATGTAATTTGAAGTCAGGTAATGTGATGCCTCTAGCTTTTTCCTTTTGTTTCAGATTGCTTTGTCTATTTGGGCTCTTCTTTGATTCCATGTGAATTTTAGAATTTTTTTTCTAATTTTATTAAAAATGTGCTTATGAGTCTTGCTGGAAAGCACAGCCCTGTGTACCCCTCACTGAGCCCCCACAGGGGGATTATGAAGATAAAACCCCAGAAGGGGAGTGGCTGGATCTAGGACACACACCTTTGAGATTCTGATAATGTTGCCGCATTGGCCATCTCACGCACTGTGCTGATTAATAGCCACACCTCCAACCCCCAGCGGCGTGCCTAGGCTTCCGGCACTCCGGCCACACCACACGGCATGGAGCTTTGACCCGTGCCAAAGCAGTGGGAATGCGTGTCTTCATAAAGGTTCGCTTTGCTTTTTGTTGCTCCATTCAACAAACATTGGGAAGCTACCATGTGCCAGGCACTGTTCTTGGCGGTGCAGAGTGAGTGAGGGAACAAACAGATGTCACTCGCTGCCCCGAGGAACTTACACGCTGACGAAGGGAGACAGGTGATATCCCCACCATTGCCTTCAGCACCTTTCCAGGGATTAAAAAAGGCACCCGAATTCCTCTTCTGGAAGCTGCCTATTCATGCCTAGTGCCTAGTCCTTTTGGACTGTGGGTTTGTTTGGGTTATAGAATTAGAGGGCCCTTTTGTCTAAGATAAGGTTTGTGACATGCTGTTCTCCTTTTGACTTTGCTTGTGATCACAGTTTCCATGCCTCAAATTTTTATTGTTAGGTGGTCAAATTCTCCATTATTTTCTAGTGGAGCTTCCAGGTTTTCTGTTATATTGAGAAATTTCCTCACTCCAAAATTATATACTAATTCTCTCATGATTTCCTCTGGAAGTTTTATGGTTTCATTTTTTGCACGGTGGTCTTGTTTGCACGTGGAATTTATCCAGGAGAAGGGGCGAGATGTGTATTTCACCAGGCGGCTGCCCTGTTTTCTCAACAGCATCAGCCGAATAATCCATTTCGCCTGTTGATTTGCAATATCTTCTTCATCATAAACTCTGTGCCTACGGATATCTGAGTCCCGGAAACATATGCACATATTTACATACTGATCATATGTTTTTGCCTGTATATACACACATGCTATTTTAAGATCAAGGAGCAATAAATACTGCTGGTAAGATTTGGCTGCTGATACACATGTGCCACTAAATCCAGCCCATCAAAGTTTTCACTGTTCCATTTGCTGAGGTCACTGGTTGTGGCCAGACCCTTTTAGTGCCCATGGACTCCTTCCTTCCCTCCTGGCCCAGGCTGTTCCAGGTCCCAGCATGCTTGGATCTTATAAGCACGAGGAACAGACGTGAAATGGGAAGCAGGTGAATATTTTTATTTCTCATACTTTGATAAGAAATGGAGCATGACATGAGATCATCTTAGCAGGCACATCCAGGAAGCTGAAACCGTGTATGTGAAGCCTGATCACAGCTTTTATCTGCCCATACCTGGCCGGTGGGTGTGGCTGTCTTCCTTTTGCACCTGTGCACATCTCAACCCAGAGACAACAGACACAGGGGCAGAAAGGCCTCGCTTACTTGGTTTCCCCATCTGAGAGGCTCGGGGCCCTGCAAAACCAGAACACGACTGTGGCACCAGACGGAAACCAAAAAGGAGGAAATCTCCGCTTTTCAAGGCTGACGGCTATCCACAGCAGGCCACAGCAGGCCAGCTTATCTCCAGGGAAGATGTTCTCCTTGCTGCTCTTCCCAATCCCCCTCCCCTGTACCCCGAGAGCTTTCTATGAGAGGGGTCCAAGGACCAAGGCAGGATGGGAGGCCTCTTTCTCCAGCCCGATCGCACAGGACCTCTCCGCTGGGCCCAGGCTCCCTGCACGCTCAGGGCTGTGGTCCTGGCACATGTGCTGCTTGAGGTGGTCCTTCCCTCGGCCTGCTGTGTCCCACCACCCTTCCCACACCCTTTTATCTTCTGGGGGACGCCCCTGCCATGGCCGGCCATGCTCAAGCATCTTGTCTTCCGCAAGGCCTTCTGGGCACTTCTGGGTGGAGACCACGCTCGGCCTGCGGGGCGCGGCTCTCCTGGCTCCATCCACACAAGGCGAGGCAAGCACAGCCCCTGCACCCTGTCCCCACTGGCCTGGAGCTCCTTGGAGAACACAGGATGCGGGAAGCTGGTCCCCAGAACTGGGCAGCGGGGCTGGCACTGAGTGGACACGCAGAAAATCTGTGAGTGACACACACTGGCTGGTCAGCCAGCTGAACAGCAGTGAGTACCCCCATTGCCAGCAGCCCCACTGAATGTCAGTTCCTTTAGGGCCCAGTATTCATGGTACTCCCGTTGCAGGAGACAAAATAAGAGAAATAAAAATTAACGGATCTTGGCTTTGATAAAATGTTCAGACACCTGTCACACACAGATGAGATCGGACTTCCGCCACTGGAGGTGAGATTTACTTTATCGGCATGGCACCCTCTGTGAAATATCCTCCATCCACCACTTCTTGAAGAGTTCAATGATCACTGTCCCTGCTTGAACCGGAGACACAGGCACATACACAGCCGCGTCGCTCAGTGACCCTGTGCATTTGCAGGGAAGGTGGTGGGCGTGTTGGTTCCTTCCAAGAGAAAGAGGATTCAGGATGCCAGGATACCCCAGGCCAAGGGATGCCAGCTCAGCCACGCTGACACTCACAGCCAAGGCCTGAGCATGTTCTGAGGACAACCTCGATGTGCAGGTGCTCCTCTCCTCCTCCAGTCTCTACCACTGCATGTTCAGTCTCCACTGTCCTGAAAACTCTATGATCAGTGCCTGGACTTTCATGGGGAAAGACGTAGAGGAGAGGGCAGGAGGAGCCCTGGAGCTCGGAGGCCACCTTGGCACACCTGGGGCTGCGGCCCAGAGTCTCCGCTTTCTTGCTGCCTTAACAGACTCCCGTGACTCGGCCTGACTGGCTGGAACACCACCACCAAGCAATTCCCTACAAGGAATAAACATTCTACCAAAAAAGTAGCATTGACCTCTGCTGTCATCATGCGCTAGCTGCCATTCACTTCTTAGTACAAATTGATACCGTATTTGCATTGTTGATCTCAGCTCTACTAAGAGAAGAAGGAGAATCAGAGAATGGGGTACTTAGGGAGGGCCCCTGACTTGCCCCCTAAAATGAAAGGCAGAACAAGGGACCTGGGGATCAGGTCCTTTGCAAGGGAAGAGTGGGCTCCAGGGAATCAGAAGGAGAGGAAGAGGCTGGGGAGTCCATGCCCCCCTCACCCTGCCCTTCCTCTACAAGACACTCCCTGTGTGGTCTGTCAGTGCCAGGGACCAGAAGTTTTGTTGCAGCTTTCATCTGGGACCCTGCTCAGTTTTCTCTTCTTAAATAGGGCCAAATAGTTTCCTTCTCTCCTCCATTTTTTTTTTGAGATGGAGTCTCACTCTGTTGCACTGCCAGGCTGCAGTGCAATGGCAAGATCTCGGCTCAGTGCAAGCTCCGCCTCCCAGGTTCACACCATTCTCCTGCCTCAGCCTCCCGAGTAGCTGGGACTACAGGCGCCCGCCACCATGCCCGGCTAATTATTTTGTATTTTTTCTAGTAGAGATGGGGTTTCACCATGTTAGCCAGGATGGTCTCGATATCCTGACCTGGTGATCCTCCTGCCTCGGCCTCCCAAAGTGCTGGGATTACAGGCATGAGCCACCACACCTGGCCTTTCTCCTCCATTTTTTTTTCTGACGCAAACTTCACAAAGTGTACAAAGGTACAAAACACAAAATGCAAGAAATTAGCCATGATCGAGCATCAGAAGGCAACTGCAGTCATCCCTGGGGAATTTTTCATTATATCCCAGTCTTCACCAACAAGCAGGTCTACCCAGGGAGATGGCCCAAAATTGAACACGTGCATGCAGATAGCAGGACACACCAGCCAGAGCCGACCTGAGGTGAGGAGCCCTCTTTTAGAAAAATAGCATAAAATACAAAAGCAAAATTAAATACAAATGTGTATCTTTACCTTGAATGAGCAAAAAATCACAACACATCCCAAATACAAAAAAGTTTAAACAACTGCAAACATCACATAATCGAGGAAATTGGCATAATCTTTAGACCAAATTCCTGTTATGTTTTGAATTATTTTTGCTCTTACATTTTGGGGCTGTGTCCTTGTCAAACATCTCTGCATACAAAACAATTTTGTAACATCATTTTCTATAGTAGAATAGATATTTAATTCAAATTTTCCTGTAGCATCTATGCTCAGAATTGCTGTTTTTTACAAAAATTCTTCATAATTGCTGCACCTGAGGAGGTTCTCACCTGTGGCGACATGCCCATGGGTGCAGCGCTGCTGTGTCTCTGCCCAATGGTCTGGGCATCCTGGTATGTTCTATTTTGTGGGATTATCATGGGAAATGACACAGGTGTGGTGTGTTTATCACTATGTACGTGGCATCATCAAGTCTATTCTGATAGAAAAGAACTCAAAAGTGACTAGCTGTTGAGAAATTACACATCCAACTTGGGAGGAATTTCCCAGACTGGCTTCTGGCTCTTCACGCTTCAAACCAGGTCCCCTGGTGACCCATTGCCCACCTGCTCCTGAGGGCCAGGACTCACGGGAAGTGTCCCTCAAGACAGAGCGTCTGGCCCACGCCTTCCTTTTATGACAAGAGGTGTCTCTGCCCATGCCGCACTGCCATAGCAAAACACCACCGGCTGAGTAATTTATAAAGAGCAGAAGTGTGTTCCTCACCGTCCGGAGGCTGGGAAGCCAGGGCAAGGCTCCTCCAGTTCCACCATCCAAGGCAGGTTCCTGGCTGCCCCCTCCCATGCAGCGGTGCTGGAGCGGCCCCACAGCTGCTCTCCCAGGTGGCAGTCTTAGGCCTGTGGCCCTCCCAGGCTGATGCTGCATGCTGGTGACTCTACGGGTCTTTGTGGGGAGCCCTGCTCTCATGTATCCACTAGGCATTACTCTAGCAAGGGCTGTCTGTGAAGACACCACCCCTGGCAGATGGGGCCCCGAGCCTCTCTGAGGCTTCTTTTGCATCTGGGGTGGAAGAAGCTTGTGCCTGCTCAGCTCATGCACCCCGTGCACCTGCAGAGGCAGCGCCACGTGGACAACACCAAGGTCACAGCTGGTACCTTCTGGGGCAGCAGGTCCAGCCTCTCACCTGGCCCACTTGAGCCACAGCTGGGGCGGCTGATGAGTGCTGGGTCAGAATGAGGGGAATGGAAACTTGAGGCAGCCCTGCGCAGTGAGCCCCAAGATCTCATGGGCACCCTGGGCCCCTCCCTGAGCCCTTCCACCCTCAAGGGCCTGGCTCTCTGGGCCTGTGAAGGACTTGGCAGCCCCAGGCTCTCTGAAATGCCTGCAGGCTCCTGCTCCCGTTGTCTGGTGAACAGCATCTGGCCGTGGCCTATCTGTACTCACCCTTTGATCAAAGGGTGCCTTGGCTACCCTTGGTGCTCTCTCCCCAACCCCCTTCTCATTCTGTACCTGGCCAGACAGAGGATGTTCCAACTTTAAGCTCTGCTTCTCTTTTGATTGTAAATTCCATTTTTAACTTGTTTCCCTCTTTTCACATTTTACTATAAGGTCAAAAGAAGCATCCTGAACCCCTTGCTGCTTAGAGATTCCTGACAAATGTCCTAGTTCACTGCTCGCAAAGCTCTGCCTTCACCAAGTCCCAGGACACAGACACAGCTCACCCAGTTCTTGGCCACATTATAACAAGGGTACCCTTCCCTCAGTTTCCAATACCTTGTTGCTGAGAAAGAAAATAAACTTTTTATCTGAGGAATGCAAGCCCCTTTAAAGTAACAGGCCTGTTAAATGGGCATTAAAACTATGACAGCAGTCACGTCACACCCCCTTGAGCTAAATAATTACTTCTTGAAGCCACCTGCTCTGTGGGGTCTCAACTGACAACAAGCAGTCATAAAGGGCCACATACCAGGCACCATCATCACACCCTGTGTTCAGCAGTGCACAGCCAATCACTAAACAGTGCCCCTCCTGTAAACAGTGGGAAATCCCACCCGACAGCTTTGTAGCAGCCACCCCTCGTTCTCTTTCGCCTTTAAACACCTACTCGGAGCACTCCCCTATGCAACCTAGAAGTGTGTCCCGGCGGCTGCCCTCACTCTGGCTCTAGCAAAGGCTGTAAAATTACCTGCTGTGTCTCAGCTTCTCCCTTTAGGTCAACATTCCTCCTTTCCATCTGAAGCCTCCTCTGAATGGCCCTTCCCATCTATATCACTACTTTTCCCGACAGCTCTCCCCTCCTCTGAGCTCTCACCAGGATCGTCCTTAATGCTCTGTTCATGGCAATGCAGGCTTTTCCCAGCATTCACTCTGAAACGATTCCAGCCTCTGCCCCATTCCTGGTTCTAAAGCTGCATTCACATGTTGGGTATATTTTATGGCAATAGCCCACTTCTCAGCACCAGTTTCTGCCTTAGTCTCGTTTGTGCTGCTAGACAAACGAGCTGAGGCTGGGTATTTTATGAAGAACAGAGGACAGAAGTCCAAGGCCAAGGCACTGGCAGCTCTGTTGTCTGATGCAAGTTCCTGGCCACTCCACCCCAAGGAGTGTGGAGGGCCCAACCCCTGCTCCTGTGTCTGGAACATGGAGTCAAAGAAGGTGATTCTCAAACCTCGAGATGTAATGCCATTTGCATTGTTGGGTATTGAAATTACTTTGGATCAGCTACTCTTTCCTTCTTGCCTATGTCTCCTTTTTGGAATCAGGATGTTTATCCTATGTGTGTTCCACCATTGTATTTTGGAATCGGATGACTTGCTTGATTTCGCAGGCTCACAGCTGGAGGGAAATTTTCCTCGGAATAAATCACACTTTGGGTCTCACTCATATGATGTTTAAAAGACTCTGCGCTTTTGAGTTGATGCTAGAACAAGTTAAAACGTTTGGAATTACTGAAATGGAATGAATGTATTTTGCGTGTGGGAAGGACTCAAGTTTTGAGGGTCAGAGTAGAATAATATAATTGAATATGTCCCCTCTAAAATTTAGAAGTTAAAACTTAATGGTCATGTGAACACATTAAGAGGTGGGGCCTTTAGGAGTCGCTTAGATCACAAGGGATCCTCCCTGGCAAAGGGGATGGAGGCCCTTATAAAAGAGGCTTCTCGCACGGTTATCTCCCACTTGCCTTTCCCCCTCCTGCCAGTGCTGTGAGGACACAGCCTCCCTCCCCTCGGGCGGATACAGAATCACGGCGCCATCTTGGACGTGGAGGGCAGCTTTTGTGGTCTCATGACCTGTTAAAGGCCGTGCCTCTTGACACCATCACACTGGCAACTAAGTTTCAACACATGAAACGTGGAGGGGACACATTGGAACCATCACAAGAGGTGAAAGAATTCCTGAGAGTCAGGCCCACCACCCGCATAGCTGGCTTTGCCTCCCTGGAAAGTGAGCCCCCAAAACACATCCCACTAAACTCAAACTAAATGAAGCACCTCCCTTCCCCCAGCTGGGTCCTGCCACACCTACAAACACTCCACCACCACCCACAAGGCAGGGACAGCGACAGAGAGGGTCACGCTGGGAACAGACAGCAGCCTTCCTGAGGCCATCGAACATCCGCAGATTTTACACAGACACGTGATCGTGGGAGCACAGCGCCAAGAGTTCCCCGGGGTCTCGTAAGGCGCCAAAAAGGAGGGTCCCAGTACTTCAGTTTCATTCATTCATTATGGACCCGTCACTGCCAATGTAGAATTGTTGCTTTACTTACTATTTTAACAAACGCCACAATCTTAGAAGCTCTTAATAAGCATGATTTAAATGGCTGCAAATAAAAAAATATATAAAAATAAAATAAATCAATGGCTGCCAAATATTTCTACAAAACATGGACTGCAATTTGCTCTGCTGCTGCTGTTGGGCATTTGGACTTCTTTTTTATATTTAATCTCCGAATTTTACACTGCATTCTGTGGGATGTCCTCATGCGTCCTTCTCTGCGGGACTGTAATGACCTTCTAAATGCTCAGCTGTGAGTGAGTTTTTCAGAGCTGCCGGCTTTGCTAAACATGGCTGCTCTTTTACCCCACGTCCACCACCACGCTGTGCTGAAGGCGCATCCATCGACCTTCCTCAGAGACGAGGAAAGAGCCAATGAAAGATGCTAGAAAGCTCTAACAAGTCCCAGGGCCACGTGGGGGTCACGGGGGCTGGTTCTCTCCAGATCCTGTAATGCGTTTCCGATGACTGCTCCTTAGGAAAGGTCCCATGGACAGAACTGCTGGGTTAAACAGACAAACTAATTAAGAGTCTCGATTTATATTAATCCATTTCTTTCCAGAAGCGTTGTACCAAACTGCATGATCACCAGCTGCACGTGAGCCTCCCGACCACATGAAGGAGCACAGAGAACGTACACGCTCAACTGATTGTAACAGCCCACGTTAGAAACAGACTGATGCCCCCAAAGCAAGTAGGTATGCGCATGTCTGCACCGTGGGGTACCACAAAAGCTGGTAAGGCCGGAACTTTTTCGCCGGGCGCGGTGGTTCATGCCTGTAATCCCAACACTTTGGGAGGCCGAGGAGGGCGGATCACCTGAGGTCAGGAGTCCGAGACCAGTCTGCGCAACATGGTGAAACCCCATTACCACTAAAAATACAAAAATGAGCCAGGCGTGGTGGCGAGTGCCTGTAATCCCAGATACAGGGAGACTGAGGCAGGAGAATCCCTTGAACCTGGGAGGCGGAGGTTGCAGTAAGACAAGATCATGCCACTGCACTCCAGCCTGGGTGACAGAGCAAGACTCCATCTCCAAAAAAAAATAAAAATAAAAAACAGATTTTTTCAAGTTCACTACATTTTGGTCTTTAAGGTACACTGCTAAGTAAAACAGTAACGTAGCGGAATTCAAGTCAATAACATCCTCTCCACATTTTCAGGAATCCATAGGCTTGCATGGAATACACTGGAAATATTCTGATTATCTGATTATCAATAGAAGTTTCCAATATGAGAAGAATAGGGTTGGGAGGAGCTTGATTCTATAAGCTTCTAAATTGTTTCCATTTTTAAAATAAAATATGTTCATTTTTTACAGTTTATTTAGAAAAAAGAAACACTTAAATAATTAAGTCTGCCGTCTGTGGAAACGTACACCTCAGTTTTGATTGCTTCATGATTCATATTAACCAGGTGCCATCCTAAGTGGAAGTTTGAGTGAAGAGGTTTATTCTGGTTCACAGATTGTGGGGACAGAAGTCAAAGGTCACGCCGACACCGATGTGCTTGATTTATCACACAGCTGCCAGGAATTCCACTTACAAATTCAAGAACCATAGACAACAGCCCTCAAAGCTTTTCAATGACAGCAGTGACGCCTTCTCAGGAGTAGTGACAGTGTTCATGGATATGCGTATACCTGTCTTCAGCCCTCCGAGCTGCGCTCTCTGGGTTACAGAGCACAGCTGGGTGGTAGATGACCTCACTTAAGACTTCCAGTACGTCCCACTGCACTCTCGCATGGGTGACAGAGTGAGACTCCGTCTCAAAAAAAAAAAGACTTCCAGTATGTCACAGTGGTGACCTTCATGGTCTCGTCACTTAAGATCAGCTCACTGTTTAATGAGGCTGATGACAAAAAAGCACCCTAAGACCTCTTTGACCAGACAGCAAACTGCCTCTGGTAGAACATCCAAGCTGGCCCCAATCACAGGTGCTCACGTCTCTATTTTAAGGGAATGCATGCACAGGACTTCTCAGCCTCATGGGAAAACGCCCCCGTCATGTCAACCGTTCACATTCGAAGATGGTGCGTCTCTCCCATGAGGATGAATGTGGGTCACCGCAAACGATTCAGGGACACATCTGCTTCTGGTTTGTGGCCCTGCCATACCGAGTTTCAGAGAGGTTGGAATCCAGAGGCCAGTAGGGGCCGGGAGGTGGGGAAGGCACTCTCCTAACTGCTGCTTCTGCTCACATCCCGCCGGCGAGCGCTAGCCCTGGGGGCAGCCTGGGAAATGTGATGGCAGCCTCCCTAGCCACTTTCCACTTCAGACCTCCTCCAAGTGGGGGGTGGGCATCTTAAGGGGACAGCTGGCTGTCTCCACCGCAACCCAGCTGGGAGGGGAGAGGCGTGATGTCACATTAGGTCACACTAGGGCATGAATACGTGAGTCCCCACAAAACCCCAAAGTAGGAAGCTAAGCCCCAATAGGACGATATGAAGAGGTGAAACCTTTAGGAGATGTGAAGTGATGAGAGCAGAGCCCTCATGGATGGAATGAGCGACCTCATGGAAGGCCCGAAGGGAACCAGCTAGGCCCTCTTAGCCCTTGCTCCCTCCTGCCATGGGAGGACACAGCAAGGAGGCGCCATCTTGGAAGCCTGGTGGCTTAGCACTGGGCCTGGGCCTAGCTAGGGTCTTGGCAGCTCTCATCAGGCACCAGATCTGCTGATGCCTTGGTCCTGGACTTTCCATTCTCCAGACCTGTAAGAAAAGCATTTCTCATCTCTATAAATTGTCTAGTCTAAGAGTATAGAGGAGCGGGAACAGACTGAGACAGGTCACAAACCAGCAAGTGGGCTGGCCCGATGGCCCCACCACAAGCAGGCTCAGGAAACTGGCACCTGCCCCCCCACCCTGCCCCCGCATCTACATGGCCTCCATATGCACAGCTTGAAAATGGGGATGAGGATGAGTCCATCCACCCCAAATGCCAGAAAGCACCTGTCAAAGCCATTTCCCATGTACAGTGGAGAAACTGTCCGTGATGGTGGGTCCTGGCTTCCCAGCAGCGGTGGCCACAGTCACTGTGTGGGCTCCAGTGGGGCACGGAGCCAGCTCAGATCCAAAGGTGTGTGTCCTCAAATCAAAGGACATCTGTCCAGTGTCCTTCCACTAGAGGCTAAAATAAACCAATGAGCCTGCGGGTAAGGGAAGAATGTTTCTTGGGGCAGAAGACTCCCTTCAGGGAGAGGCCCCGATGGCAGTGGACTTGTCCCTCAGCCCCTTCACAGCCTGGCCCCAGGCAGAACAGGTTGGCTGGAGAGAAGAGCCCACCTCTCGGTTTTATGAACAGGCAGAGGAAGGGATCCTTGATGGAGGTTCACACCATCTCTGACCACAAGCCCAGTGGCCTTTCTGCTTGAAGTCCAGGGTCTTGACCATGGGGTCAGGGCTCACGTGCTCTGCAGCTGGATCTGGTCTAAGGCCCCTGTCCCTGGACCTGTCATGCCCTCAACCCCTGCCACCCGGCTCTTTCTGGGGCTGCACTGAGAATCCAGCCTCTCCCAGACCAAGCGGCCCATGGCATCAACTCAATGGCAGCCTCTCCCAAAATCCAATTTCATTACACCTGGCTTTACTGCCGTTGTGACTGACAAGTGGTCCCCTTAAAAAGGGAAAAAGAAGGTTAATGCTCGCAATTCATCCTTTTATCCCAACAGCTCTCCTTTATGGAACGCCACATAATTAACCAGTGACGTGCACGCCTCATTGTGAGGCACAAATCAGATGCATCCCAACTCTCTGCTGTGTCACTTGCTTCAGAAATGTGAAGCTATGAAACCTAAACAGGTTTTCAATTTCTCCTAATGTAAAAAAAAAAAAAAACAGCAATAAAATCAAAAAGTGAGAGAAAAAGGGAGAAAAAGTTAGACTCTGGAAATAGCATCCTTCATGAAACTACATTAGATGTGAATTATTCCCACAATGATTTCTCTGTGGAATTGCCTCATTCCAGCCTGTATCTCACATTAGGGAATTTTGTAACAGGCTGAACTTTTATTTAAAAATGCTTCTCTTAAGTAGCTCCAGTGCAGCCCTGGGGACGTGGAGGTAAACGCCGCCTTCCATGGCCTTCCCTTGGCAGGGCACATCCTGGCCTGGGGTCATGGGGCCACCCTGGCATCTCTGACTGCCACTTCCTGGAAAGGCAGCATGTCCGCAGCCACCTTGCTGAGGTCACCTGGTCTTGGAGGCTCAGCACGGCGGACCTCATCCTTCCTAAGAGGCTGCAAAGGTTGTTTTATCCAAAAGATGTTTTATGCAAAGGGTGCAGGAGACGGGAGGCTGTGGGAGCCCCTGGGATGGACCCAGAGTTGGGAAGCTACGACAGAGGGCCGAGGTGGTGACTGCCCTCCACCTGGCTCCTGTGCCAGGTCTCTGTGGGGTCTGTGGGCAGACAGCTTGCCATATGAGCAGGGGTCCACGGGCAGATGGTTTGCCATATGACCACAGAGGTCTTACTATAGCTCTGTAGCTCCTTTGTCTGGAAGACTCTGAAAGGGCAGGAAAATGGATGCTGCAGACACGAAGCCCTCAGGATTCCCAGGCGGGAGAACTGGCTGGTGGCTCTGGAATAAGAAGTACAGGCGGATTTGAAGGATGTCATGGACAACGAATGAACTGCCAATCGGGTGTACGCCAAGGTCCGCAAAGGCAAATCCTCATGGAAACACCATCTTGGGTCACCAGAAGGGCTGGTCCTGCGGACCGGCTGGCAGCCTGGGAGTGGACTCAGGGCACTGGGCAGGGAGGTCAGCCCGGGACACACCCTCCAAGGGGGTCCTGGAGTGAAGACCGGTGTGGGAGCTCTGCCCAGGCCTCCCAGGCCCTGGGGCCCCAGACAGCCAAGGAAGGGAAGAATCCACCTGCCTCACCTGAGCCTTCCTGGAGCAGCCCTCAAAGGAAGGGGCACGAGGAGAGGCAGAATAGAGGGCGTTTTATCCATGGAACAAGCGCCCCTCGTGGGCGGCTGCCCGCCAGGCCTTGCACAGGCCCTGGGTGCAAAGTCCGTGCAATCAAGGACCCCGTGGCTGAGCTCAGTGGGCAGCATGTGAAGGAGGGGCAGAGGTCACGTGTTCCCAAAGGGACGACTGTGATGAGAACAAGAGCATCGTGAGGGGTGCAGGGTCCTCCTGGAGCCCAGAAGTAGCAGCTGAGCTCAGCCAGGGTGAAATAGTGGCTGGGGCAGCCCCGACAGTGATTTCCCAGGGATGTGGGGTGTAGGACAGGGAGGCCTGGTCCTCCTTGAAGAGGACAAGATCATGAGGAGAGGGTGGGGTGCGTCCAGGGAAAAGCCAGATGCTCCTCTGGCCAAGCGAGTGGTGCGGGAGGACGTGGAAGGATTTGGTACAGTCACTTCACTCCCAGAGGGGCCAGGGAAGCAAATGGTCTTTGAAACTCTGTTTGTTCCTAATTCTCAAATAGGCCTTTCTTGGCGTCCCCGTGGCTGGTCCCCTCCATCAGTTCCCCTCTTCAGAGCTGAGCCTGGAATCAGAAAGTGCTTTGTCCTTTTCAGCGAGCGTCGGAGTGGGCGCAACTCTGCTGGCCACTGGCCAAGAAAGCTGCATGGAGATCTTCAGGGAGGTCCCCACCCCAATCCCCTCACTTGCCCCGACCTCTTCCCCTACCCTGATCCCCTCCCCCACCCAATCTCCAGCTCCAGGCACAGCGTGATTCCATATCTCCAAAGGGAGGTTCTGTCCTGGGAGACCCCAGAGGTCACAGGAGCTTTCCAAATGGGCTGAAAGCCAGCATGAGTGTCACCTGGTTTCACGCGCAGGCCTGGTGGACAGGCGTCTTGCTGCCGAGGCTTTGCTGCCCAGGAGGGAGCCTGCAGGGCCGGCACTGCAGTGATGCAGGGCAGAGTTCAAGTTCACTGTTTACAGGTGACACAGCGGCTCCAACATGAAGACAGATGTTCCCTTGAAGTGGCAATGCCGGCTTCTCCCTGCAGCTCTCCCTTGAGTCAGTTGCTACCATTTTGTTCTCCCCTGGCTCCAGTTAGCAGACCAGAAACAGCTACATCAGGTTTAAGAACATTCATGGGGGAAAACCTGAATATGGAGAAAGCTTCCCCCTTGGCCTGGAGGCCTCATACAGATTGGGAGATGTGTCCGCTTCCTGTGAGGACAGCGCGGGCCTCTGCAGCAAGAGGAGGGGTGTGGGGCTGAGGTCCATGCGACCTCAGATGCGCCAGGCCCGGGAACCAGGACCGCCCTCACAGCTCGGGCTTCCCATCAGCCTTGAAATACCGAGCGGGTGGTCCCTGACACCGAGTGGGTCTTAGGAGGACAAGCATCATGGAAAGAAGAAAGAAGGTACCAGGCTCAGCTGGAAATAGGCTGTGTCAAGAGTGAGAGACCCAAGGCTCCAGGCGGCTTCAGGGAGGCAGGCAGGGGAGGCTGTGCTGAGAGGGAGTCAAGGTTCCCCGAACTCCACTTCCACAATGAGCCAACCCACCCGTGCCACCAAGGCACCCTAGGGACCAGCCCAACCACAGAGAGGCCAGCCCTGCCTAGCCCACTATCCCACATGAGGACCCCAAGGACCAGCTCAAAGACCAAGAAAGGACGGGACTAGGTGGAGTCAATATGACCGTCACTAGTCACCTGTGATCTCTTGATGCCTGAGCCAAAGCGGTTCCTCCAGGGGAAAGCTTCCAAATTCAACACCCCTCCTCCATGACGGATGCCCAGGTTACGTCACTTGGAGGAAGCTCCCTCTCATGTGACATGAGGATGCCTATCATCTGTGTCACCCTCTGGCCACAGAGTGCGAAGCCTCAGAGGGGGCCTGTGAGCCTGGCTTTCCTTAACATGGCTGCTCCTCAGCTCCGAGCCCACAGAGCTCGACAGAGATGCATGTGAACGATGGTGAGCTCCGCAGAGACCAGCTGCCGAGAACGCCCGGTTCACAGGCTGCTTCCACGTCCTCAGCATCCCCTTCTCATGTTGTGTCTGAGCAGACAGATTTTCGTAGCTGCAGTTAAATGATAAATCAGAGGTCATGTGCTAATGCTCCACAATCTGTCCCCTGCCCCACCGTTTCTAGGGAGGGGGAAGCCATTACCTTTCTTAGGATGTAGGTTGAGCGCTTCTAACCTGAAAACACATAATCCAAAATGCTCCCAAATCAGAAACTTTCTCCGTGCTGACCCCAGAAGTGGAGAATTTCACATCTCACCTCATGTGGCTCATCTCAGTCAAAACACAGTCAAAACTTGGCCGGGCGCAGTGGCTCACGCCTGTAATCCCAGCACTTTGGGAGACCGAGGCGGACGGATCACGAGGTCAGGAGATCGAGACCATCCTGGCTAACATGGTAAAACCGCGTCTCTACTAAAAATAGAAAAAAATTAGCCAGGCGTGGTGGCAGGCGCCTGTAGTCCCAGCTACTCGGGAGGCCGAGGCAGGAGAATGGCGTGAACCCGGGAGGTGGAGGTTGCAGTGAGCTGAGATTGCACCACTGCACTCCAGCCTGGGTGACAGAGCGAGACTCTGTCTCAAAAAAAAAAAAAAAAATCGTAGTCAAAACTTTGTTTCAGGTACAAAATTAATAAAAATACTCCATAAAATTACTTTCAGGCTATGTGTATAGGGTGCGTAGGGAACATCAGTGAATTCTGTGTTCAGGCTTAGGTCCTAGCTCCAGGATACCTCAGTAAGTATCAGCAAGTGTTCCCAAATCTGAAACACCTGTCGTCCCAAGCATTTCAGATCAGGGAAACCAAAGGTGGAAAGCATTCTTTCTCAGCCTGGCTCTGACAAAGAAGCCGAAGTCTGGAAAATCAAGAGTCATTAAATAGAAACGTGGACCACGTTTACTGATAATGTCTAGTGTAGCAGTAAGGGGAAGTGGATACCTGTATACTGTAATTATGATTTAAAAATAGGAGTTTTATTTTAAAAGCATTAGGGAATCACTGTTAGAACTTTAATGAACAGATATTTTTATATGCACGCAGCATGACTAGTAAAGTAATTCTTTTGCCACAAAGTAAATGTCTTAGATAAATGCACTTATAAATGTAAAATATATATAGCCTTTGCCATTTGTGAGGCCTGCTAACCTTCTCTGAATAACCACTTTAATTCTATAGGATCTGGAAACTGAATGGTCTCATTTGTCCTCCTACCAGTGACAAACACAGTATCATAGTAGGGCAATAATTATTATATTTTATAGTTAAGTAGTTTTTAAAATAAATGATAAAATAAAGCACTTTGTAATTATCTAAATAAATATAGCTATTTAAATAATTTTAAGCTTAAAGAAGACTTTGTAATATTAATTTACAAAGATAATGCTTTTAAAATGTTACTTTTTAATATATCAGAATCTTGATGTGACACCCAAAATAGCAAGGTTACAAATATATTTTACACCTAGAAATAGAGGCTTCACTGATTAGGCTGCATTTTGATGCCGTCGTAATTTCGCTGTGCCAGTCATACCAAAAGAAGCAAGTTTCTCTAGCTTACAAAAATGAATGTTTTTTGCAATACAGAAGGAACAGAAGTGACATAAAGATCACCTGGAGAAGAAGAAAATATTCAACATGAAATCCATTGCAGATTTTCCAGCATTTTGTCATCATCTCTCCCTCTCTTTTGTTATTACCATAACTTCAAGAAAAATAATGGGAGCTGTTGTTGTGCCCATTTTCCAGATGAGGAGACTGACAAAGGGATCCAGCTCTCCCTGAGGTCGCCCAGCCTTGCAGACAGTGTCAGCTCAAGGACCAAGGCCACTGACTCCAGGCCCCTGTGCCCACAGTCCCCCCAACCCTCTGCCCCCAGGGCCATCCTTGGCAGGAACTAAGAACCTGCCCACTTGCCTCACTTTTGTCCCTGCTGGAAGAGAGCCAGCTCTGACCAATCCACTCTCCAAAGACCCTCTGGCAGGGAGACATCCAAATGACCGGCACTCCGTGGGCAATACCAAGGTGAAAATAAAAAGAAAGAATTATCTGGGAAAAATTCCAGGCTTCACCATTCACAAGTGGCACAGCTTTGCCAAGTTGTTTTTACCTCCAGACTGTACAACTAAGAACTCTTAGGCATTGCGGGAACACACTGCATGTCTTGAGCTGTCCCGCAGGCCCGCCCTACTGGATTCAGCCCTCATCTCCGCCCTTCCCTCAGTTTCCTCCCTCCTCTCCTCCTCCTCCTCCTTATTCCTTCTTTGCTAACCACCCCATCAGGCCCACGTTACAAACATATTTTGCTTATTAGTAATAAATTATATCTGCAGTCAATAACTCATTTTCCAAAAATTAATTTGGGAGCAACAGTACACAGTTCCCCATGTAAAATCAGGGAGGCATGGCAAGCCACCGAAACAGCAAGTCATTACTTCATGTCATCACTATTTCATCGTTTTCCTCCAATGAAGATTTACACCTTCCACGAGGCGCTACCATGCACTTCAATGTGTGAATCAAAATCAAACGTCTAAGGACATTGTCCCATCTCCCCTTCTGTCTCACCCACCTGGAGACCTTCTGAACGTTTGTTCTCTGAAGCTGCCTGCAGCCTGTGCATCTGTGCTTTGGGGACAGCAGCAAAGGGGTGTTGGGATGGTATCTGGGTGGTGGGGCACGGTCAGGGCCGTATGGCTCGGCCCTCCCTGCTGGAGGCACCGTGGCTCTGGTCCCACAAGTGCAAGAAATAGGCCAGCCTCTCAAAGGAGGACTGAGGAGGACTGTCCCTGGCCTTCAGGCCCCCAGCAGATGAGGCTAGAACCGGATCAGATGCCTCACATCAGGAAGCATGTGGTGAGCTGCGGCCAGGGCTGGGCCCCTGAGCACGGGGCTCTGACTTTCCCTGCCAGATTTTTCCATGGTGTGGCAAAGGGCTTCCTACTACAACCCCTTTCCCGGTGTTCTGGGCCCATGCTGTGGCCGGAGCTAGATGTGCTAGAACCCCTTCTATTTAGTTACACCACGAGAAGTAATGTCCCAGGATGCAGTGACTTCTCCATCCACATCCTGGGACAAGTGAAAGCAAAGCCCCAGCCAGAGAGCCAGTTTCAGCCAAAGGAGGAAACTTGCCAGAAATGTCATAGGCAGCTCCTTTCATGAAGGCAACCTATTTTATTAACACTTCAACCTTCAAACAACATAAATGCAGCACGAAAATTGCACACATGGAGGAAAGAAGCGGCTGGGCGGTGGACTCGGGCCTGAGAACGAGCCCCACCCCAAGAAGCACCAGAGCACCAGGCCTGCCGGGCCACTTGCCAGCGTCACCTCTAGTGCAGACGGCGGCTGGGAGCATCCATTTCTCTGATGGAAAAAGATGATGTAAGAAATATAAATAGAAAAGTAATCAGATAAACAGAAGTTTCCACAGCATTAGTTCCTATCTAAGATCATTTTTATGCTGTTACTGAGTAGACACATGACCATCCACAGATCTTTCCTTATTTCTTCTCCAGATTAGCAAGCAAGAATTAATGATAAGATTGGGGTGATTCTAAGGTTTTGTGACTCAACTGTGCTATGGGGCCACATTATCCTCATCTCCCACATGTATGAGAGACCACCTCATCTCCCCAGGTGACGGTGTGGGAACCATCCCTGCCCAAAAGTGCAGGCTAAGGTTGTGTCTGCCTCTTCATTCACACGCTGTACCCACTGGCACCATCTCAACTCAGACTCAGACCCAGGGCAAGACAGCAGCTCTCCCACTGCCTTCAGGCCCATGCAGAGTTGATTCTGCAAGGCTGTGACACAAAGGTCTTGAAGGGAGCATCCTTTTTGGTGTCCACATCCATGGCCTGAAGTTAAGGGTATACCAGTGCATGATCAGAAACTCCATTCATCCAGCCCAAATGCATGATGGGAAACTCCATTTATCTAGAACAAATGCATGATGGGAAACTCCATTTATCCAGCCTAAATGCATTATTTGAAACTGTTCATCTATGCTTGGCATCTGTAAGCTCAAAATAATTAGGCCTTACCTAAAGCACCTATAATTAAAAGTGGAATGGTAAATGAAAGAAGTGAGGGTCCAGGTGATTTTACAAATATGTAAAGATAATGCTTTGAAGGGTCTTAGGTACTCTCCTGAAATTAACATCTCTAGTTTGCACATCCACAAGTCTACAGTTCCAAAATTCTCAATTCAACCTGAGACTACCAAATTAGTTCTATTTGTGAGTGGCTAATAAAACAAAGAATTAACTTGTGAATGCTAATAAGCAACCACAGATGCAAATAAAAGCTCATTTTACAGTAAGAGAGGAAAACAGCCAAGGCATGAATAGTTTAAAACAGGACTGTGGATGCAGCTGCCCCATGTGATATGAGGTAGGAAGTGTGACACAGGCATTACATGGGGCTAGCACCGCTGGAGTGCTTCTTACCCAGAGGTTCCCCACAAGTGCTCCTCCCACAGCTGCGGATTGACCTGCACAAGCATATTGAATCTGAAGACTTTAGTCACCCATCAGCTGAAAATGACCCTCTCTGCCCCATCAGGCAGGCAGCCAAGCAAACTGTTCCCTCAGCAACCTCCATCAGAGGCTGTATGGGCAGTGAGGGGGCTTGTGTTGGCCACCCAGGGCTGAGGACTGGCTGCAGCCCCCAGAGGCTATGTGGGGCCTCCCTCCCATGGCTGCCTGGTGACCAGAGGACAAGAGTTCTATCAGCCCTGAGCTCCTGGCACACGGGAAGATGGCACATGCCAAGAAGGGAAAAAGAAAGGCCCAGACTCATCAGAACCCACACCTGCACCCAGGCTCACCCGTGAACGTGGGAGGGCTTGAAACCTGGGACTCACTTCCTGGAAATGTCTATGGAAATTCACACACAGAAAGGTTTGACTGGAATAAGACTTCATGTTATAAAATTTCTCTGCACCAGAACCGGATATTAGGAAACATGATTCTGCTCTTCAAATTCGTAGTAAAATATCATTGAGCAGCTAGGCACGTGGGATCAAGACACCCCACAGCCTCCGTTCAGATTCCAGCTCAGCTGGGCCACTCTGTCTGGCCCGGCTGCGCCTCAGTGTCCCCGTCTATGGAATGGGGACAACCCAAGCTATCTCCAGCACTGCTGTGGAGATGCAGCTACTTAATTATGCAAGCTGCTTCCATCAGCCTCAGGTTCCAGGCAGGCCCTCAGCAGGCACAAGGAGGGCCTCTCCCTGGACCCTGCTCTCCTGTGTTTGCTGAAGGGACTCTTAAGGGCAAGGGCACTGGCACACACAGGCAAGAATCCCCTCAACCTGAGCTTAGGGCCCTGTGCTGGGCCCTGCTTCAGGAACTGGGAGAACACGGGAATAAAACAAGAGCCCTGCCCTAGCCACGGCCCAGCAGGAAACCCTGTGTTTCCCAGGCCCTGAGAACATGCTCACCAGGATCAGACCATCCCACAGTCCCGGCAGTTCCAGTGGCTGTGGAAGTCAGTCAGTTTAACTCAGCAGAGGCCCACTACTTATCCAGGGATACAAACATGCTTTTAATGTTACATACGCACACACACACGCACACACACACGCACAACAGTTACAATGACTAACTGGGCAGTCATTTATGAATTCACAAGCCCTTGAAGAATGTAGAAATGCACAGGCCTCCTGACATCCTCTGCAGGGTCCTAGAGAGCCTGCCCAGGGAGGGGTGGGAGCCTGGGGTGAGGCTCCCTGGGAAGCTTGTCCTAACCTGGCTGCAGAGTCCCCTCCATCTCCACTGCACGCCCTGCCCCCTGTCCAGGGCACAGTCCCCATGGGACCCCCAGGGAGTCTGGATGGGCCACACATGCTCCTGGCTGCTCATCTCTTCCCTTCCACAGGATCTTGTTCCAGCTGGTGGCATCTCAGCCACTCTCACAGCCGTCTCTAATACGTCTTTAACTCTTGATTAGCAAGCCTACCCCACCCCAGAGTTTGGAACCCCTTCCAAGAAAATTAGTCTTTCTATATGCTTTTAAGAAAAGGCTAGTCATCATCATTTACACCTTCTATTTTCACTGAACCATGAGTGTTAAGAGGAAAATAGCACCTTCTCCTGCGTTTCAGCTGCTCCCACAATGCCTGACACCCAGGAAGTGACAGACGCGGTTCAGAGAGGCAGCTTCAGTTCCACTCATACAGGGATTTCCAGCGTTTCCACTTATCTGAAGGCGGAGGGGTGCCGAAGGAAGTGGGTGGTGTCCACGCAGTGGGAACAGGCCCCTGGAAGGTCAGCTCCACAGACGCCCAGCTGGGTGGGTCACACCTACTGACCATGTGCCCACTGAGAAAGACATTTGACAGTGAGAGCCAGCAAACATGTACTGATACACTGATATTGAACTGAATTTACTTATTTAATAAGCATATTAAACACTTATTCCATGCCAAGGACTCCTCTAAGGCCTTTGTGAAGCTCATCTCATTGAATTTTCACCATGGCCGTGTCGGGGGCCCTGTTTCTGCCCTCACTCACAGGCGGAAACAGGGGCACTCAGAGCTAGGCTGGGCGGTTCCCGAGATTGCAGGTGAGTGGGAGGCAGCCCAGGCCAGATCCCACGCTTGTACTTCCTCGCTGTGACGCACTCATACTCTGATACTTTCTACTCAATGCCACTTTATGTGAAAGCAGTGCTGGTCCTTACCTGCCAATGATTTCCCTTTATTTGAAAGCCTCCAGACTATAAGTTATCCAAGGCTCACCCCAAGCCCGACACCCATGTTTCCCATATTGAATCCACGTCGCCCCACAGGGAGCCAGAAACAAGCGGCTCATGAGAGAAGATAGTCCTTAAGTCTGAAGAAGAATTCTAAATGGGGAACTAGCCACTAGGTAAACATATCAACTGCTGAGAGGAAATTACCTTAAAATGTATATTTAAATAGAAATGGAAATTTTCAATCCAATCCAGTTTGATTAAAATGGAATCCACGTAATTGGTAAAAGCCTGAGTCTCGGCAGAGGCTTCCTGTTCTTGGAGGAGATGAATGAATCCAACCCGAGGAAACTCGGAGACCTGATCTGCACCCGGCTGGAGGAGCAGACCCCAGCCTGAGGTCAGAGTTCCCGGGACAAAGGGATTTCGGGAGAGTTAGGCTCTGAGGATGCCTGGTCCAGCCCATGGGAGGGTGTTTGACTACAGCCAGAGAGAGGGGCTGTGGAGAGGGAAGAGGAGGGGAAGTCAGCCCTCTGGAGCTTTAGATAAAATCACTAAGGACAGGGAAGAAAGTTGTTGCGGCCAAGAGTCTACCCTGACGCCTAAGTCCCCTAAGAAGTGTCCACAGAGAAGGACAAACTGACCATGCTGAAGGGAAACAAAACCATTTTCCATGGAAAATTACATAACCAAGAAAAAGAGTGAGCAAAGTAGAAAGCACAGAGCAACCAGCTTGCCACTTGTGCAGAAGCTCGAGTCTGAAGCAGAACTCACCCACGAACGCGCACTGTGGGGCGGCCACAGCTGAGCCATGCTGCCCAGACTCCCCATGACACAGGACCTGACCAGCCACAGGGAAGGGAAGGGCAGGTGAGCAAATGGCCTTGTCCCTGCATCAGCCTGGACATCAGAAGCAGACTGGAAGATAATCGATTAAATAAAAACAGTTTCACATTAGCAAAATCCAGCCAGGTGTCATCAGCTAGTCAGTTTCTGCTCACTCTGCCCTTGTTGGAGATGGAGAAATAGAAAAATCGTCTCACTAGTACAAAGCCCAAAGAGAGGAGGTGGAGAGAGAAGTGGGTCAGGTGTAAGACAATATGGAAGGGTAGAGACTGGGGCAAAGAGGAGCTCCCAGAGCCCATAGGCATCACTTTGGAAGCATCAAGCTGAGAGCCTTGTACCATCTACTGTCGCAGATCCTACAACTGCCTGCCCTTTTCGCTACAGTGAGGCCTTCAGTTTGGACAATATCTTGCTTCTTTTGAGGTTGTTTTAAGAATCTTTGCAGAAAATGGGGATAGACCTGCTTTGGAAACTCTATAGTAGATTTTAACATCTCATCCTTACGTATTACATAGGAGGAAACTGAGTCTCCTCAGAGCCAGGAACAGGACAAGGACAAACTTTTCTGAAACTCAATAACTACCATTTCTTTTTTATTTAAGCTCTAACCAGGGACAGAATTGGAGAGGGGATTAAACATAGCTAAGAAAATAGCCTAAGAATCAGCCCAGGACAGCTGGATTTCACTTTCACTGACTACAGTGGGCAAATAGATATTGGTGGCATTTATAAGAAGATGTGTCTTGTGCTGGCTGCGGGCCAGGCATGGGAGTGGGGTGCACACAGGCATCGGAGCCCCCCAGCTGTCCGCAGAGGGAAGTGCCCCTGTGGCAGCTGGGAGAGGAAGAAGCTATGTCTCAAGAGACCGCGGGGTGGTTCCCAAATCCCACTGAAACCGAGGGTGGCATCTCTACCCAGGGCACAGGACCAGGCTGGCCATGGCTCATCCCTTCTGGCTGCCAAGCTGTCTCACTCCTCCACCGTCCCACACCCACAATGCCCACAGTCTACAGGGTTGATGTCCCTGGCTGGGTGGTGGACGCAGTAGAACAAGGGTGATATGGTTTGGATCTTGTCCCCACCCAAATCTCATGACAGATTGTGATCTCCAGTGTTGGAGGTGGGGCCTGGTGGGAGGTGATGGGATCCTGGGGTGGATTTCCTGCTTGATGCTATTCTCGTGACAGTGAGTGAGTTTTCCTGAGATCTGGTCGTTTAACAGTGTGTGGCCCCTCCCCTATCCTGCTTCTCTCTTTCCTGCTCCAGTCATGTAGGACGCCTGCTCCACCTTCACCTTTTGTCATGATTGTAAGTTTCCTGAGGCCTCTGCAGAACACCAAGCAGATGTGGCCATGCTTTCGGCACAGCCTGCAGAATAGTGAGCCAATTAAACCTCTTTTCTTTATAAATTACCCAGTCTAGGGTATTCCTTTACAGCAATGGAAGAACAGACTCATACAAAGGGGAAGGCAGGACTCAGCAGCAGAGGGCTGGATCCCAGACACAGGCCTGGTCAGCAACAGGGCAGTCCAAGGAAAAGCCTCTCATCCAGCTACCCTGCCTGGCCAACAGCAGTCACTGTGTGCCCAGAAACCAGGACGGTGGCCAGGCAAGGCCCAGGGAACAATGGGAAGCTCCACTCCTTCCAGGCTGAGTCTTGCTTCAATCTGACCCTACACAGTAGCTGCCCTTTTTTTTTTTTTTTTTTTTTTTTTTTTTTTGAGACGGAGTCTCACTCTGTCACCCAAGCTGGAGTGCAGTGGCACAATCTCGGCTCACTGCAAGCTCTGCCTCCCAGGTTCACACCATTCTCCTGCCTCAGCTTCCTGAGTAGCTAGGACTACATGCGCCCGCCACCACGCCCGGCTAATTTTTTTTTGTATTTTTAGTACAGACGAGGTTTCACCATGTTAGCCAGGATGGTCTCGATCTCCTGACCTCGTGATCTGCCCGTCTTGGCCTCCCAAAGTGCTGGGATTACCGGCGTGAGCCAACGCACCCGGCTGTAGCTGGCTTTTAAGTTAAAGGATGCACAGTGCCTGCCACGAGAGCAGGAGCCACAGCCAGTCCCGGTGGCCCCAGCTGCCTGGTTGGACACAGCCCATTTTTTCCCACCTGTGTCCCTTCCTGTTCTCATTACTGCGTTTCCTGGTGCGTGGACTGCCACTGTTTTAATAGTGCATGGCTTCTGTTCATATTTCTACATAGAGTACCGTGAGTGCTGTGTAAGAAAGCACCAATACATCTAACCGATACGTGCATGACATGGATAGAAATGCTGTTTTTAAAACACAGAAACAATGCACAGCCCTGTGGAAACGCCGCATAATCCTATCAGTTGTCCATCTCCCACAGTGGGCCTGCAGTCCTTTCTGGCTTGGGTGGTGTGACCTCACTGCATGTTGATTCACAGCTTACAGATGGCAACTGAGTAAGTCCAGAGCCAGATCGCTTCTGCGATCCTTTTTTTCTATTTATTTATTTATTTATTTGAGACAGAGTTTCGTTCTTGTTGCCCAGGCTGGAGTGCAATGGTGCGACCCTGGCTCACTGCAACCTCCGCTTCCCAAGTTCAAGCGATTCTCCTGCCTCAGCCTGCTGAGTAGCTGGGATTACAGTGCACCTGCTGTCTGCCCATAGGCGAGTGACTGGAGATGAAAGGAGGGAAGTGGATGTGTGTCCTGAGCCACCGGGAATCATCTCAAATCATCTTCCCTTTCCTCCGGGAAGCAGCTGGGCTGACGTGGGGATGGAACCACGGTGCTGGCCAAGGGGGATCCTTGCAGCTTGGCGACCTCCATGTCCTGAGACCAGTGTGGGGCCGTGGTCATGTGGCCTCTGCGGAGGCCAGCCGTGCCCTGCTGTGACCTCTCCTCCTCCCTGGCAGCGACCTCCAACACACAGCAAATCTGGTCACAGCTCCCTCCGGCCCCTCAGAACCATCCCTCCTGCCTTAGCCAGGGCACCAGCCACTGTCACTCCTCCTGGGCACTGGTCACCAGCTCCTTGCCCAGCTCACACCTGTCCAGTGGTCATGGCTGGCATGGCTCTGCCAGCAGCTCCAGCCTCCAGGACTCCTCTCCGTCCTGGCTCTGCCTGCAGGCTCCGTCCCGCAGTCATGATGGCCCTCCCTGGCCTGGCTCTGCCCATGTCTCAGCCTGGCTGCCATCGCCCTTGCCCCCAACTTCCCCATGGGGCCCCTCCAGTACACAGGGGTCCCTGAGCCACAGGCCAATTCGGGAGCCTCTGCTTCCAGGAGAGCCCCTGTCCCCTGTCCTTGAGCCAGGCAGGTCCCATCATCCTCAAACTCTTACTCAGCTGTCACTCCCCAGGAGGGGCTGACCCCTGGCTGGCCGACCCCAGGACCGCCAGCGGCTTCGAGTTGTGCATGTGCTCTTGCCCCCAGGCCAGGAGCAGGCTCTGGGGATGCCAGGCTGTGGGTGGACCCTTAGCTTACCCCTGTGGAGCCTAGCACATCGCTGGGCTCAATACATACTTGCAGGAGGGCTGAGTGACCGTCCACAAAGGCCACTCTGCAGTCCATGGTGACCTGCGGGCTGCAGTGCAAGGAGGCTACCTCCTCACTGATCCTTTGTCCATGTCTCCCGCCTCCCCAGGGAAGGTTGCCCGGCCCCAGGGCCTTCCCTTCCGATGCTCTGAGGGGCTTCCCCTCGAAGCTCACCGCGGCATCCCTGGGGCGTTCGGGGCTGGATATGGGCCCTGAGTGTCCTGAGGGACCATTTATCCCACGCTTGGCAATTTAAACCAGAGCTGTTTACAGTACAACAGTGTTAACTAAGGGACGGGAAGGTAAAGTCAGCATCCAGTGTTAAGGTGGGATGCTGGAGTGAGGCTGTAGTGGAAAGAGGCTCACCCTCGGATGAGCGTGGTTTGCTCCCCGGCTTGAGCTCTGAAGCCTCCCAGGGCCTACCAAAGCGCGTAGAACAGAGGGGCTCCATTCTAATGGTCCTTTTCCTGAGAAACGAGCCCAACAACAAAAGAGCCAGCCTACGACCTCTGCCTCCCTGAGGTTCCAACACACATCACAGGCCCTGGACCCGGGCTGAGCTCCACCCTGGCACCCGCATGGCCTTTCAGAGCCTCCAAGCCTCGTCCATAGTGAGGCTTCTCCTGGCGACTGTTCCCTGCCATGCGAAGGGGACAGCCCCCCAACATCCCCTGGCTCTCGGGCCTATTGCCCCCAACAGCCTGGAAGGGGAGACCCACCCAGGTGCCGCAGATGCCGTAGGTCAGGAGGGCTTGGTTGGTCTCCACTCACCCCAGCCCCATCCTCCAGGGCTCTTGGCTTAGGGCCCAGGTTAGGGACCAGGGAGAGCACAGCCCTTGGGCCTCTGGCTCTGTCTGCAGGACGCAGGACTGACCATTCAGAAACCCTGGTCAGCGTTTGCTCCTCCTGGTGCCCTGACTCACAAGGGGCACATGGGGATCCCAGGGCTCCGTTCCTGCATTCTTTGGCTTGGGCTACTCAACTCTGGCTACTGACCTTACTTGGTGTCTTGTGGGGCCAGGGAAATGGGTTCAGAGAGGGAGGGAGGAAGGGGCATGGAGACCCCATGGGAGCCACCCTGTGCTCCTGCAGAGCTCTCAGAGCAGGGAGCTGCTCCCAGGACCCTGCCTCAGCTGTAGAGAAGGGCTTGCCTGAGGCCCCCACGTGGGCAGCCAGGCCGGACCAGGCTGGCAGCAGATCACTGAATCCCCCCAGCTCCTCCGCCCCTGCAAAGCTGCCCAAACCCTTGGCAGTGGTCCAGAGCCAGGATGAGGAAAGGGGGTGGGGGTGGAGAGCAGCACCTCGGGGGCTCCGAGGGTTTGCCAACCACTGTGCCCAGTCCGCCATGCCCTCGTATGTGTGGTCTTAGTTCTGCCTTGGGGCCAGGGCCACCACCATCCAGGGGCAATGAGCAGCTGGGCACCTGCGGTGTGGTCACTGAGGCAGCCCCACCCCCGGAGCAACTGGACACCTGCAGTGTAGCCACTGAGGCCCCCCCAAGCGGCTGAGTACCTGTGGTGTGGTCACTGAGGCAGCCTCCCTGAGCAACTGGACACCTGCAGGGTGGTCACTGAGGTGGCCCCCACGCCTGCCCCCAAGGATCTGCCTCCTCTCCAACTCCCTGCAGGCCACAGGGGCAGCCCAGAATGGCAGGTGGAAAGTGTCTCCCACCCTGACCCGCCAAGAGCCGCAGCTCCCCTCCCTGCTGCTGCGGGGTGGGAGGCCCCTGGCCGTCCAGGAAAGGCAGGAGGAAGTCTGTGTTCAAATCACCGGTGGAGTGGGAGAGACTCAATTCAGAGATGGCAGCACCATCAAATTTCCTTCTCAATGTTTTCTACAGAAATCTCCAAAAAAGTGCCCAGTGGGAGGTGGGTGGGAAAGGTAGTGGAGAAAGACCCCACCTAGGGTGACAGCACCCTCTCCCAGGAAACACCCTCCACCTTGAGCAATTAGAAGGCAGCGAGGAAAGCGGCGGTCTTCTAACTGTGCCATGAGGCTCCAAGTAGGAAGTTTCTGGAAGATGCGCTGAGGGGATGTGGCACTCAGAAGATAACACGCTTTTTAAAGGTGCCAGGTGTATGTGTAAAACTGCATGTGTTATCGCCGTGTATTGAACACGGATCCCGGCTCCTCTCTAAATGAACATTTTGTCACCGGTTTTTGCAGCAGGGGAGGTCCCCATGCTATGACTTAGCCACGTGACAGACAGCAGAGCACGTCGTAATCACACGGAGGGCAGCCCGGTCTGCTTTTCTGCAGTGTGAAAATTGTACAGGAGAAGTGGCGTCTTTCTGCAGACCACTGTCCCGCCGCTGCCTCCACGTTGGGAGTACCTTCCCGCACAGGGCAAATGAGAATCTGCGTGGGCATCCCAGCTACAGCCTCCGAACCTCTAGGTGATGGACGAGGCAGACTGCAGTCATGAGGCTCTCATTTTCGCTTGTTTACTGCGGTTTGCAGAACTCTAAATTCCTATTCCTCCAGGGAGCATGAAAACACACTAAGTGTCTTGGGGTTAATCCACATTTCTCAACAGTCTCAAACCGGAAAGAGAACAGCCTCCCTCAGTCTAGCAAGCCAGTGAGTAACATATTACACCATAAATATGAAATGGCCTTAGGAGTTCCAGACCATTAAGGTGGCCGCTTCTCCGCGGCATGCGAGTTTAGCATGAGAAATACAACTATTCATCAAAAGAGTGAATTATTGGTGCATACTCAGGCATCCTGAGTGCCCCACATCTGACAGATGCTTCAAAGTTATCCATACATGATATTTTGTGCGGACAGTGACGGCTGCGTTTTGAACCAGGCTCTGCTTACTACTCGTGGATGAATTAGTGCTGCCCCGAGGGGCCATGAGTTAAAAAATGTGTCAACTTCTAGAGCAAAATTCAGCACCCTGAGAGGGATGCATCTCTCTATTGGCAGATGTGAAACTCAATGAAATTTCTCCACCTAAGTCAGAAGGCAGCCGCCACACTGGTGTGAGTGCCAGCCTGGTGCTGGGACTCCCAGATGGAAAGGAGAAAGTTCTAGATTTTCACATGGTTTCTTCAGCAAGGTGGATTTTTCACCAAGGCTCCCTGAACTGGCCCCATTCAGAGGGTCCAGGAGATAGTGAGGGTATGGCCGAGCCTTTCGGGATCACCCTACTCAGGAAAGACTATGTCTAAGCAGTCACGGCAACAGCCTCATTAATGTGGCCATGCCTGTCTGGCCCCTTCCTGTCCCCTCTCACATGTGGTTTAGAGGGTGGATAAGGCCCCTTCCCAAGCCACCGCTCTCTGGGGAGGGTCATGAGAGAAGGCTGGGGCCTCTCCCAGCCCCAGCTGCCTTCCAATTGGTCAAGGCAGAGGGTGTTTCCTGGGAGAAGGTGCTGTTACCCTAGGTGGCTGTGGCCGGTTTAACCCCGCCCCGCCTGTGGGAAGTCTGCACAAGACAATGGCCTAGTTCTGGTGAGGATAGTGAGTTCCATCCCTGATGGTGACTTTTCCCTTCCCTGGGGTTCACGAGATGCAAGCACCATTCTTAGTGCCCCTGATCAACCGGCGGGGACGAGATCCCAGAGGATGCCGGTCAGCCTGCACATCAAGTGAGCAGAGGCTAAACCCGGGATTCAGGCACTTCCTCGCGCCAGGAGACCAGGAGATCTGCCACCTGCACCAGCAGCCGCTGGACTGTGCAGCCTTGGGACCCCATGGGAACTGGGTGCCTCTCTTCCTCGGCCCCCGGGGCAAACGGCAAGCCCAGCCGTGTCCCCACCCTGGTGCAGACCCCAATCCAGGCGTCAAGGTGGATGGGACCGCATGCTCCGCTGCCTGTTACCTCCAAGTGGGTTTCCATCCCAAGGGGCTCCTTTTGGTTGCCAAAGCTTGGTTTGCATTTTGCTCCAGAGAGAGCTAGATGCCGACCCATCCTGATGATTCAGATACTGTTTTGGGTCCACCCTTTCCTATATCTGCCGTTTCTATTTGTTGGCTCTTTTCCCTTACATTATAAACATACTTCTGTGCCTTTTAACTTCAAAACCAACAGCTACAAAAATAAAACAAAGCACATGTGTGCACACTCACCCACATGCTCACACACACTGACATGCTCACACACACTCATGCTCACACACATGCTCAGACATGCACACACACATGCTCACCCTCACGCATACAGACACACACACATGCTCACACACAGACATGCTCACACCCCAGAAGCCTCTGGGGTCCATCACTGCACATCTCCTTCCAGCTCAAGGTCACTCCCTGAAGTCTCCTTTGGCAAGCAGCCCCCCACGCACCCACGAACCCTCCCCTGGCCCTCCCCCTGCCCACTGTACATGGACATCTTCAGGACGCAGCTCACTAATAGATCCCAGCTTGACCTGCTGAGCCCTGTCCCCTCCCCAGGCCACATCCCCACCTTCTCCCCTCCCACTTCTCTCTCTTCACTGCATTCCCCGTGGTGAGAAGCAGCCGCTCCATCCCACCAGAGCTCCACCCTGGAGGCCTCACTGTCACTTCCAACCGTTTCCTTTTAGGGCCTGAATTCCAGTCGATTAGGAATTCTGGAACCCTTCCTGTCTCCTTTCCCCCTGACCCATCCTCTCCCTCTCTTTCCAGTTATCCCCCTTCTTCCCAGCTGAGACCTGAACTCTGGAAACTCTCACCCCATTATTCCCTGGGGCTCCTCTCCAAGCCTCGGATGATGCCCCTACATGCTCCTGCCCCACACGCCTTTCCAGCCGAAGTGTGCTGACCCTGAGGTCGCTGCACGTCCCATTGGGAGTGCCCTCCCGAGCCAGCCTGGCCCCACTGTCCCATCCTCCTGGGTCTGCTGCCTCCTGCACTCTGGCCTCTTGAGTCCCCTGAGCAACGAGCCACATCCCTGATTCAGATTTACCCACTAAAGTAGCTTTGTACGCTTCCCTTCCCCTAGGCTCTAGGACCCAGGGAGTCAGGGGTTTTATCTAATTCACCAGGGATCCTTGGTGGGTATCCCAGTGTCTGTTGTCTGATTGACAGCGAGATGTCTGTGGCTAAGTCAGTCACAACTGATGGCATGTCCTCAGGGCTGGACTAAGCTGTGCGGCCTGGGGAGTTACCTGAACTCTCCAACTTCAAGACCGAAGTCACGTCCTCCCTCACTGGACCCCTGGGAGGATGGCACAGGCCAGGCCTGGGAAGTGCACGGCCCATCGCAGGCTCCTGTGGCCCCTCGTCCCCCAAACCCCACCCCCTACTCTCCCAGATAAAACATGTGGGAAAACACTGACAATCTGTGGAAATGAAAAATAACAACCTCTGGCAAGATCTCATTTTGATGAAAACACACTTTATACTCTAATTAGCGTACCTGGACGTTAGGAACTCTGAATGGAATAATAAGTAGAATGTCTCTCTTTACTAGTGGAGGTAATAATGTAGTTTGTAATCATGACCATCGGCCCGCAGTGTGGACCTGCCGTGTGCTGAGCACTGGCCTGGGCACTGAGGCTCATGAGTGCCGTGGATGTGTTGACTGAGAAAGGCCTGAGTATTGTCTCGTTTTGCAGATGGGAACAAAGAGGTTCCCAAGACCCACAGAACCAGTAGTCCGACTCACTCCCACCCCGTGGCAGAGCTCAGGTGCTCTTCTGCATCATGCACTGTATTAGTTTATCAGAGGAAAACAATTAAGCAGAGAGCAAAAATGCTACAACCTGATAAGGTTTCTTCTAGGATGGGCCCTACAAACCAGACATCAACATCCAATTGCTAAGTCCAGAGAAGAGACGCACAGCCCTGCCACACAGGCTGGAAAAGCATGCTACAGACAGGATCACGCAGAAGAACCTGAGAGAAGCGGCTTCGGGAAGACCATTGCACCTGTGTTTGTAAGTACACCATTCTACCCACCTGAGAAGGGAGGAGGACAGAGGCGTTTCTCATTTCTAAAATCCAAAGGTATCCAGGACACCAGCTGGAGGCTCTCCCGATGCCTCCGTGGCATCCACATTTCTGGATTCATCTCAGACCCAAGATGCATTTCGATTGATTTCAAGACCGAGTCCCTATTTAATGCTGAAGGAAAACCCCACCTGAAGGGAGACCCCAAATCTCACAACGGCTCCAGAATCATCCCACTGAAGTAGCAGAGGACACAGACCACATGGAACGCAGAATGAGAAGGCTCTCCACGTCAAGGCACAGCCTGCACCTGGCACCCCCAATGTGACCCCCCTCCCAACTCCCTGCACACAGCGATGCCCCAGGCTAGGTTTCCGATAAACGCAAGTGTGATTGGCCTCAGAAATGCAGTTTCAAAATTATTCAAAATTAGAGACTTCTGTTCAGTCATCTTAATGATATGAAACCACTTGAAAAATACACATCTCAGAGCAGCACGCCCTAGACGCCAGGGTCAATTTCCTTCAAGTATTTACGTATTTATTTGAACAGGGTCTCACGCTGTCATCCAGGCTACAGTGCAGTGGTGCCATCATGGCTCACTGTAACCTTGAATGCCTGGGCTCAAGTGATCCTCCAGCCTCAGCCTTCTGAGTAGCTGGGACTACAGGTGTGAGCCACCATGGCTGGCTAATTTTTAAATAGTTTCTTTTAGAGATGGAGTGTCACTAGGTTGCCTAGGCTGGTCCTGAACTCCTGGGCTCAAGCAATCCGCCCGCCTCAGCTTCCCAAAGTGCTGGGAATACAGGTGTGATCCTCCACACCCGGCTAATTTTAAAATAGTTTTTTAGAGACGAAGTGTCACTAGGTTGCCCAGGCTGGTCTTGAACTCCTGGGCTCAAGTAATCTGCCCGCCTCCGCCTCCTGAAGTGCTGGGAGTCCAGGTGTGAGCCTCCATGCCCGGCTACCAATTTCCTTGAAACATCTAACCTGACCAGTAAGTTTTCTCACTCAGCGGAGCTCTAGTCTGTCCCAGAAACAAGCCACCACCTTTCCAGAATAGCAGAGAATCCAGGAAATGATTGAGTTTTCATGTTTTCCTTCAGAACCATAAAAATTAGGATTACAGCCATGACGATTAGCATTCAGCAGAAGCAAGCTTTCTGCTCAGCAGCACAGTCTTAATAAGCCACTGAAGGAAGGGAGAGACCGTCGGTGGAGCAGCTGGCGTGAGGGAGGGAAACACAGCCCCAAATCCAATTGAAAGACATTCAAGGTAAATTAGCCACATAGTAAATACATGTAATCAAAAATAATTATAGTTTAGAAGTGTAAACGCCCAACCAACAAAAACTGGGTTCATTTGGAACAAAACGGGATCCTGTTCTTGCCTGGGGGCAGACGGACAGATAAAGTGCTGTATTTTCATGTTTGTGTAGAACTTGGAGGAAAACGAAGTATCCTGCTTCAACCAAAAAACACAGAAGCAGAAAGAGAAGCAGAATGTGCGGGCCCTCCCACCTCCTGGAGTCGCTGTCAGCTCCCGCAGCACGAGAGCAGCTGCTCAGGGCCAGGTGGGCTCTGGGCAGGGAGGCGGCCCCCTCGCAGGCACTCTCCAGCCCTGCTCACAACAGCAAGGCTGAAAATCGGTTTCGCCCTCGGCCCTCACAGGACCCTGGAGAGAGCGGCACCCCATTCAGAGACTTGTTCTCCATAATGTCCCATAGGGCATGGCCATGGGCCCTAGCAAGGGCCTTTGTTTAATGTGGCACTTCAGCCACCATTGGAAGTGACCAGGGCTGGCCGAAGCCCAACCCAGTGCTGGTCACCATGGGAGGCCCCCAGCTCTATGCCTGCAGATAAGTGGTCTGAAAAAGGTGATCCCTGGTTCTCCTCCCAAAGCTGGGCTCGGAGCTGGCCAATTAGAAGAGTAGAGTCCCCTTGGGTGGACACGCGGTGTGGGCAGAGCTGGACCAAGTCATTGGCACACAGCAGCCTCAGGTCTGGCTGGTTCCAGGGCAGCCCAGCTTTCCCTGCTGTCAGAGCTTGGGTGGGAGAAGAGCCACCGCCTCCCCGCTTCCCCGCAAACCACACACCTAATATAGACCTGAGATAGCAAACACCTGCCAGGAATGTCCCACTCAGATCCCGGAAAGGACCGCCCAGCCCATGCGCCTGCATCCACATCGGCCCGACCCTGGGTTCTCTATGGGGCAACCGTCAGCTCAGCCTCACCTCCAGGTGAGCCGAGGGTTTTCCATCAGGCGAGCCAGCTGCCCCACTGAAAAGATGAATGAGTTACGGACATGAGCAAAGAACCCAAGATACACGTCTTGATTACAAAACTGATCACAGGCACATTCATTACAATATTGATCACTTATGAATAGTGTTCTTTCTCATTTTTTAAACAGGAAAGGGAACCCCTTCCCGTGGTCTCTAATATTTAAATTTGACCTGAGCGCAACTATCTTCCGGGTCAATATTCAGGAGCTGTCGGGCTGTGCTCAGGCATCTTCCTGCTCCCTGGCTGAGTGCATTTCCGTCTTTGCCCTCCTCACCCCACCCCTCCTCACCCCCAGCACCTGACTTGGACTCTGTCCTCCTTGCCCAGCCCCCCTCTCCGTGCTGTGTTTTCTCAGTGGCATTGCAGGGCTATGTTTCTGGACCTCCGAGCCCCTGACAGACATTTCCTCAAGGGCTCCGGAGTCTCCACTCCAGACAGGCATTTCCTCAAGGCCTCCGGAGTCTCCCCTCCGGACAGGCATTTCCTCAAGGCCTCACGAGTCTCCCCTCCAGACAGGCATTTCCTCAAGGCCTCCGGAGTCTCCCCTCCAGACAGGCATTTCCTCAAGGCCTCCGGAGTCTCCCCTCCAGACAGGCATTTCCTCAAGGCCTCCGGAGTCTTCCCTCCAGACAGGCATTTCCTCAAGGTCTCTGGAGTCTCCCCTCCAGACAGGCATTTCCTCAAGGCCTCACGAGTCTCCCCTCCAGACAGGCATTTCCTCAAGGCCTCCGGAGTCTCCCCTCCAGACAGGCATTTCCTCAAGGCCTCCGGAGTCTTCCCTCCAGACAGGCATTTCCTCAAGGTCTCTGGAGTCTCCACTCCAGAAAGGCATTTCCTCAAGGCCTCACGAGTCTCCCCTCCAGACAGGCATTTCCTCAAGGCCTCCGGAGTCTTCCCTCCAGACAGGCATTTCCTCAAGGCCTCCGGAGTCTCCCCTCCAGACAGGCATTTCCTCAAGGCCTCCGGAGTCTCCCCTCCAGACAGGCATTTCCTCAAGGCCTCCGGAGTCTCCCCTCCAGACAGGCATTTCCTCAAGGCCTCCGGAGTCTTCCCTCCAGACAGGCATTTCCTCAAGGTCTCCGGAGTCTCCCCTCCAGACAGGCATTTCCTCAAGGCCTCCGGAGTCTTCCCTCCAGACAGGCATTTCCTCAAGGTCTCCGGAGTCTCCCCTCCAGACAGGCATTTCCTCAAGGCCTCACGAGTCTCCCCTCCAGACAGGCATTTCCTCAAGGCCTCCGGAGTCTCCCCTCCAGACAGGCATTTCCTCAAGGCCTCCGGAGTCTTCCCTCCAGACAGGCATTCCTCAAGGTCTCTGGAGTCTCCACTCCAGAAAGGCATTTCCTCAAGGCCTCACGAGTCTCCCCTCCAGACAGGCATTTCCTCAAGGCCTCCGGAGTCTTCCCTCCAGACAGGCATTTCCTCAAGGTCTCCGGAGGCTCCCCTCCAGACAGGCATTTCCTCAAGGCCTCACGAGTCTCCCCTCCAGACAGGCATTTCCTCAAGGACTCCGGAGTCTCCCCTTCTGCTTTGACTCTGGGCCGTCCTCAGTGGCTGTTCCAGCCCAGGCCATTCTCCTCCGCATCGAACTGTCCAACATCAAAGCCCTTGGAGCTAAATCTGCCTTCAGAATTCCACTCAGACTTTTTAGTTCTTTCCAACAGATGACAGGGGAGGAAATGAAACACCTTCAAGATCTTTCAGAAGAAACCCCAGCCGTCAATGACACGCAGGTTTTATGCTTCCTGCCCACATATAGGTCTCCGAAATGCCCCTGGAACACTCAGCTCCTGGCAACAGGCTGCTCAGCACCACCATTCCAGGAAGCGAAGGTCAACATGACAGTAAAATATAAGAAGTATGAAGTATAAATACCAATTACCAATTAGCGCAGCCATCAACTTCTGATTCTAGGAGGTAGATGAAACCCCAAAATAGCCCAAGACACATAGAGATATAGAATAGTTACCTCCTAGGCATATAGAATAGTTACCTCCTAAATATTTAGAATATTTATAGAATATTTACCTCCTAAATATTTAGAATATTTATAGAATATTTACCTCCTAGAGGTAAATAAAATTTTTAAAAGTAATCATAATTGAGAATAAAGGCATAGGGTAAGTAACCTTAATAAAATTTAAAGAAGTGATAATAATAATAAAGAATAAAGGCACAGGGTGAGTAACCTTCTGAACGAAGCGCTGAGGAGAACGTGATTTTGTTTCACTGCACTTCTCCCTTGTGTGGCATTGTACAAGGACGAGGCAGCTTCCCCTCCGCAGAAGCAGCTCTGAGCGTTGAAATTGCCTGAAGCAAGGAAGGGAGCAGCAGGTATGGGTGCCCCAGACACTCAGCTCTCCACTGCAACCCGACTGTCCCATGAGGATTTCAGCATGACACAATTTTCCCCTGCAGCCTCCCAGAGTGCCCAGCCCGGCTCCAGCAGGTGTCAGACCACCAAAGAGCAGAGGGGGCAGAGACGTCCCCCAGGACAGCAGACGCCCTCCTTGGGTCCTTGTGTTTCATTTTACGAGGACAAGGCAGCTTCCCCTCCACAGAGGCAGCTGTGAGCTGCTTGCGCGCCCCTCCTGGGTGCACTATTCTGAACAGCGCGTGCTGCTGTGGTGGTCACTGCGTGCCTGTGACCCAGCTTTCCCGTGGCCCCTTCCGCCTCCTGGGTGACCGCAGCACGTGCAGGCCCCTTGCTGCCACCTCCAGTGTCCACCCCAGAGGGCACCGGCTGAAGCAGTGGATCCTGGCCAGTGCTCACCGGCAGCAAGTCCCAGCACACTGAGGGACGCTGGGGAAAAGAACCATTGTGCCAAAGACAGAGACATCTTCTTCCCACTGACGAGCCTGGCGGGCCCAGATTACAGGAGAGGCTGAGTCAAATCGTATCTCAGCTAAGCCTCCGTGTGGATGTGAGACAGTGGGACAGTGGAGATGGGTCTGTGGCTCGGGTCCACTACTCCATGTGTGACCAAGCTCAGGGCTAGAGAAAAGCATGGATCTCAAACCTCAGGCATCTCCAGGGCCACGCATGGCTACTCACAGCCAGACAGCCTGGGAGAGTCTCTGGCACCTGAGCTCCATGTGCCAAGGGGAAAAGATGCTGCTGCTACTGGCTCCAGGCAGGCGGCTCTGGACAGATGTGCAGTAGTCAGTCCCCAGAGGGGACAGTGTGCCCCTTGCAGGCCAGCACAAAGGGGCCTCTGCAGGGTGCCGTGCCAGAGCTAGTGATAGACTTCGTAATTGTTTAGGGACACATGCCCTGAGCACCCTTCATTGTTTAGGGTACCCCTGAGCACCGCTCCTAGAACTATGAAAGACTGAGATTTAGCCTGAACACTGCATGACTGTTAGTATGAGGACCTGGAGGGGGGCAGTGGCCATGTTGGCCGGCCCGGCCTGGGTGAATTGGCCTCCAAGTGTACCGAGTTCCAAGCGAGTGGGTTCTGAGCAGGCCACTGCCCTCAGACTGCCCGAGGGCTGCCACTCTGACTGCAGCACGGCGGACACTGAGGGTTGCGACAGTGATGAACCAGCAGGCTCCAGTGCTTCTCAGGATGGCTCCTAAGCTGTGATCATAGAGCTACGCCATTGGAAAATGAGCACAACTGACTCAGTCACGAGTGACAGCTTCCTAAGAGCCTACCGTGTGCTTCCTGTGCCTCCACAGCCCCACCCTTACCGGCCCCTCCAGAGGCGAAGGTCGCCAACCCCAGTTAGAGAGAAATGACTGAGACTCCAAGAATTGCAGCCCTGGAGCCGGCTGGCATCCCCTGCAGCTGCCGTGGCACTGCCTGCAGAGCTTGTGGCTCTGCCGAATCCTTCTGAGGTGCAGCCTCAGGAGCACACAGATCCGAGCCCCTCCGGCATCAGAGGGGTTCGGAGCAGGGAAAGCCAGCACATCGTGAGGTCTGCCACTGCCTTCCCCCTTTGCACTTCTATGCCTGTGACCTTCCTCCTGGTTCAGCATCCAGCGCTGTGGGAGAGAGATGAAGCCAATGAGGCCGGCACGTGGGGGGAAGTCAGTGCTAAGATTTTATCCAATAAAATACGATTTTACTTCCACTTAGCAAAAAAAAGACCGGGACAGCTGAGTCTCAGGGCTCAGTGCCTGTGGGGACAAGGGGGGCTCTCCCTCTCCACATGTGGGAGTCTGGTGGAGAGGGGAGAGCAGCTCCAGCCACTGCAGAGGCTGAGGGTTCCTGCTGAGCGGGGGCTGATGCAGAAGGAAGGCCGTAGGAAGTTGAGGAAGCTGCTTTCCATGTGTGAACAATGGCAGAAATGGCCCCCGTTCCTCCCATCCCCCAGGCCAAAGCTTTGTCCCTTAATGCTGCAGTGTCTGCCCGCCCCAGAAGGGGCCATTCTGCCACCTCCTTGACTCCAGTCCCAGCCTTGTGCTCAGGGCCAGTGGCATGTTAGCCAAGGCGATTCACTGGGACTCCAGTCACTGATGCCATTAGGCCCATTCATTCTCACGCGCTGTCATGCCCATGAAAACATGGCTGAGTGGGCCTGGGTGGGACGTGAGGAGCACAGGTGAGTGACCCCATCACTCCATATAGGCACTCCAGACCCCACAACAGCCAGGCAACCCCTGAGCTGGGAGGAGCCCAGCAGGATGAGCAGCTGCCGTCTCAGCAGTGGCACACGCCGGGGCACTCCCTGGCAGCCGCCTCCAACAGGCTGCTTTTGTTTTGCAGGAGCGTTGGCAGAATCAGTGGCTAACAGGCAGTGCACACCCCAGACCGTACACGCACACGCTCACCTGGCAGAGATGCCCCGAGATGCCTGTTTCACTGAATCCATCTCATGTGCTTTGGTCCATAGCCAATTTGTGTTCACAAAAAATGGGTAAGAGAGGTTGATGAATCTGAGAAAAGTTTTAAAACAGGTTTTGTTCTTTCTCTTTAAAATTGCAATGTGAAAATTTCCAAAAGTGAAGTTTTCACGTTCCAACAGTGCGGACAGCTCAAGTAGTATTTGGGATTGAGAGCCCTTTCCCAAAAGCTGCTAAAATGGGCACAAAACCCTCCCCTCCTTGTTCCACCACACAAGTGTCCCCCAACCCTTCAGCTCACAGAAAGACAAGGGCCTGGAGCCAGAGACACCTGCCCTGAAAGCTCCCCCCAACCCCACCTGTTTCCAATCTCTACATCTTCAAAACTCAAGGTGTGGTCAGCATTCTGTTATCCCACAGTCTTTGTAAATAGGTTTTTACAAAGGCTACATAGAGAGTTACTTCAAAGAATAATTTATACACACTACTATTGGAGATGTAAGTGGCTGCCAATTTTAAATATCACAAGTAGGTCTGGCTAGAGCAAATGTCCTGTATCACAAAGCTAAACTCCCTGAGGGAGAACTGTTGGTCAGACGATGTTAGCGTATGTGAGGCTCAAGACACAATTCCCAAAGTGTTTTCAAAAGGTGACTTTTTCTATTAACGTGTCCGCAGCTCTTCTTACCACACCTGTTTTAGTACAGATCATACATCGCGAGAGACAGGAAGAAAGGAGGGAGTGAGAGAGAGTGGGAGGAAAATGTAGTAAAATATTGAGATCTTATTGTTGCAATTTGCTTTCTGTGATGATTAATGAGGTCACACTTATTCTGTGTTTTCATTAACATGTATTTCCTCTTTTTTGGTCCCTTTAATCACAGCCATTATATTTTTACTAATCAGGGATGGTGTTCTTGAATATCCATTACACACACACATATATACACACATATGCATACACATGCACACAGACACACACACACACACAGACACGCACACACGCTCACACACACACACATGCACACACAAAATTTGATGATGCATTGCGGCTTTTGTTTCATTTCTACAGTTTACTAGTCCTTTTCCCTCTGGATATTTTCCCTAGTTAGCACTGATTTTTAATATATAATTTTATAATCCATTTTTAATGCTACATTAAAGCATACATTTTGAAACTATCAAAAATATATTGCAGTGAAAAGAAAATGTCATTTTAATCTCCATTAAACGTTTAAGAAGTTACTTAACTCCTGCTATGCTTCGGCTATGGTTTGTCCCCACCAAAACGCATGATGAAATCTGATCCTCAGTGTGGCCATGTTGGGAGGTGGGGCCTGGGGAAGCTGGGTCAGAGGGGTGGATCCCTCATAAATGGCTTGATGCTGTTCTCTGTAGTGAATGCATTCTCGCTCTGGACAGACTAGATTATTTTTGTGGGAATCGATTAGTTCCGTAGAGAGTGGCTTGTTATAAAGTCAGGATGCCTCTTGGCTCTTGACTCTCTGTGTGTGTCTACTTCCCCTTTGACCTTCTGCCACATTGTGACACAGCAGGAAAGCCCTGGCCAGAAGCCAAGCAGATGCCAGTGCCATGTTCTTGAACTTCCCAGTGTGCAGAACCATTTCCTTTATCAGTTACCCAGCCTCAGGTATTCTGCTGTAGCAACACAAAACAGACTAAGACAGCTTCTTGAAACTTCTTGGAAGAAGATCATCAGGTATTTTTGTTTTGATTTTATTTCCTATCCTAATCAACCCCAACCCATCGCATCTGTGAGAGTCCCTGCTACCTTTTAAGTAAGCTGTTGAAAAGATACTTCATAGTAAGATAGGCTAATTTTACCAATGTAATTTCATGAATCATTGCTATTACAAATAATATTTTTTTCAATTTATCACTAGCTGTTAGGCACACCAAATTCTCAAAATGATGGAATGCAATATAAAAGCTGTGGATAAAAGCTATTAAAACCTTTTTTTTATTTTAGAAAAGTATGGAATAAACGAGAGGCTCATGGCTTGAAGGCAGGATAGCTCAAGGGGTCATGAGAGCTGACTTCAGATTAGCCCACAGCTTACATCACGGGAGAAAGAGTGTACTCATTTATTCTTGATCCCAAGGGCAAAAAATAACCAGCACCTTGGAAGAAGTCGTTGAGAAGCATGTGTGGTTCACTAAGCTGAGGATAATTTTGTTGTCGTTGTTTGTTTGTTTTGTTTTGTTGTGTTTTTTTGAGACGGAGTCTTCTTGCTCTATCACCAGGCTGGAGACCAGTAGCGTGATCTTGGCTCACCGCCACCTCCGCCTCCTGGGTTCAAGTGATTTTCCTGCCCCAGCCTCCCGAGTTGCTGGGACTACAGGCGTGCGCCACCACGCCTAGCTAATTTTTGTATTTTTAGTAGAGAAAGGGTTTCATCATGTTGGCCAGGATGGTCTCGATCTTTTGACCTCATGATCTGCCCACCTCTGCCTCCCAAAGTGGTGGGATTACAGGCGTGAGCCACCGTGCTCAGCTGGATAATTATTTTAAGCAGAGGGCAGCTGCCACATGAGGTGGTGAGCCTCTGGACAGTGGGAGAGTTCAAACAGCACCGCAGGGCCCAGGGTACCACAGGCAGGGTCCTGCAGGTGCAGGAGGGTCACTCAGATGGCGCCCAAGGTCGATTAAAATTCTAAAATCATCAACCATGAAAATGCTTATGCCTAATGTAGTTTACCCTTACCACATGTACCAACAAAGTAGTTTTCTAAGGCAATTTCAATGATGATGGCAGAATGAAAGACTTATATTTCACGTTGGAGAAGAGTGGAAATAGACAACTCTAGAAAATGAACATGCAGGGAATGGCTCTTCGTTGCCAGTGGTGAGCAAGGAAAGTCCGAGCCTTGCTAGAAAACCACAGGGCAGCATCTATAAAAGGAAGAGGGGTGTCATTTTGGTCCAACGGTTCCATTTCTAGGAGTCTCTCCTCAAGATACTGCAAATAAGCACCAAGATGTGTTTGCATCATTTCTAATGATAAAGAACAACTAAAAACGATATTGATAGGCAACTACTATAATTTAGTAAAGCATGACAGCTCAAAACTATGGAATACTCTGGTGCATTAACAGAATTAGATCAGTCTCTATCTACTGATACAGAAAACATTCTCATAAAAAACAGCTAAGTCTGAAAAATCAACATGTAGAACAACATATATAATATAACCCTGTTCATGCAAACCAACCAAATAGATCTGTACATGTCTGTGGGACAGAAAGAGATAAGCCAGGGGCCACCAAAGGCAGACAGTGAAGCCAGCACCAGCAGGGGCTGGTGGTGGCCAATGAGCACATCTTGCTCTGTACTTCTGTTGTGTATAAATCTTATAAAACGAAAATGCATTCATCTATTTCTTTGACACAATAGGCAAATCCCTTTAAAACAATAGATAAATCCCTATAAAATGTCCTTACAAAATTAAAGAAATAGACAGTAAATACAGTGCCTGTAATGCAAACAGTGCCCGCTACATGAGCAAATGCATGGAATTACATTACATTTAGGCTCACCTAGTGTGTGTGCCAGGCAGTGAGTCACCTTCAAAATCCTAATCTGAACTTCACATGGCAGGACGACTCTTGCACTCCCATCTCCAAAGATACTGTGTGTCTTGCCTATATGCAAACACTTAGCCTTTCGATCTTGTTATCCCAGTGGGGACATTGATCCTCCAGTCCTATATAAAAGGGGATCATATGCTCCAACCTGTGATCTATGATCTAATGAATTTGACCATCAAAACCACACAATTGTTCTCCGTAAATTAGCTATTGCTACCTTTTTTTCCCCCAAACAATTCGATTAAAACTGCCATTTGTTCATCAGCCATGGAAATCAGCCTCAGACAGGCAATGGACCACATGACACAGCCATGCTGACATTCCAGGGCCACCAAGCCTGGGGCCACAAACCGCATGATGTGGCCACATCAGCATCCCAGGGTCACCGTGCCCTGTGGCTACCGCTGCTCACAGAACTGTCTTTGAAGGTGAAGTTCCACATTCACCAACGTCACTGAATCTTGTGGCACATCCCTTCATGTTTAGATCGTTTGTAGTTAAAAATGACATCTATTCGATGACAGCCATCCCCACTGGGTTGAAGCCCTCTGAATCTTATTATCAGCTCTCTCCCTCCTTGGAGCCCAGCTGGTCCTATCCAGGGGTGGGAGGCTGAAGAGAGGTAATTGTCTTTGTAAGGAGAATCCGCCAGGAGCCTCTCCTCTGAGAAGGAAGGAGTAAGGCAGGTAGGTAAGAGCAGAGAGACATGAGTCCCTAGAAGTGGGTGAAGATCCAGCCTTCATCTAGTCTAGGTGCTTTCTGAGAATGGACCATCCACTGTCCCCACACAAGCCACCCATTCAAGCTCGCATCATCCTTTGCCCCAATGTCTTATTCTCGGTAGCCAGAGGGACACTTTTAAAGCCATCCAGTCTCCCATGGTGCCCCTTTGCTCCAAACCCTGAGTCATCCCATTTCACCTGGAGTAGAGGAAAGTCCTAGGAATCCCTAGGCAACCCAGCTCTGCCCTCCACCTCACCCCATGCCCTGCCGCTGCCCCTCCCCTCCTTGCTGGCCTGTGAACATGTCAGGCTCACTCCTGACGGAGGCTTTCTGTGGGCCATTCCCTCTGCTGGAATATTCTTCCCCAGAGACCCACTTAGCAAAACCCCTCACCCTCCAAGCTTTGCCCAGAAGGTCATCTTCTGAGAGCCCACATGGAGACCCTGAGTGCCAGCTCCCTCCAGCCTGAGCTCCCCTCCCTCCCCTGCTCTGTCCACTTCCCATGCTGGTCACTTTCCACCACACCACAGGCAACTCACAGACCTCATGCCCGGCATGTGCTTCTCCTACTAGGGTGCAGCTGCACCACCTCAGAGATTTTTGTTTCTCAAGATTTTCCACTTACCAAAAACAGTTCCTGGGACTCAGTAGGCATGAGTGTTTACTGAAGTGAGTGGAGGAGATAAACGAAGCAATGAGGATGCATTAGTGCACTGCTAGTTTAATAATTCAGTTGCATTGTATCGGATTAGATAAAATTTCAGATACTCACATACAATGTCATCATTTTTTACAGTATATTAAAAGAGTGCTAATGATTTCCAAAAGGAAGACGTTCCTAGGAGGCAAAATGTGATCTCCACGTTGAACACCCTCTGTACCTCTTGGCTTGAGAAGCTAGTCCAGGCATCGGCGGGGTGGAAAATGTCAACTCCATGGTTCAGCCAGTCCAATCGCTTCTCTCCTAAATATTTCCCTGTAGGCAGCGAGGGCCTTGAACCCGGTAACACCTAATGGGTTGCAAGTCTTCGTGTTCTTTGATCACATTGACTGAGAGTTGGCGGGCGTATGCTCATTACTTGTGTGCTCCTTGCTTCGGCGTTTCACTGATTTTTGAGTTGGAGTATTTTAAACAACCTTTCTGCCTGCAGAGCCCTAATGTGGAGCATCCCTAACTGAAGTGTGGTACAATCAATGGCCGTCTTTTCAACAAAATACTTTTTTGTGTTTTGAAAACTCAAGGAACCCTCCGTGACCTCAGGGCCTGCCCAATTATCTTCCACCTCACAGCCTGGCCTCTCCACCTGCTAGACCCCGCCCCTGTTCCAGCCCCTAGATCTGCAGTCTGGAAAGGCCCACAGACCTGGGTCCGCTCCGGCAGGATCTCAGGAAACGGCCCCCACGTGCTGTTCCGTTGTGCAGCCATCTCGTTAAGGAATCCACACTGGAGTACACACAGTGATGGTCGTTCCCCTGGGGATAATATTTGGAGACAGTTTGCAGAAGATATGAAGCTTCCTCCAAAAAGAAGTCCTGACGGAGGAGGTCAGCCCTCAGAAGGGGTGTAACACGCAGGGCGGGGGTCTCCCCACGGTGCTCAGAGTCTACCCAGGAGCCAGCTGCAGGGCTGCCCACACTCAAGGCAGCACTGGGGCCAGGAGCCACCCCAGCAAGCAGGGACCGGCTTTATTTCACAAGCGGACACAAGTAAGCAACGGGCAAAACCTCCCCCGAGGGAACGGCTCCTGGAAGTTATGTGCTTTCCTATTGGGAACCTTCCTCCATGTTCATTATCTCTGGTGCTTGTTCAAGCTTGCTGCGGTTCTTTGTGAAATAGGAAGTCGCCCTTCCATGTGCAGCCCTGGCAAAGATTGTTCTGGAAGTGCTGATGGTCTCGGGCTGGAAATGGGACCTGGTCCTCTTGCCAAATGGTCCAAGCCACTTGCCCATCACGCGGGCAGAGCTGAAGGGGAAGAAGAGGCTGGGCCGCAGCTTTGACTCGGCGCTCAGGCATTTTCTCTGCCTGGCAGTGCTGGGAAAAGGTACACCGTGCAGAGGGGGATCTGTCCTGGTCATAGGTGTCCCGGGAAAGCCTGGTCCATGCCAACGTCCCCATGCAGTGGGTGGTGTGCCTGCTGCTCTCCTGCCTCCCTGCCTCCCTGCCTGACATGGACTTAAACTCCGAGAACATAAAAGCCAAAGCCCCAAGTAGCACGTGTGCATTTTCATCAGCTGCAAACCAAGCCGAGTGCTGTTCCCAAGAGAGAGCCCATTTGAGGCTGCTGAAGCCCAGCCAGCTGGGTGTAAGGAAGCCCAGAGCTGGGCCTGGGACCCAGCCTTGCTCCGGCACCCAGCAGCAAAAGGCAGACCTGCAGTCTCCTTTCCCAGGTGTAATTCCACACCTTTGCTTGAATGCAGCCTTTAATGCACATTTAAAAAAATAAACAACCACCCATAAATTGTTTGCTGATATAAGAACCAAAGATAAACAGATAGAAAAGAGCCTGCTGCAGAAGAGGTTGACAGCGATGCCACGAATAAGAATGAGAATGAAAAGTCAGCATATATCTTATCTCCTAAAAATAAAGGCATGTCAAAAAAAGAATATGTTCCCTTGCTATCTGCTTATTTATTTATTACCTCAAAGAAAGCTTTTTACAGATTTTGACAAGTGGTCAAATAATGAAAACAAGTTTGGTAAAAATCAGACATCTCAACACCACGCTGCACGCTCCAGGTGTGTGCTTGCAGGGACTCTCAGACGCATCGGCCCTCAGACATCCATCGCACCAGAGTCAGAGGTGAGGAGGGGCCCACAGGGCAGTGCAGACAGAGGGGCTTTTACAGGATTGGCCGTGAGGGCCTCAGATGCTGGCTACACCCACGATAGATTGCTTCCGGTGGTATGGAAATCTCGCCACTTGGCCTTCGGCTCAGGCTCCCGCATAAAGGGGATCGTATCCTTTTCCCAGCGTACAGACATCTGCTCAGCCTCTGGTCAGAGCCAAGACCCTCCCAGGCTCCCTCATGGCCCCTAGAAAGCGTGCATTATCTTACTACAGCCCCTAGAAAGGGTGCGGTGTCTTCCTACTGCATCTCAGAATGCAGAGGAGAGCGGTCCTTCTGGGGAGCCACTTTTGTCTGTGGGGTGCTTTCTATCTGCTTGTTCAGGCACACACCCCGTGGTTTCAGGAAATGGGTCATCTGGGCTTGGTGAAGAAGCCCTTCTCCCTGGACCCCGCTGACTGTGCTGGTCCCTGTGGTGGGACACGACCCCTCCCTTATGATGACCATCCCTGGGAGGACAGTGGTCCCTAGTTATCCCCGCTGGCTTCCATTCTGTGCAGGAATGTGTATTCTGAGCCTGATGTTGTCCTTTTCATGCCCAGTTCTGGGCATTAAATGTGTGTGGAGCAGGCGCTTGGCAGCTGAGCATCAGATCCCTAAAGGCAGGGTCCATGCCATGTGGCCAGCCACTGCATTATCCACACGGAACTCAGAATGGTCCCTCCCACCCTGACCCTTCCCCGTTCATTCGTTCATGCATGCATGTATTGGGTACGCTTTATGGAGCTGATTTATTTTATGATCTGTCTCTTCTTGCACCCCATAAATTTCCTGAGAGCAGGGATTCTGGGCTCTTTTATAATCTGACCATCCAAAGCACCGACCACAATCCCTGAAACGCCAGAAGCACCCAGTGAGTATCTGAGGAACTAATGAATGAGTGAGTGAGTGAGTGAGCGTCTGTCCCGAAGGCCAGGCCTGCTCGAGGTGCTGGAGACGGGACAGCACCCGCACAGGGTTTACAGTCTTGCAGACAGACGTGAGCCACGCGTTTTCTAAAAATACGCCACAGCCTGGTCCTTCACAATCCCAGGGAAGGTGACTGAGTCGGCGTCCATCCTGTCTGAGGCTCCTCCTGAATTATGGATCCAGGAAAAGTGAGAAGGGGAAGGAGGGGGCGCGGAGGGACGCCTCTCACAGATGAGAGAGAAACACGGGCTTCTAGATGGTGAGACCCAGAGGGAGCTGATTATGAGATAGGAGAGGTGGAGAAACCGGCGTGCAGGTCCCCTGCGAGGGGCTGCAGCGGCATCAGGGCCTTTGGCTCAATCCCAAGAGACTCATCCAGGGCAGAAGGGGGCCAAACCAGCTCCCAGGCCTCCTCCTTCACCGGGAAAGCACGGCCAAGGTCTATGAGGCGGCAGTGAGAAGACATCGCAGCAAGAGCGGAAGATTGAGATCATCAGAGAGAAGAGCTCACCCCGGAGATGGAGCAGAGAACTCAGGGCACCGCACAGAAATGGTGATGAAACAAGACAGTGTGGATCCGGAGAGTGGAGGAGCCGCCCGCACGCAGAATGGGTGGAGGGCGGTGGAGAACACGAGGCTGGGGGTGGGGAACACAGGAAAACTAGGAGGTGGAGGAGGTTTTCAAAATGTCAATAGATTTAGAAAACAAAGTTAAGGAAGTCTACCAGAATGTAGGAAAAAGTCAAAGAGGCAAACACAGGAGAGAAAAGAATAAGAGACAGGGAGGGATGACTCCTGATGCCCGGGAACCTGTGGACAGGAGCTCCAGGAACTAAGTGCAGGCAGAGGAGGAGGAAGCACCTGTGACATGCTGCGTGACATGCAACGCATCGTCCATACGCAACATGAACACAGGGGATAGCGCAATATAAAAACATAAGAGAGGACATGCATGAACACAGTGGATAGCGCAATATAAAAACATAAGAGAGGACATGCATGAACACAGTGGATAGCGCAATATAAAAACATAAGAGAGGACATGCATGAACACAGTGGATAGCGCAATATAAAAGCATAAGAGAGGACATGCATGAACACAGTGGATAGCGTAATATAAAAACATAATATAGAACACGTATTAACAGCAGGAATGTATATGTGTATACATATACATGCTTATGTATACACATATGCATCTTTGGGTTGAAAATGCCCATGGAGGTTTCCACAGAATTAATATTTTAAAATGTCTAGATGTCATTAGAAAATCACTGAACATCCGAGATAAAACGGTCACAATTACCGCAGCATTTCTACAGAAAGAAAACACAAGTCACCTGTACAGTAACACAAACTCAGTGAGTCTCTCTCATGGTAGGGTCAGATTTTAAAAGGTAGTAGAGCAATTCCTTTAAAATGTTGAGGGAAAACAATTCAAAGTAACATTGTACAACTTGGCAACCTATCAATCAAGTTTGAAGGGCAAGAACAGAATTTTCAACACCGAAGGGATCTGGAATACTTTTATTAGGAGGTTGTTTCTGGCTGTGCTCCAGCAAGTGAGATTGTGAACTGGGAAAGGTGGAGATAATACATTCGGGGAACGTGGCTCCCAGCCAGCAGAGCAATGGCACGAAGTTCCAGCGTTGCAGCCGCCAGGAGGAGCTGCTGAGAGTATAGACATCTAGAATATGGATGCTGTGAGGAGTGAGGGGCCTCCAGGGAAAAAGGACGAGAAATAGAATAGAAAAGTACAGTGAAGAATGTGAAAAACATCTTGGCAATGTGTAAGAGAAAGAAAATGGGGACTGGCTGGACGAACAGGCAGAAGTGCACAAGAAAGTCACCATCTAATCTTTGGGCAAACGACAGAGTGGCATGACTGGGAGCACTCAGAGAGTGGTCAAGGTGCGGGTTTCACTCTGATACTAAATCACGGCACCAGCGACTTTCAAGGGAACAACATCTACTTAATTATACTGTTGAAAACCTACACAGTGAGTATCCCTTATAGGAAATGCTTGCAACCAGAAGCGTTTCAGATTTCAGGGTTTTTTTCCAGCTTTGAAATACTTGCAGAAATACATACTCGTTGACCATCTCTAGGCTGAAAATCTGCATTCCAAAATACTCCAAAGTCTGTGACTTTTTGAGTGACAGCAGGATGCTCAGAAGAGAAGCTCACTGGAGCCTTCTGGATGAGGATGCTGCACCTGTGTCTGTGTGTTTATTTATTGACTCATTAACCTGTAGGATCAGTCTAGGAACAAAACTAGAAAATCTGGTGGTCCCTGTAAAAGCGAATATAATTATGAACACCCTTGAAAACAGAAAGGGAAAAGTGTTAACTGACAGAAGTTAGGACTCAGAAAGTTGAAGAAATAGGGACGTCAATCTCCACGTGTTATAAAAAAGAAGGTCACCATTTTGTGAAACTCATCATGTTACTGAAGAAGAATGAGGGGCTTGTTTTATTTACATTACGATTTATTTAAAGAATAGTTAGTTCTGAATACCTAAAGTTAGAAAATACCATTGTGTGGGGCTGTGCAAGATTTTGGTTCGCCTGCACGATAATAACAATCGCCAACTCGCTCCTGCCTCTCCACACTCACGCCCTGTGAGTGTCCCTCCCACGCTGACCCTGGACTTCACCATGGACCTGCACTGGCCAGTGAGACAGGAGTGAATGTTACATAAGCAGAGGCTTAAAAACTGCAGGCATGGCCAGGCGTGAGGGCTCACACCTGCAATCCCAGCATTCTGGGAGGCCGAGATGGGTGGATCACTTGAGGTCAGGAGTTGGAGACCAGCGTAGCCAACGTTGCAAACCCCGTCTCTACTAAAAATACAGAAATTAGCTCGGTGTAGTGGTATGCACCTGTAATCCTGGCTATTTGGGTGGCTTGAACCCGGGAGGCAGAGGTTGCAGTGAGCCAAGATTGCGCCACTGCACTCCAGCACTCCAGACTGGGCAACAGAGTGAGACTCTGTCTCAAAAACGAACAAACAAATAATACACATGCACACTGCGGCTGTCCTCTCTGTCGTTCCTAAAACCAACCCTGCAACCTTGATGTGAGAAACATGGTCCTGATGTGAGAGGCACGTGACCAGACACCCTCTGTTCACCAAGACGCAAGTAAGTGACAACCATCTTCAGCCAGTCAGCCACCAGGCAAAATGGCAGATGACCTGATGCACAAGGGACACATTATTAGCTCGTGACTTGTGGGTCAGCAATTTGAGCTGGGCTCAAAATAACAAAATCATGAGATAGGTCGCTGAGAAAAGCCCAAGAACTGTCCAACTGAGCCCAGCTCAAATTGGAGATTCACAAAATCGTGAGCTACATAAACAGCCATTATTCAGAAGCTCTCTATTTGGGGATGGTTTGCTGTCCCACAAAAGCTAAGGTTTCGGCTGTGCAGCAACAGACAACGAAAACTATCTTCCTCTTTCACAAGATGTCAACAGCCATTGTCTAAAATTGACACACCCAGAGATCAAGATATCAACTGTGTAATTATAAAGGAAAAGTTAACTCGCAAAAACGCAAGACATAAAATAAAAGTGCATCGATCGGAAGAGGCTGCCCGTGGGGTGGAGGCCCGGGGTCCTGGGGCAGGAGGCCCTTGCTCATCACCAGCCATCTCCCTCCATGAGTACAGGCACATGAGTAAAAATAAGTATGAAAAAGTGTGACCGTGAAGCATGAGAAATGCCAGGAGCAGAAGTGTCAGGTGCACCCACATGGAACAGGCACGTGCTTTCATCCGGGGGTTCAAGGAGTTCATCCAGGGGAGAGGGAGGTTTACGTTCAGAACAGGCAGCCCTGGGAGAGTGGAGCATGCAGAGTGGGGGTGCTTTGGGAGTAGGTGGGGAGGGGCCTCTCAGCAGCTGGCTAAGATTCTTTAAGGTGCGCTGGAAGAAACTGCAAGAAGTGTGATGCCCCCATGGTTGAGGTGGAGGGGACAGTTAGAGTTTGTCTCCAGAGTACACAGCAGTGAGCTCTCACTCCCTGTGGTAGCCCCTTCCAGCCATGGCCAGGACTTCGGTCTCAGTAACGCCCAGGGTGCCGTGGAACTCCCTGGGGAGGGTCTGGTTAGGATGGCCAATTGGGGAGGGCTTCCAGAGCTCAAAGCCATTGAAATCCTGGCCCAGGCTGAAAGAGTTTTACCTGTGGACGAAGTCACCTGCGCACTTTCAACAGTGCCGTGGACTAGTGGGCCCAGGTGTCCCCCAGGGAGAGAAGACATCAGCAGCTGCCTAGAGTCTCCATGCCACCACCCCCTAGATGGGCAGGGAACTGTGAAATCCCATGTCCATGAGCACAGGCAGGGCCAGGTGTCTTCCTGCCCAGGACACTGGGGAACAGGAAGAGCATCAGTAACATAGGCAGATGCTGCAGGGGGACTGGGTGGGAGTGTGCTGGGCACAGGGGAGTGGGGGAGCCCCTCAGCTGCTGGAAGGCACCTGGACAAAGCCCAGCTCCACCCAAGAAATTGGCTTGCTACCCTGCCCCCGGCCACAGATCTTGGCTGATGGGAGCCTGGTGGGATCTTTTGAGCTCCTGAAAGGTCTCATTGGTACTGCTGCCACCAGTGTGCAGAGCAGGGCACTGTGACCCCAACACACACCAGAGAAAGTGTCAGCAAAACCTAATTAAAGAGTGAGATGAAAGGAGCCTGCAGGAGCAATGATAATTACAGCATTTAATCCACCAGGCAGCGTGGCCAGGCCTACCTCTTTGGGGTTCTCTGAGTTTGTTTATGATAAATTATTTCTGGGAATAACAGCCAACATCATAGCTTGTTAATTGGTTTAAAATAATAATTTTTTTTTTAAAAAAACTGAGAAGTTGAAGTCGACATTAGCTTCCTAAAAGCCCACAGTCACTTCCCTTGAAGAGGGCTTCCCTCCCTCCAGCCTTCTGCATTTCCACCCAAAACGAGGGGGCGGCTCTCCGGGGGCAGCGACAGGAAATATGACCAAGCCCGCAGCTCACGGTCCTCCCTGGGAAACTACGTGTCCTGCCCACAGGCCGCCGCCACATGTGGCTCTCTGGTAACCTTCAGTGGCGACAGCCCAGAACAGGCAGGGACCTTCCCGAGGGGCTCCTGCCACTGCTCCTCGGTACAGGTTAGTGTATCATCCTCATAAAGAGCTGGTCGAGTTCGGAGTTGGCGGGAGGGGTGCAGTGGGTGGGAAGTGCGCACGGGGCCTTTGTATCAGAGCTCTGTGGGGTGGGCTGCAGGGCCTCATGGAAGGGCTGGCCAGGAGTCCTGCAAGGGCCTGGGTGGCAGAGGCCTCGGGTGGATGGGAGTGTAGGTGGAAAGAGTTCCCAGAGCAGGCAGCGCCAGGGAGCAAGGTCCAGGGCCCTTGCTGAGTTGATGGGAATGACGGGGTAAACAGAGGCCGAGAGCCCCCCAAGTGTCGGGTCTTCTGGAAACACTGAGGCTCTGGTGAGACACAGAGAACCAGCCCTGCTGGGTTCACGAGAGCCACAGCCTTGGTTGGGCACCTCCTGGCTACAGGGCCCATCCCCTGGCTGGAGGGGGGATTGCACCTCAGCCTGGCTGTGTGGCTCAAAGCCTAGCAGGGAGATGGCACCTCGTGCATGACAGTGGCAGAGGGGTGGCTGCACTCAGTGAGGCTTTCTGGGGGTGGCACGAGCTGAGTGCTGGAGGATGAGCAATTGTTGGCCAGAAGCATGGCGAGCACCATGAAGGAAGGCTGGGGGCCAAGAGGCTCAGGAAGTGCTGAGCAAGGAGAGAAGAGGGGCAGGTGTGTGCTGGAGAGGGCGGCCATGCTGGACCTGGAGGGGTCTGCTGGTCAGGCCAGGGTGGGACCCAGTGATGGAGGCTGGGAGGTGGGCAGGGCAGGCCCCACATGACTGGGACAGCACACTACAGTCTCCACAAGGATGCGGAAAGTTATGATGAGAGGAGGCATTTCCCAGTTGGAGAAGAACGGCAAAAAACAGAGGACAAGTTAGGGGCTTGTGAATCTCCTCCTCTCCCTCCCCTGCCCCACCGCACCCCACCCCACCCCACAGGGAGCTCCTCCTTCCGTGGTGGGTGCCTGCCTGAGCCAGAACTCCGGGATGACTCAGGGATGCGGCAGAAGTCCGTAGCAAAGGAGCTTGGTCCAAAGAGGAGGAATTGGGCAGCCACCTTCCAGCCTTGAGGCTGGGCCATCCCCAGAAGTGAGACGGCCTCCCAGCCACACACCCCTACAAGGCATCCCCCTGCCGGGAGCATAGAGGTGGGGGCCGCACACTCAGCGGACAGGACTCTGAGACTCAGAGTTCAAACCAAATAGCAGGCGCCCTCTCGCCCACGACGCCGGCGCTGCGGCACAACAGATTCCCAAGCTGGTGGGGTGAGATGTGTAGGGAGGGGAGTATGCCCAGGCGCCCTCTCACCCACGACACCGGCGCTGCGGCACAACAGATTCCCAAGCTGGTGGGGTGAGATGTGTAGGGAGGGGAGTATGCCAGCTCGTTCAGCAGCCACCAAGCCCAGGTGCCACAGTGCCATCCCAAAACAGGAAAGTAAACTGAATTACACACATAGGCACACATCCACACCACACACAGCGACGGACACATTTTCACTGGAGGTGGTTGCCCATGCTGTGCCTACTCAAAGGTACCCTGTGCTGGGCAGACACAAAGTGGCTTGCATGTGTATATTAGTTTCCATTAATTACTATAAATTGAATATTAGATATTCAAGTCTTACACATTCCCCACAGCAAATTATATCCTCGCCTTCCTTTCTACCATTATCACATTCTGAAACACGCATATGTAGATCAGCATCACCTACCAGCCCCAGGCTGGGTTTAATTCCTATTCTGTCCCCAGGAGCTCCTTCCTTAAGTGTCCTCAGTCAAGAACCAAATGATTCTTGAACTCTGGCAAGACCCACCCCTGGTCGAGGCCCTGAGGCTTATGAATGTGAGATAAGGCTTCTGTGGCAGAGGAGTTATCAGATGGTGAGAAGGACAAGATAGAACACATGTGGTGAAAAGAACCCTGGAAGAATAACCACCCTCAATGGTGGCAGCACACCCAAGAGATTTTAGAGGAGATGAACTTTCCCTTCTCTGTCCCCATCATCCATCCTTGATCAATTCACACATCTGGTCCATTTACCCTTTTCCAAATGATTCTCAAACCTGATTCTCAAACAAGGCTCTCTCTCCATCCCCACCACCAGCAGCACCACCTCTCCCCTGCCTCCTGCCATGGCCTCAATCAGATCACTCACTCACAAACACTGTAAATTCACACTGACACACCCATGTGACTCAGGTGCACACACGCACACACACGCATACACACGACTCACACACAGGTAAACTCACATACACACACTAAATTCACACCCACATACCCACATGACTCAGGTGCACATACACACACACATGCATACACTCACACACACAGGTAAACTCACACACATTGTAAATTCACACCCACATACTCACATGACTCATATGCACACACACACATGCACACACATGATACACACACTGGTAAATTCACACACACACGACACACACATACGCTGGTAAACACACCCACACACCCACATGACACACACAAACACACACTACTCACACACAACTCTCTCACACACAACTCACACACACACGACTCACACACACTGATAAACTCACACCCACACACCCACAGGACACACACACACACACGACACAGATGCCACCCAGGACTGGACCCAGGTCTTGGCAGGAAATGTCAGAGCCAGGACAATGACAGAAAGGTCTCCATGTCCCTAGCACTGAGGCCGTATTAATTATGACCTTGAGAGAGGTTAAGTCACAAAGCACACCAGGCTGATCTCTCTCTCTCTCTCTGCCCTCCTTGGCTCGGAGGGCCACACTCCACCCGTCAGCCACACCTGGTGCCCAGTACCTTCCCGTAGCCTTGCCTCCCCCACGCAGGCCAATGGACTCTTCCCGTGACCCCCTAGACTATCTCTGCCTTGGGCTGTGTGTGGCTGGAGGGCCATCTTAGCCTAGTTCGGGACAGGCAGGAACACAGGGAATGAGAGCCCCCGTGCTGCCCTCAAACACATGCAGCTGAGAGTCACTGGGAAAAACATAGCTTTGCTCCCTGAGTGGGACACTCTCAACATGCACTAGGCTTTCTGCCCAAGTCTCCGGCAGAGCTGAGCCCCAGTGCCATGGGGTGTCATGCCCGGCAGAGGCTCCTTCTGCTCCCATCACAGCCCCCCCAACCGGTGCTCGCATCCAGTCTTTGTCTCAGAGTCGGCTTCTGACTGGGGGTGCCCAGCCCTCCAGGTCATGCCCATCCCTGGAATGGTGCCCTAGGCCGCCCTCGGCAGGACCAGCCGCCCCGGGGAGAGGCAGGATGGGATGGAGCTGACCTGGTGCACAGAGGCGATGCCTCTGACTTGGGGCACTGAATCCTCCTAAGGGAAAAGGTTCCCTCTCACGCTCACTTGTAAACAGCCAGAACCCAGCCTGATGCTGGGAATCCAGCAGGGACTCAGCAAAAGTGGGGCGGCTGACTGATTCATCAGGTGGGGGCTGGGACAAAATGATTTATTTACAAAAGCTCAGGTTTACTCTTTGCATTGTGCTACAGTCCATTGTCTTAAGCAGATATAAGTGATTGTTCCTGCCTTCTTAGCAGAGGCAATATCACTGTTGAAGAAAAATAAAGGGAATACAGCAAGCTCTGGAAAGCCACCCGGCTACCCCAGCATAGGGGCTTCCATGGCCCTGGCAGTGGCTCCACCCGGGTCCCCAGTATAGGGGCTTCCACAGCCCTGACAATGGCTCCACCCGGCTACCCCAGCGTAGGGGCTTTCACGGCCCTGACAGTGGCTCCACCCGGGTCCCCAGCAGCTGTTTAAAGCAGCATCCCTGAGTCCCTGGAGGACAGTGGCCCTCTCCAGCCATGGCAAACGCACACTGGGGTCCTTGCAGCCCAGTAGCATGTTTCTTTCTTTTTTGTTGTAATTATCATAAATTTTGTTCTTTTTTGAAAGCCTCAGAAGTAAGCTTTCTTTCTACTTGTGCAAACTTTCAAAATATATATCACCAGTCTAAACTGGAATCACATATCCACTCTCCCGCTCCTGGTTCTACCTGGCTGGGCGCTCCATGGGTACGACGGCCACACTCGCTGGCTCACGCATTACTGGCTTGCTTAACCTGAGCAGCCGAGGCTGTGCTCCCCTCCTTTTCAAATCGTTGCAGGGAAACAAAAGCACTCCGCCTGGCAAATAAGAACCTGGGGAGAGAAAGCAGCACTCTCTGCTTGTTCACAGAATAATTCAAACACTGTCTCCTCCCAGCAAAGAAAGCTCTGCTCCCAGAAAGGAGCACACACCTGTCCCAGCATTCAGAAAGAACGCAAGAGCAAACACTGTTCGGGGCAGCCAGGGACACCCTGGAGGAATAAAGCCACACGATTTGAGTCACGGGGCACCAAGGAGGTATCACAGACCAGGCAGGAGCCCAGCCGACTCACATGAAGCTGCATGCGGCGTGCACGCCTGACGGGGGCTGGCAGAGCCCACCTCGCTCCCCTGCAGATCCTCCCAGAGGCTGTCAAGGAGAATCACCAGACACTGAGACTGGCTGGGGTTTCTGCAAGTGGCCTGGAGGGTCATAATCTTAAAGAAGTAAAAGGAAATTGCTAGTGCTTCCTGCGAGATGAGGACTCACAGACGCAGGCTAATCTGTCACTCACATGCCGAGCGGGAGCCTTTGAGAGGTTTGCAGATGTTCAAGTGAGGTGGAGGGATCGTGGGCTATTTTCCTTTTCTTATTTATGCTTCTCCACTTCTTTCCTCGGGGTTCTAAGTCAGCGCTAATCATTTCAATAGCATCAGACCCTCCACAGGGAATGGTGGCCGGTATATCCTACTTGGGGAATCTCATTCCACGAACGCAGGGAATCCTGAGGAGACACACATGGGTTGTGAACCGAGTCCTGGCTGTCACTCATCGCTTGCCTAGATGTGAGTGGAGCCAGTCTTGAGCCACAGCAGGGATGGGACAGTGAAATGGTGGACAGCAGTGCCTGCCCGGGGCCTGCCCTAAAGCACCCTCTTAGCCTCTCTTCCTCCTAGCCCGGGAGCCCAGCGCCCTGTTAGTTGACTTCTTAGGGAGTGAGAAGTTCTGCCTGCTATGAGCTCACTCAGCCTTCTGGTCATAAACACTGACTAAACTTTCAGCTGCCCGCAGAGCATTTGACACATGGGGTCTCCTTAGCTGGGTGGTCTCCCAAGCCACATTCCTCTTTCTCACGGCTCCATGTGACATAGGACGTGCCAGACACATAAAGTCCTTCCCTCTGCAGCTCTCTCATTTCACCACCGACACTGGGCTCCGCTTCCCACCTGTGCTTCTAGATGGCTCATGCCTGGGAGAGTTGGGGCCCAGCCAAATTCTCCGGCTTGTCGGAACATCATCACGCTCTCAGGCCGTGGGTCCGTCTCAGGGAACCCACTCATCTTTGCTGTATGGTGCCCCTTTCAAGACACTGAGAAATTCCAGGAAACACAATGACAGCAGAGGTGTCAGATTCCACACTGCCACCTCTTCGTTCCCCTGGAGCTCTGCCGTGGCCCTGACCACTCCCACGCCCTTCTGCCCAGGCCAGCAACCCCAGCTCACTGGGCTACCTGCCTGTGCTGGGAGCCAGTCCTGACTCTCTGCCCCCTCCCCCCGGCCCCTCCTCCCAGCCCAGCTCAGAACAGCCCCTCTCCCTCTGCTGCTTCCTTCATTGCGAATCCTTGCAGTCACAGACCTCGGGCCAGCCCCCAGGCCCTGCTCTCTCCTGCTCTCTGCAGACCCCACCCAGTCTGCCAGCCACCTCCAGGACAGCACATGCCCTTTGCACCAGCCACCCTCACCCAAGCTGCTGGGCCTCCTTTCCTCTTTACACCTCAGCTTCTACTGTGTTCCGGACTGCTGATGTGGCCAGATATCCGGTCGCTGGAAAGGCCATTAGCAGAGCTGATCAGAGGAAATGCAGAAATGGAAGGCACCATGAAGGGTATAAGCAGGAAGAGGTTTTCACTGTTTCTTACTTAATGCTGTTCTTCTGACCCTCTCCAAGGTCCCTCAGATAAACTTCATTCATGTGCATATGAGAACACGCCTCCTTTTCTTATTGTTTTTATTGTGGTAAAATATACATAACATGAAATTTACTGTCTCAACCATCTTGAAGTATACAGTTCAGTGGCATTAAACACATTGGCAGTACTTAACGCCAGCCGTCACCACCATCCACACTCCGAACTATTTTACCTTCCCAAACAGAAACTGTCCTGGTTCAACAATGACTTTCTGTTCCTCTTCCCCTAGTCCCTGGCAAGCACCCTTCTACTATCTGTCCCTGTGAATCCGATGGGGGACCTCGGATAAGTGGAATCCTATAGGCTTGTTTCACTGACCATCGTGTCCTCAAGGTTCTTCCATGCTGAAGCAGGTGCCAGCAATTCCAGCTTTTTTAAGGCTGAATAATATTTCACTATATAGATATGCCACATTTTCTTTATCTATGCACCCATCAATGGACGCTCGGATCACTTCCACCATTTGTGGGAAAATGTATAATGCTGCTATGAACATGGGTGCACAGATAGCTGTTTGAGACCCTGATTTCAATGGGTGAGTCACATGGTAATACTATGTGTAACTGAGGACCTGCCACACGGTTGTCCACAGCTGGAGCTACTCTGAAGCACCAATGTTGCTTTAGGGATGTTCGTTCAGAGCAACTGCCACATGGTCTCTAGAGTTTAAGTATGGACAGCAAAATGTCAGCTTTCTCCCACCCAGACCCCTGGATGGAACATGGGCCTGAATGTCAGCTTTCTCCCATCCAGACCCCTGGGCAAACACAGGCCTGCATGCTCCTGAACACAGGCTGTCCTCCCCTAGGGCACGGATTTCATTCATGCACCAAACGCGTCTATTTGAGTGTTGGGACCGGAAGACTCTCCAGTGTGAGCTGCAGACCAGCCGTCTCCAACGAGCGCCCATCAGGGACCGCCTCCTCTACCGAGTCCTGAAACACATGTCACTCTCCCCACTTCTGACAGCCACCCACCATGGATACTATTTCCAACAGTGCTGTTATCACAAATTAAATAAAGTGGCCTGTCCCGGGAAGCAGCTGCTGCTCCTGCTGCAGTGAGTACACTATGACATGTCCTGTCTGTGGTTACAGCAACATGATCTGCACAGTGACCAGCCTCCTTGCACGATGCTTTCATTAAAGCAGCCATGGGTGACTCCTTCCTCCCTGATCTGTCTACAGACCAACTATCTCCCCACCCTCCTTCCAGGCACACTTCTAAATCTGGTCCCTGCTTGAAGACCACAGGGACCCCCGGGGATGGCAGCACGTACCGCCATGTGCCTGATTGAGGCCGTAGCGCCTTCCCTGCTGGGCCGGTCACAGACTGTCCCTGAGGGTCCTCAGCACAGTAGGCATCCAGCCTCTCATGGGCTCTTGGCCTGTGCCTGCCAGGCGGACCCAGCTGAAGTTAGCCAGTGTCTCTTCAGCACCAGGAGCCCGGCCACCATCGCAGCCACCGGGTGATTGATTTGAGCACCGTGTCTCTATAGACGGACAGGAATGACAGCTGGTGGGTGGGACTGACAATGGTGCAGAAGAACGACATCCTGGGAAAATCCTCGGAAAAGGATTGCTGAGTCCCGCCCTCACTCTGCCCCTCACTTGTACTGGGATTTAGGTAAACTGGTCTTCAGTGGCCTTCGACCCTGCCCCCCAGCTTTCAGTAATGGAATCGGTTGCCCAGAGTCCACAGGCCTTTCAGCTTGAAAATTTTGGATTCTGGGAAATTCGAATCCCCAAAGATTGTGGTGACTGGGTCACGATCACCTCACTCTCTGCCTGAGCTTCCCATCAGAGATTCCGGTTAATGCTGAGCTGACCAGCATATTCAGCGGCTGGGTGACGTGGCATTCACCGTGCTGAACGCTTCCTGACTGTGTTTGTCTGTTTGTTAGGATTGGGCTGGGTGGGTGTGCGATGAAGGTCTGCGGAGTAGGGCAGCCATCTCTGCACCATCTCATAGAGAACACAGAGAACTGTCGACCAACACGCCAGAGCATCGTTGAAGAGGGTCCTAACCACAGTGCACAGGTGTGGCTGGATGCTGTTCAATCAGCAAAGAGTCAACGAGAGGTAACTTTGTCCCAAGAATTGTTCCTGGCACCAGGGCCTCAGTGGTGAATAGATATGGGAGGATCCTGCCCCTGAGGGTGTGACATGCCAGTGGGGGAGAGAAGATAGGCCAGGAATTGACACCGAAGAGAATTGCCGGCGATGATAAATGCTGAAAAGCAAACGCAACAGTGAGGAGAAGGAGTTCGTTCCAGGGGCCACTTCAGGATGGGAGGACTCGGGCCACGTGCTGGAGCTGAGGCCTGAACAGTGGGGGAACCACTGGCCACATGAGACACCAGGGGGTGGAGGAGAGCGTCCAGGCAGAGGGGCCGGCCGTGTGAAGGTCCCGGGGCAGCCCTGGCCTCACAGACTGGGAAGGCACCATCAGGCCTGGGGGACAAATGGAGGGCTGCTCAGGAAGTAAGGGTGCAGGTGGGTCACACAGACAGTGACCCCAGACTCCAGAGGAGTTGGGATTTGTTCTAACCTCCAGAGCAGGCAATCACTGGATTTAAATATATATATATATATATAGTAAGTATTGATTTATTTATTTATTTTTATTTACTTATTTATTTTTAGAGATGGGGTCTCACTATGTTGCTAGGCTGGACTCCAATTCCCAAGCTCAAGGGATCTTCCAGCCGCAGCCTCCGGGGTAACTGGAACTACAGGTGGTGCCCCTGCGCCTGGCTCCTTGGGGGCTGTAAGCAAGGGCAGACTTGGCCTGACAAAGGTCCTTGAGAAGTGAACTCCAGCTCCTCTGCAGAAAATAGGGCAGAGTGGAAACAGAAGTACTTGCAAGAGCCTCAGTCCACAGATCTTGGTTTGGACCAGGAAGGTGGGCAAAGAGAGGAGGAGGCACCGTGGACTCGGTGTGGGTTGGGAGGAGGACGGCAGTGCCGAGGGGCTGGAGAGGAGGCATCAGGCAAAAGGAGGCGTCAGGACGACCTCTGGTGTGAGGCACGAACTCCTGGGCAGACCCGGGGCAACGTACTGAACTGGAGAGTCTTTGTGGCAGGGGGTGAAAAAGGTTTACTTGAAAGACCACAGGAGAAACAAGTGTTTTTGTTTTGATTTCCATAAACAGAAGCATGGGTTGGGACATCAACACTTCCTTATAGAGCGGTGAGGCTTGAGGGGTTCATTGGGAAGTGGAGGTAGTTGCATCCGTCAACCTAGAGCTCCAGGAGGAGGCAGAGGCTGGGCTGGAGACGGCCTCATTCTTATCTATGGAACACTGTGGGAGAGGAGGCACCAGGCTAGAGAGATCTGTGCAGAGATGCCCCGGGCAGAACACCAGCAGGGTGTGGTTTCAGAGAGTCCTGAGAAGATAGTGCTTCCAGCAGGAAGGAAGGGACAACTGAGTCTGACCTTTCAGGTGGCAGGAAACATTCCCCACTGGCAGAGGGGACAAGGTGTTATATGACTTCATACAAACAAATGCTGCACAAAAGTGAACAAGATGGTACCACCACTGCACATGCCAGCAGGGACAACTTTAAAGAAAGCATATATCTGAGTGAAAAGGCCATCGCAGAAGAATGCGCAAACTATGTTAACATGTATGTGAAATTAACAAAAACTAAAGTATGCAACATATTGTCTAGAGATAATGCATATGCATATGGTAAACATATATTTTTAAAAATAGCAAAGGAATAATTGGCACATCTTCAGGGGAGCAGTGACCTCTGGGGTGAGCAGGAGGTGAGGCTGGGGTACTGGGAACATCACGTTTCTCAGGCTCGGAGGGAGGCACTGGGTGTCTATTGTATTAGTATTCTCTATACTGGACATAACCTTAGGCACGCTGTGGCGTGCATGATATATTTCCACATTTTCTCTTCAAAGAGAGGGTGAATTGGAGCTAACAGTGGAGATGGCTAACGGCTAACGTAGTTAAAGTCAGGGTGATTCTCAGGGTAGGCACAGGGAACGGAGCAGCTCAGAAAGAACGCGAGGTCCCAGGAGCATCGTTTTCTAGACAAGTGAGCCAGACCTTGCTCATAGGAATGATTTCCCTGTGAAAGCAGCTCTCCTCTTTAGAGCCCAACAGTGGGAAAGTCTGCACCTTATACAACTAAATGTAATAATGCCAGCTCAGATACTTGTAGTTGCATTCTCAGTAAGAATTCACTTATCATGCGTAACAAACTATACAAAAGGGGTTTGTTGGTTTAAATCCAGTAAGTGTTCCACTAGAGGTAACTCAATCCTCCATTAGAAATGAACACGTGTTTCCCGCACACGCCAGATGAGTTTCAGGAATCTTGAGGTATAAGCAATTATGTTGTTACAATATTTTTGTCTCTGAAAATCTTTAAAATGTTAATATGTATTATGACATTTTTGATTATAGAGGAGGAGGAAACAATTCCTGGATGATTTAAAAAAAGACCTTATTCCCAAATGTCTGAATTACTGTTGTTATAGAACCTGCTTCAGCATCTGCAGATTTTGCTAATGAGGAAAGCCGACAGCAACATGAAAGGCTGCGTGGTAGAATTCTGGCTTGGAGACTTTCTGACTTGGCTGGTAAGTTACTGATAGAACAAAAAAATAGTCACTTCCCAGCTGTTCTGTGGCAGGACAAAATGTTAAATTTAAACCATTAAATAGTTCTGGAAGCAAAGAACAGGTGGCAAACGGCTTCCCAGGCAGATGGCCCTTTTTAATATCTGTTTGGTAGTTACCTGCTCTACCAGAGACCAAAAGTACTCACTCATATTTCACTCTTCTGGCCTGGACAATTCAGTCATGGTGGGCCAAATTTTAAAAATAAATGCTGTCTTTCTTAAAAGAAGGATCACTTTGGCTGAGCACAGTGACTCACGCCTCTAATCCCAGCACTTGGGGAGGCGGAGGTGGGCGGATCATGAGGTCAGGAGTTCGAGACCAGCCTGGCCAACATGGTGAAACCCTGTCTCTACTAAAAATACAAAAATTACCTGGGCATGGGGGTGTGCACCTGTAATCGTAGCTACAGGGGAGACTGAGGCAGGAGAATCACTTGAACCCAGGAGGCAGAGGTTGCAATGAGCCGAGACCGCACCACTGCACTCTCAGCCTGGGCGACAGATCGAGACTCCATCTCAAGAAAAAGAAAGAGAGAAAGACAAAGAAGGAAGGAAGGGAAGGAAGGGAGGGAGGAAGAGAAAGAAGGAAGGAAGGAAGGAAGGAAGGAAGGAAGGAAGGAAGGAAGGAAAGAAAGAAAGAAAGAAAGAAAGAAAGAAAGAAAGAAAGAAAGAAAGAAAGAAAGAAAGAAAAGAAAGAAAGAAAAAAAAAAAGTTCTGTGAGTAAGTGGAACAGGAGCAGGCTCTGCCCGGCCTATCAACGCTCAGAAGGGAGCGCTGTCCCTGGAGTCAGGGGAATTGCTGTGTTGGGTGCAGGCAGGGCGGGGATGGAAAGATGCAACCTCTGCTGGAGACCCACTGCCTGGGAGGGGCCAGCCTGATAAACAGATCCCCGTGAAGCAGAGGCCAACGGACACAAAGGACACCCCATCCCCTGGGAGGGCAGCAGGGACCAGCCTTCCCGCCCGTGCTGACACCACTCTGAAAGAGAAGCCCGGTTCACGGCTGAATCTGGACCTGGTCACGGGCTCTTTAAGTATTATGTGGCATCTTAGGTAAGCTAAATCTAGTGCAAGGCACCGAATTCAGCACAATCTTTATGACTGTGGACTCTTTCCAACACAGAGCCCGCTCCTTCAGGGTCAGGGTAGTGCCACATTAACTCTCCCAGATGAGCTTAGCCGGGTATCCAGACAGGTTTTCATGGTGCCTTAAGCAGAGTTCTAATAATACAAACCCAGGTTTCTCCACAGAGCCACTACCTATACTTTGGGCCAGATGATTCTCTACCATGGGGGCTGCCTGGGGGTTGTAGGATTGTGGCATCTTCCCTGGCTTCTACCCACCAGATCCCAGTAGCAACCCTCAGGTCATGACAACCAAAACACATGGATAGTCACACTGCCAAATACCCTCTGGTTGCAGAATTGTCTCCAGTTGGGGACCATTAAGCTAAACCACGTGGAGCTCTGAGGTTACTGACTTTTATATCAAAGTCCAGAATGTAAGTAAAACAGTCAAGCTCATTTATATAAAGTGGGACTTATCTTCCAAATAAAAACAGGATTATTCTTCTGTAGATAAATTAAAGGTCACATCCTTTTATAAAATCAGTTTGAATATAGAGCAAACTTTGGAGTGAGCTGTGTTCTTCTGAGTCCATCAGCACCTGCTTTGCATTGATGTCCTTCTATTTCCTCTCCGCCAGGCCGGGGCCACTCCCTCTACCCACCCCTCCATGGGATAGCTCATCCTTGTCCTGCCCCTGCCCAGTTCATCTATTTTAAGGGGTATCAGAAATTTCCTAGGGGGCTGCCTGGGCATTCGCTGAGACTGCCCATCAGCAGAGACAACGCCTTGCTCCCATCGTTCTGTGGGCCTCTTGCGATGGTTTAGAAAACAGCCCGAATGGCGCAGATAGGCCAGCTCTCTATCCCATCTCCGTCAAGTCTTGGTTTTCGAAAAGTACCCCAGGGACATGTTAGGATGGTTTTCTTCATGGGCATGACAGCCTTGCCCCGAGTCCAGAGGAGGCCGCCAGGGCAGCACTGCCAGGCAGTCCCACCTCCCAATGGAGCCCTCACCAGGGGCGCCCCTGGCAGCACCACACCCACCCATGAAGCCTGGGTTGGGCCACGCTGCTCACAGCTCAGACCTGCTCATCACCGGTCCAGACCCAGCCTCCTGGTGGTATTTCAACTTCAACCTGCATCCTGTCCTATGGGCAGGGTTTCCAGGTCAGATGGATCAATTCCAGCAATGGGAAGGCAATTTTAGGAGCTACCTTCTGAGTAACGCCCCTTTCATCTTCCTGTCAGGCCATTTTTCCAGTTATCTACAGGACAGATAACGTTGGTGCTGGCCTCGTTCTAACTGAACACGCATTATTGCAAATTTGATCATGGAACCTTATAAAAGGCAAACAAGAGAAGATGCCTAATTGTTATGTCACCTTATAAATCATGTCAGAGATATGGAAAGTGAAGCTGCCCCTGAGGTACACAGCTTTTGGTTCTAAGATTAATTTTCCTCTGAAAACAGTAAGTCACCCCTAATACATGTCAATGTACTAGTAGGTTTAACCAAACTCTTGACACAGCTGTAATTTATGTTCCACACCGAGATTATCCATGTGTTTTATTTATTTTCTCCATCACACTCTAAATGCATGTTCACTGACATGCTGACATAGAAATACAATTTTGATCTTGAGAATACAATATCCGACTTATCAACTAATTCATCAAACCAGCATAGAAATAGCGAACGCCGAAGGTCCATTGTTGAAAAAGACCACATTAGATTTACTAGCAACAAAGTCAACAAACTGCAAACACTCCAAAAATTGGAAAGTCATGGAACTAGGCTGTTTGTCTTTCTACCATAAAGTAGTAGGTATATATTTATGTGTGTGTGTGTCTATCACAGTCTAGTGATACATTTCCTGCTACTGATAATCTAGCAATTAATGATATTAATACAATCTTCCATGGAATTTCTCTTCAAGTTTTACCATCTCACATGAAGAACTAAAACCAAAATAACAGAGTAAATCCTCAGTTCCTGGGAGTTGGCACTGTCATTCCAAATTAATGGTGCTGTTCCTAAGTTTGAAGAAACACGCATTTCACAAGGATGTCTGGGTCACGAAGCGTGCAGGTTACAGTTAGTGGATGGACACGCATGCCTGTGAACACGCAGGGACAACAGAGCTGCAGATGGGACCCAGGGCCTCCCATCTACCCTGAGTGCCTCATCAATGCATCTCACACCTCTCAGGACACCAGAATGGCCACCCTCCGGGCCCCTGCCCCGAGGACATCTCAGAAAGGGAGCACGTCTACTGCATTAATGAGCTCAAATGCCTTTGTGGCGGCCCAAGCCTCTGGTACTCCAAGCTGTCACAGTGGGTGGGACCCCAGCCCCTGTGTCCAGCCCAGGGCCAGAAGGCATGCCAAGTGGACTGCCTGGGGGGAGCAGCACACGGCTTGGCTCTGCGCTCACTCACCAGGCTCCACTCCAGCACGCCAGCCTGCACGTCCCGTGCAAGAAAATCACAACTTCCTGGGGTGCTTGCACTCCCAGACGCATGCATGACTCCCCCTAAACTCCAGTTAGTAAAGAGAAGTCTCATTTCCTCAAACGGAAGCTTTCACCTTGGCTTTACAGCAGGAAGTGCCAGGGTGGACCTGACAAGGTGGCTCAGTGGAGTCGGGTCGATTTGCAGGGTCCGAAGTCAAGCAAAGCCCAAACGGCCCCAGCCGAATGTTTCCCTCAACCGGAGCCGGGCTTCAGGTCCCACAGCGCCTGGGCCCAGGCCAGGGGCATCTAACCAGGAAGCCTCCGCGCGCTCGCTAAGGCAGCACCAGGCGTCGGGACGGCGCTCCGAGCCTACCTGAGACGGGGGACGTCCGGAGGGGTATTTTGATGGGTGCCAAGGTCAGGAAGTGGCGCGGCTGCACGCTGGAGGGGGACGGGCCCCGGAGGTTCTCAGGGTCCACGGAGACCATGGCAGCGGCGGCGGCGGTGGCGATGGCAATGGCGGGGCTGCTGGTCACCTTAAGGCTGTTATGGCAGCCACCTGCGGAAGAGGGATGCAGAGGGTCAGCAAGGGGACGACCAGGGCCATGGGTGACAGATGCCCATCTCGCTACCGCAAGATATCAGCCCCCAGAAAACAGGTGAGGGGGGCGCTACCCCTCTTTAATGGAGGCCCACAGTATGTGCCACCGTCCGCAGAACAAATGCTTCTGATGAGTTCTCCATCAGTCAAACGCTGCCATGCAACCAGTGCACACACAGAGCCGTGTGATGCCCAGTGAGCTGCAAGGCTTACAGTCACCAGGGGACGAGCCAGGACCCGGGTGCCTTAAAGAGAAACTGCTTGTCCCTGGTGCCAGTGTGTTAAGTACCTAATCAGAAGTGACCATGAACAGCACTCAGTGATTTGGAGCAGAAACCGGTGAAGGCCCAGGAGTGCCACATAAAAAAGTGGGGGTGGTTTGGAAGAAGGGGCAGCTGTGGGCCAGGGTGGAGAGAGGTTTCCAGAGGACACCAGGCTCAGCTGGGCCCTGCAGGGAGAGGGCGGAGAGGTTTCCAGAGGGCACCAGGCTCAGCCGGGCCCTGCAGGGAGAGGGTGGACAGGTTTCCAGAGGGCACCAGGCTCAGCTGGGCCCTGCAGGGAGTGGCCGGTCACCAGACCAGCTGCTGCAGGAGACACCCACACCCAGCTCAGCGTGGGTCGCTCCTTGAGAGGAGTCAGACTGCAAGCTTGGAATCAGGCATCTTTTCTGACATCAATGGACGCATCTGAAAGTTTGCTTCTTCCTCTGCCTTTTCAGTAAAACATTTTTTCTTTTAAAAGACTCCTCAGTTTCCCAAATAAATGTGGTATCTAAGAAGTATTTTGTAGGTGCCATTTTATATGGATGGTGGAAACTTAGTCTGGCCAGCTCTGGACAGCAATTTGGAAATATGTTTCTAAAACCTTGATATAATTCACTACTCTTGATCTGGCACGTCCTGTCGTGTGACCCACCCACATGCCCAGTGCCTTAGGATACAGGTGTAGAATGAGGAGCTAGAAATATCAGCAAAAGCAGGACGGCTGCATGAAGGATGGTGCGCTGTGCACAGGACGGTCAGTGGTCAGCACGATTACATCAGGGAAGATCGTTAGTGCCAGAGCGAGGTCTCATGATACAGTAGGCAAAGAAAACAGGCTAAAAATCATATAGGTTCCTGCAATGTATCGTCATTCAGTCAACCAGTCTTTATTTAGCTGACAAGTGCCAGGCATTTTCCAGCAGTAGCTCTTTGGGACAGAGCAGTGAACAAAACACTGGGAAGGCTGGCCTTCGGGGAAGGTTCCTCCCAGGTAGGGAAGAGGCAGGGTGCTCATTCTTCTTGTTGATTTTCTGTACTTTCCAGGCCGGTGGGCATAGTGGGAAAGCAGGGAGAGGGCATCTAGCCTTGGTGTGTGGGCCTCAATTGTGACTGGGGTGGCCAGGAAAGTCCTCACTGAGAAGGAAAAAATAGGTAAAAGTCTGCATGAGGCAAGGCGAGACTCCCTGCTGACCCCTAGAGAAGAAGCAGGCGTGCGAAGGCCCCGTGGCCAGTGCCTGTGTGGTGCCTTCCAGGAGCTGCAAGGAAATCATCAGGGATGAGGTGCAGTGTTCGAGGCACAGCATACAGGGAGATGAGGAAGTGGGGGGTGAGGGGACAGCCAGGCTTTGCCGGCAGACATAGGCGGGGGATGACTTGGTTTTTACTCCAAGCGAGGCGAGCCACAGGAGGGAGCGGAGCCTGCGGAGCAGTGCAGAGGCCAGCTCTGAGTCTCAGCTGAATGTCTTCATCCTGCCTGCTTGAATGGGAACAGACGCGCAGGGGACAGCATCGCTTCCAGATGGGCTCAGTGCCATACCCTATAGAGTCCCTATTTCAAGGAAGACATCCAGGCTAGAGCTAGACATTTGGAGGCATATAGGAGGTACTTAACACTATGATGTCAGATGTGGTTAAAAAATAGAAGAAAGTCGTGATAATGAACATATCTAGATGGCAGAATTACGGCTGATTTTCTCTCCTTTCTTTTGGAATTGCCTATGATGAGCATATACAGCTATTTTAAATTAAATATAATTTGTTATAGAGCAGCTTTAGGTTTACAGAAAAAATGGGTAGAAAGTAGAGAGAGTTCCCTAATGGATGCCTCCACTCCCCTCATTGTGAATATTTGGCATCAGCGTGGTGGGTTTGTTACAGTTCATGAGCTGACAATGGCACCTTATTAACTATGGCCACGGTGTTCACTGGGGTTCACCCTTTGTGCTGTGCATCCTATGGGTTTGGACAGAGGCATTGTAGGATCATACAGAGCATTTTCACAGCCATTGTACCACCACTGTGGTATCATACAATGCATTTTCACAGCCCTAAAACTCCCCTGGCCTCCGCCTGTTCATCCCTCCCTCCCCCTAGCCCCTGGCAGCCGCTGATCTTTCTATGGCCTCTCTAGTTTTGCCTTTTCCAGAAGGCCATTCAGTTGGAACCAAATACTATGTAGCCCTTTCAGACTGCCATCTTCCGCTTGGCAATATCCATTTAAGGTTCCTCCATGTCTTCTCATGACTTGATAGCTCATTTCTTTTTATTGTTGAATGATACTCCATTATCAGGATGTGTCACAGTTTAGAAGCACAATTGTTGGATTTTATGGTAAGAGTGTGTTTTGCTTTTTAAGAAACTGCCAGACTGTCTTCCACGGTGGCTATGCCATTTTGCATTCCCACCAGCAGTGAATGGGAGTTCCTGTTGTTCCACATCCTCAATCTGCATTTAGTGATGTCGGTGTTCTGGATGTCGGCTTTTCTAAAAAGTATGTCATGGAATCTACTTGTTGCCATAGACAGATTTGAAGTCAGAAAAAACTAAGCACTGTTCAAAATATATCATCTTAATAATAACACACTTTAGAAAATTTATAAGATAAAGTAATTATGCGGATAAAAAGGCCCCTCCTGAACTCCCCCACTGAACACTGTCCATCTTTTGTTATATTGCAGTTGTTTGGCCTGGCTGTGTTGGAAACGTATCACAATCACACCACATCTGTGGCTTTTTCATGAGATGCTATAAAATGAACACTTCCTTTATCATTACATGGCCTTCAAAAGTCCCACTATGAACCACAGCCTTGTATTCCAAGGAAGGCACGTGCCCCATACATTTGCCATATTTTTACCCACCTCCATCGTAATAGGTGCTGTTCTGATAGATAACGACGACATAAACAACCGTCTGCAAACAGGTTCATTTCTGTATTTATTGCTATGCAGTAGACTGCAGGGTCCAAACAGTGTAAGCATGTGTCAGTGTAAGGAGGGAATTTTCCAGAAGTTTTGATGCACTAGAAAGCCCTACACAAATTTATTAACAATGGCTTCTCCCCTTAGGATCTCTGTTTGCATGCTGCCTCTCCACAGCTGTTTCCACTGGAATTTAACCACTTAGTAGTTTCATTTAACCTGCTTAGTGGGCCTCTGAGTGAGCGCAAAAGTTAAAGTCCTTGCTGGGAAGTTATTTCCAGTTGAGGAAGGAAAAGATGGTATCAGAATGACCTGGAGTTTTCCAAACCCCAGGAACCACTGGGAGCCCCCAGAAGGGCAATGGGTGGGTGGGACGGAGGGAGGGCTGAAACACGCAAAGCCCCTCAGCCACTGATAACATCCCCCTGCACTCCCCCTCCCCCCACACCCCTTTCCTGTGCCCAAGTCCTGCCCAGCCAGAAGCTTCTCCCTGGTCTCAGCCCAGGCTGACCTTCCTGCCGGGGATGCTCTGACTCTCATCCCTGAAGCTCCTCCTACCCAGCAGAGAGGGACTGGGGCAACACACCCTGCCCTTGCCACTTAGCAGCCCTGCCAGAGCACAGGTGCAGCAGTGCTGGTGGTCAGGCCCAAGCTGTGGGCTCCTGGGTCGGGAAGGGGCTGTCGAAGACCACCCACCCACAGGAAGGAAAGGTTGGATCTCTATAGGGTGTGATACGGGTGCAAACAGATACAGAGAAGCCATACAGCTTGGTACTTAGTATACAGATTTGCACCTGAGGAGTCGGGCTCCTGGTTCAAAGCCTGAGTGTGATACTTTGGGCCTGACCTGAAGGCTGCACTGGGCAGGTCTCAGGGGGAAGCTGCGTCCCCACACCAGGCTCTTGCTTAGCCAGGCATGGCAGGCTTGAGGGAGCAGCAGGGAAAGGCTCGGGCCCTGGGGCCAGTCACGCTCCCAGCACATCTGCACCCCTATCTTGGGGACACCTTCATTCTCAGGTCTCATTATCTGAGGCCTTGGGCAGAGGTCCTCCAGGTGTCTCTGCTAAGACCTCCGTGTTGGCGGGGGAGGGCAAGAGCTTAAAGCCACCTCCACGCTCTGACTCAGTTCCCAGGGAATTCCCGCTCCAAGCCTTTCCCAACTCCATGACTTCAGGGCCCCTAAAACTGCAGGAGCCTTTTGTTCAGGGCTCCCTGACAGCGTGAGGGTCCCACGTCTGTGTAGATCACTCTGGCTCTAGACCTGTGTGCTGGTCAGTGAGGGAAAGAGAACGGGGAGTCGACATGTCCTCCGACTTCAGACTCTTGCCTGTCCCAGCCGAGCCCTTAATTAAGAAGACAGGACCAAACTTCACAATCCTGGTGAGAAGCCACCGAGTCCATTTTTTTTAACGAACTCAATCTGTTGTTTGAAATGAAGATGGCCTTTCATAATGAGTGAAAAAGCGACTGATGGTGTTTTACAAGGAACAGATACTAAGGTGAGAGTGGTTTGTATATGGAAGTGAGAAAATGTGTTTACCACCATGTGATTTTGTTGCAAAAAATCATGGGTCAACTAAACAGAAAAATAAATAAGGAAACTTTCTTATCTGTCTCTTTAAGAAAAATAAACTTGAAAATATACTTTTTAACCTGCTCTGAGATCATATGAAATTTTAACACTCTGATTCATTCACAAAGTCAGCTGAATGATATCAGTGAAGACAGAAAGTTAATCATATCAACAGAATGATTTACATCATTGGTAGATGAGATCGAAAGAAGAGGTCCTGGTATTATCATAAAACTTCTGCCCAGCTCCAGGCCCTTGTGAAGGGTGAAGTTCAGTCATGATAACCATCGGAATTGAGTACCAGCAAACCTCAGAGATAACGTGGGTTCAGTACCAGACCACCACAATAACGCAAATATTGCGATAAAGAGAGTCAAGTGAATTTTTTGGTTTTCCAATGCATACAAAAGTTATGTTTACACTATAGTGTAGTCTGTTAAATGTGCAATAGTATTATGTCTAAAAAATGTACATCCCTAAATTTAAAAATAGTTTATTGCTAAAAAATATTAGAGATCATCTGAGCCTTCAGCAAACTGTAACTCTTTTGCCAGTGGAGGGTCTTGCCTCGATGTTGATGGCCGCTGACTGATCAGGATGGTGGTTGCTGAAGGCTGGGGTGGCTGTGCCAATTTCACAAAAGAAGACAACAGCAACGCTTGCTACATTGATGGACTCTTCCTTTCAGGAAAGATGTCTCTGTAGCATGCAATGCTGTTTGACAGCATTTTAGCCGCAGTAGAACTTTCAAAATTGGAGTCAATCCCCTCAAACCCTGCTGCTGCTTTATCAACTCAGTCTATGTAATATTCTAAATCCTTTGTTATTATTTCAACAATGTTTACAACATCTTCACCAGGAGTAGATTCCATCTCAAGAAACCACTTTCTATGTTCACTCGTAAGAAGTAACTCCTTATGCGTTAAAGTTGTATTTGAGATTTCAGCAATTCAGTCACATCTTCAAGCTCCACTTCCACTTCTAGTTCTCTTGCTGTTTCCACCACATCAGCAGTTACTTCCTCCAAAGACGTCTTGAAACCCCTGAAATCATTCATGAGAGTTGAAATCAGCTTCTTTCAAACTCCTGTTAATGTTGATATTTTGTCCTCTTCCTATGAATTATGAATGTTCACGGCTGCAGAATGGATGTTGTGTTAGCAGGCACGAAAACAATTCATCTCATCCCCATGTGACCAGGTGCGTTGTCAATGAGTAAAAATGTTACGAGATCTTTGGGGTGTTGCTTTTCTGGCTGGAAACCTCTGTGGCCAGTGGCACCTTGGTCTGACTTCTTGAGTCCAGAAAGAATGAGGTACACAGACAAGTGGAGGGTGAGCAAGACAAAGAGGAGCTTTATTAAGTGTTAGAACAGCTCAGAGGCTCTCAGCAGAGAGGAGGCCCTGGAATGGGTGGCTCCTCTCTGCAGGCAGGTCATCCTGATGAGTGTTCAGCTCTCAGCAGAGAGGGTAGCTTCTGCTGCAGCTGGTCAACTGGACATCTGTAGTTCTCAGCAGAGAGGAGGCCTTGGAGAGGGTAGCTCCTCTCTGTGGCTGGTCGTCCCTACATCTGCTGCTCTCTGCAGCTGATAACTCCTCTCTGCAGCTGGTCATCCTGGCACCTCTCTGTCCTCTGCTCTGCTCTGGCTGAGTCTTTTATGGCTTTTATGGGCCTCAGAGGGGAGGAAGTGCCTTCCAATTGGTCCATGGGTGGCCATGAGAGGGCCTGGAAAAGGCACAAGTCCCTACTCCAGTCCAGAGGACTGGCAACCGGCCCCCAGCCTTCAGGTCCTCCCTGGCCTGAAGGTGCATCCTCATCTGGAACCCACTCCTTCACACCCAGGAGCCCGTCTGCCTCCTGCCACCACTCATCATGCCCAGGCCGCTTGCACCCAGGGGTACCCGCAGGCCAGTGCTGAGTTGCCACCAGCCCCGTCTCAGCCTCCCACCTGCGCTCATTGGTGCCCAAAGTCCAGAGAATCTGAGGCAGCAGGGCACTGCACATGAGCACTGCCCTGAGTGTGCACACACCTGGCTGGACTGCAACAGCACCCAGGCTTGGCCCCAACCCTACTCTAGGATCGGAGTAAGCACTGGAAGCAGGGAGAGGCCAGGCAGCAGGAGCAGATACCCCCAAGCCTAAGCCCTGAGAGCATCGGGAGGCCCAGGCCCACAGCTGCAACCTGGGTGGCTGCAACTGAGCCTCGGCAGCTCCCACACTGCCAACTTGAGGGGGGTCATGGCTCCTGCCTGTCCCAGCTCTGCAAAGTGAGCAGACCTGGCTGTGCCCTTCTCTGCGTCTCCCTCTGCCGCAGTGGTGGCCCTTGCACAAGTGAACCCGATGTTCCTGGGGCTGGTCCCATGAGTCCTGGCTGCAACTTTGGCCGGGTGCTTATGGGCTCCCAGGACATGGCAGAGTGTGAGGTTGAAGCTGTGGCAGAGGCTCCAAGCCTCGGAGCAGGTCCTGCCCAGCCATGCAAGGGTGGAGGTGGCACAGTTGGCTGCCTTGGGGACATGGGGCACAGGGAACCCCACTGCTGCTCCCACCACCAGTCCTGCTGCCCTGTCCACCTCCTTGCAGACTTCGGTGGGGGCTCCAGGGCCTTGCCAGGCCCGTGCCAGAGTCGAGGGCAAGGGTGATGTTGCCACAAGTTCCCCGGGGGCCCTAGTGCTCAGGGGTGGTCCAGGGCTCCCCTTTGCCCAGCTCACAACCCTGCCAGGGTTGGCTCCTCTGGGAGCGAATTGCAGGCCCTGGGCCCAGCTGCCAGGAGTGCCAGGCTCAGCAGTGGGAGCAGTCACTTCTGAGCCTGTGGGGGGCAGGGAGGGATTCCCAGTCCCCTAAGACCACGGGAATGCCCTGCTCCATAGCCGGCCTTGAGCAGCTGCAGTGGTGCCCAGGGAGGGCTGGGCTCCTGCCTGCTCTGTGGAGTGGAAGACCCAGCTGCACCTCCCTGCTGCAGCTGGCATCTTGGAAGCAGCCACTCTAGATGGACTGCTGCTGCCATTCATAATATTTTGATAGGAATCTTTTTTATTTTTATTTTTTCTGAACAGTAGGTCTCAATAATGGGCTTTAAATACTCAGCAAACCATGCTAGAAACAGATGTGCTGTCACCCAGGCTTTGCTGTTCCATTTATAGCACACAGGCAGAGTAGATTTAGCATCGTTCTTGAGGGCCTTAGGATTTTTTGAATTGTAAATTAGTCTTGCCTTCAACTTAAAGTCACAAGCTGCACTGGCCCCTAACCAGATAGTCATCAGTCCTTTGAAGTTTTGAAGCCCATCACTGACTTCTCCTCTATAGCTATAAAAGTCCTAGACGGCATCTTCTTCCAATAGATGGCTGTTTCATCTGCATTGCAAATCTCTTCTGTAGTGTAGCCACCTTCATCGACGCTCTTAGCTAGGTCTTCTGGATAACTGGGTGCAGCTTCTTCATCAGCACTTGCTGCTTCACCTTACACTTTTATGTTATGGAGACAGTTTCTGTCCTTAAACCTCATGCATCACCTCTGTTAGCTTCAAACTTTTCTTCTGCTGCTTCCTCACCTCTCTCAGCCTTCACAGAGTTGAAGACAGTTAGGAGCTTGCTCTGGATTAGGCTTTGGCTTAATGGAATGTTGTGCCTGGTTTGATCTTCCATCCACACCATTAAAATTTTCCCCACATCAGCAGTGAGGCTGTTTCACTTTATCTTTTTATTGTTGTTGTTCACTGGAGTAGCACTTTTGATTTCCTTCAAAAACTTTTCCTTAGCATTCACAACTCAGCTAACTTGTTGGTGCATGACACCTAGTTTTCAGCCTATAATAGCTTTCAACACGCCTTCTTCACTCAGCTTAATTATTGCTAGCTTTTGATTTAAAGTGAAACATGCCACTCTTCTTTTCATTTGAAAATGTAGTCGCCATTGTAAGGGATTAATTGATACAATTTCTATTTGTTTGTTTGTTTGTTTTTTCATATGGAGTCTCACTCTGTCACCCAAGTTGGAGTGCAGTGGCATGATCTCGGCTCACTGCAACCTCCGCCTCCCAGGTTCAAGTGATTCTCCTGCCTCAGACTCCCGAGTAGCTGGGATAACAGGTGCCTGCCACCATGCCTGGCTCATTTTTGTATTTTCAGTAGAGACAGGGTTTTGCCATGTTGGCTAGGCTGCTCTCAAACTCCTGACCTCAAGTGATCTGCCCGTCTCAACCTCCCAAAGTGCTGGGATTATAGGCATGAGCTACTGAGCCCAGCCTCAATTGATCTAATTTCAATATTGCTATGTCTCAGGGAAGAGGGAGGCCCAAGGAGAGGGAGAAGGATGGGGAAAGGCTGGTTGGTGGAGCAGTTAGAACACACAGGACATTGATAGATTAACCTCCCCATCTTATACAGGTGAAGTTTGTGGCTCCCCAAAACAATCACAATAGTAGCATCGATTATCACTGATCATAGATCACCACAACAGACGTAACAATACTTAAAAACTTTGAAACACTGAGAGTTCCCAGAATGTAACAGAGACATGAAGTGAGCACACGCTGCTGGGAAAACGGCACCCACAGACTTGTTCCCACCTGGGGTTGCCACAAACCTTCAACTTGTAAAAACACACTATCAGCAAGGCACAAGAAAGGGACGCACAATAAAGAGAAGTGTGCCTGTGCCTACTGGGCAGGTGAAGCCTCGCACCAAACCCGCAACCCACAGAGAGCCCACGGAGCACGGCAACCCCACGTGCACATCACAAAGGCAAGAGGAGCGCACTTCAGGAGGATATCCAAATCCGTTTACTGATAAACATGCAACGGTAACACAAGGAGCCCAGTGTTGGGAAGAAGAGGTGTGGGTTGCTTTGTGTTTTCCTTCCTATGTCCTTCTCTGCACCCCACAGTCAGACATTTATGAAGCCAGATGGCACCTGGCTCTGGGACTGGAAAGATGATATAACGTGGGCACCCAGGCAAACAGAAGAGTGCCTTTGGGTAGGAGTTGCCTGAGGATACAAGCCAGGAAGGGCGCAAAGCCAGCCAGAGCCTGGGGACGCTAGCTGCTCCCCTCGGAGACGCCTCCTGAGCTGAGTTTGAAGAGCAGCAGGCACTCAATACACTGCATGGACGGATAAATACCATAACTAACTTTCCCCAAAGGACCACAGGGAATCCCGTAGTTGAGTAAATAAACAGTGAGATAAGACAGGTCCAGCCAAAGAAAACTGCTAAGCCAGCTCAGAGATAAGCCAGAAATGCTATCCCACAAGGATGGCTTATAAAAATCAATATTTTAAGCAAAACAGTAATTAACCATGTGCTTCCCTTGAGGGCAGGTTGAGGAGAGGGTGCGGAGCCAACATCTCCAGAAAACCCACATGTGCTTGATGCCCAGCCCCGCATGGCTGCTGCCGTTGCTGGCGTTTGCATTGTTATTGCCACTCCTACCTTCTTCTCTGATTATCAAACTTGCAAAAGAGTTTTGGTTGCATGTTTTTTTTCAAACACTTCCTTTAATATCCACATGCAGGCAAATGTCCATTGTCCCTGTGTGTCGTGGGAGATATCAGGCTTGGCGAGGTTTGTCGAACCTGCACAAAGGCCCGCGGTGATGATGGTGCCGACGTTCCTGTTCCAGTGTATCTGGCCTGAATCCCACCCTGCCAGGCTGGGGCCAGGCCCCCTCCCCACACTGGCTGAAGTCGTGCCTCATCCATCTGACGCATCTGAGAGGAACAGGGCTTCCCAGAGACTCTCCTGGGCCTCACTAGGTCCCACCCTGGGGCCGAGTGCACTGAGGCATTTGGCTGGGCTCCACATCGTGACTTCCTGAAGACCCCACTGGCCTCAGCAATACCAGGAGGGCAGCCCTGCCACCGCCTTCTCTGCTCAGAGGCAGACCAGCTGTTGAGATGCTTCCAGAACCTGCCTCCAGAACCTGCCTCCAGAACCTGGCACCCAACCAGCAGCTGGATTTGGCTTTTCCCGGGACTCAGTGAAGAAGAGGGACAGTAGGGTGGGAGCCCGGTGCAGTGGCAGGTGGCTCCAGAATATCAGGCCTAGTGAGCCAAGCCCCACTGTGCCGGCTCAGCACACCCACACGCAGCTGGGCGGCTCTCCAGGTTTTCTCTTCCTCTCTGGGCAAACCCTAGGTAGGAGCCAGCCTCAGTCCAGAGGACTTCCGTCTCTCCCTGCACTCTGCAGAGGAGGTGCCCACAGAAGGCACGTGGCTGGAGAGGCCTGCTGACCCCAGCCAGACCCTCCCTGCCTGGCCCAGGCATCTGACCACTCTGCCCAAGGGATGCTCACCCAAAAGGAGCGTGCTGGCGTCATGGGCTCTGGGACCTGAGGCTTGGAAGACTTGTCAAAGACTAAGCTGGGAATTATGCCCGCCGGTGGGATGCAGAACAGATAAAATGCTAAGCATTTGCCTTCTGCATCTTCACCAGAGATCAGGAGGAAGGCCAGGACAGATCTGCCTCTGAGAATGCCCATGTGGAGGGAAGGCCTGGAGGCCTCCCCGAGGGCAGAGGGTTTTAGGCAAAGCCCAGGATGGCTGGTGAGGGTCCCTGTGACCGGAGACTGAATCTGACAAACACCAGCTGCCATGCTGTCTGTGCTGAGCAACCCATTCAAGAAAACAAACAACCATTAGTTTATTATGCTTGTTTAGCAACTGATTTCAGCTCCAGTGGAAATCCTTCAGGCGCTGTAGCTACCAACTGTACCAGAAATAATGGGTAACCATTTCTGCAGAAATGACTCTTTGACCAGGACAGTGACTTCAGGCACAGAAGACAGGCCCAGCAAGCTTCACAGGGAGATAAGCCTGGGTCCACAGCAGGCACACGGGGCTCTGACAACACGGTGGGCAGCGGCGGAATGAGCTGGTGCAGGGACTCCGTCAACAGCACAGGTCCTTCCCTCCGTGTCCTCTGAGAACACCGTGTCTTGCGCCTCCACACACAGCTCCACACACAGCTTGCAAGAATCAGGAAATCCATCAGGAATTAACTATGCTCCTTGTGGAAGACCAGCGCCAGGTGTTTGCATATCTGACTGAGGCGCCCTGCAGATTCAGGACACGTGCGTTTGAACTGCTGTTGGATGAGGTGGCCAGCATTTGCAATTTCTGGTGTTTGTTGTTCTGGTTGTTTTCTGAAAGGCATCCAATGCCTGCTATAGTTGCAAGTTTTGAATGTGCCAAATAAATAATCCTACAAACTGGGCTGGATCATGGTCCAAGCTCCACGGGCCCCTTTCATCTCCTTGCCATGTTAGGTGTTTGAGTATCTGGCTCTTGCTGGGTGGTGGAGTCCCCAAGGGCCCCCACCATTCTTTCCTCCCTACCAGCCCTGTGCCTGGGGACCCCAGTGCTCAGGAAGTGTCTGTGTGGAGCCTCACCTGGCCAGTGGGAGAGATGACCCTTGGCAACCCTTCCTGATCCTCCCACACCACAGCCTGGTCTGTGAACTGTGCCGTCCAGCGTGGATGGGGGTAGAGCCCTTGGCAATCTCCCCACAGCAGGGAAGCTCAGGCCCTCAGTGCTGCCCACCCTGCCGGGATGTGGAGGCATGAGCCGTCACCTCAGCAGGCTCAACACACCAGCTTCCACGGGACCTAGAGGTCACAGAGGCTCCTCACCCCGGTTTCTGCATCTGTGGGGTGGGGAGAGTGTTGTTTAGAGGACCAAATGGACAAGGTGCCCAGCCGGGAGCTCTGTAGCTTCCCTGTCATTTGAGGGTGATCTGGCGCCTTTGCTGATGGGGAGGGTCTGTCCATGGAGTGAGGCTTTGGAGACTGTTCTTCAGACAGAGCAGCAGGGAGTTGGGGTCCACAGTGGAGTGGGCCCGACCTCACCCTCAGGCCCGGGGCGCCTCACTCAGGCAGCGCCACCTTCCACTCCCCGCATCCCTTCCATTACCCTGGCCTAGGTCGGGTCCCTGCCCCATGGCAATGGGTCCTGGACTCCCAGGGGCTGCCCGTGTAGACAGCCTGGGACCCCCATGGTTGTCAGGACATAGCCTGGATGGCCAGAATGGAGGCCCCAGCAGTGACCACACACAGTGGTGATTCTCGGGCAGTGTCTTTTGGGGGCTCGGGCACATCCAGCTGGCCTCCTCCGTGGGTCTGGAGTCACCAGGAACCCGGTTCCCAAAGCACTCGCCTGCCTCCTGGAGAGTCCCTTGGCCAAAGCCCCGGGCTTTGCTGCCACAAACTCAATGTGGAGCCTGAATCTCTGCCACAAAACGCCAAGGAAAAGTTTCTGAGGAATGAGGCTTTGGGAATTGTCATTTAAAAGGTGACTCTCAAAGTGAAACGCAGTGGTGGGGGCTGACCCCAATGGTGGGCCTCAGCTTTCCCGCCTCCATCCAGGCCCCTGGGCTGACCGAGGCTCCCTCATTTGCCGAGAGGAGGCTCCAGGGCGGAGGGCGTCATTTCCCCCAGAGGAGACGCTGCCCACACCTACCCCATCTTCGCAGTGGGTGGCACTGGCCCAAGGTCTCCAGAGGTCACTCTGAGTGCTTCCAGGAAGCCCCAGGGCCAGGCTCTGGGCTTCCAAAAAGGCTCTTGGAGCCAAACGGAGCTCTGGTGAGTGCTGGCAAGTGGATGCCGGGAAGCCCCACTTCTCTAGGAAATATGGAAATAACAGGATTTACTCAAAGTGAAAGTCAGGAGTGAGAGAGAAACTATTCCCCCGTGAAAAGCTTCCCAAATTGAAAGAAAATAATTTGTCAGGGAACATGTCACAGGAGAAATGAAACTGCTTGCTCAGGTCTGTTTTCTTCTCTTCTGTTTGGTTGAGAGAGGAACGGGGCCTGGGCGTGTGATGGAAGCACCACCGCCGTCGAATGTCTGCTCAGCGCCCAGGAGGAAAGTGTCCTTCCTTTTCCTGCTCTGCTGTCTTGCACACAACTCATGGTCATTGATCCCATAGACATGGGAAAGGAAAGATTCTCGTAAACTACATTTCAGAAAATATCCACATTTTCATATTCTAAAACGATCATTCTGTTTCTTCAAAATGAGATTTAGCAAGCAGAACGCAGCCTTTGGGTGGCGGATGGTGCCTGCACAGCCGCTGTCCTCCAGAGCGGCACCTGCTCAAGGCAGCCAGGGCCAACGCCATTCCCAGCTGCACTTGTTCAGTTTTGCTCAGCATCCTATGGCCATGAAAACTGAGATCAGCCGACGTATGAGTCTTGGCTTTAGGACTCTTTCTGCCTCTCCATCCTTGAAGGAAGTGTGAAGGTGACTTTCCCAGGCACATCCCTTTCATTTCATCTGCGTGCCCCTCCTCTGCTGACATCACAGGTCTGTGCACCAAGACTGCTTTGCAAAGGGCTTCTTTCACTCCGGTTGTTTCGTTAAAACCCCCTTAGGGCCCAGCTCCCCCAGCGCGAGGCATTGCTGCTGCATGGCTTGTTCATGATCTGGCTCTGCACAGGTACTCACAGACGTCAACTTTCCCCAAGCTTCCTCCCAGGCCCCAGGAGGGGAGGACCCACCTGACCCCTCACATTGCCCTTGTGCTTTTCCAGCTGAGCTAAGCCCAGGCCGTGTGACACCGTCCCTTGGCATCACCGCTTCGCTTAGCAGCTATAAAAAATGTGGAAATGGCCCCATCCAGTCTGCCTGCCTCCATCCACAATCCCAGTTCTGCAGTTTGGATTGTCACATCAGGTGGAGTCAGGCAGGCTCGAGATCTCAGAATGGAGCCTAAGGCTGTGGGCACAGACCTGGAAGACCCCTAGGCCCCACATTATATGACTGATGCTGACTCCTGATCCTGATCTCGGGCCACTGACTCCTGATCCATACTCAAAGGTGCCCACATTGCCCTGCTCTCAGCATTGAAGGGATGCAGCCAAGGTTCACCCTGTCCCTCCACCCCATGACACAGTGCCTGGCAGCCGGGCCTCCTCCCACAGAGCTAAGGAGCTAAGAGGTGCAGCTTTGGCATATGTCCACGGAGGACCCTGATGATGTAAGCTCAAAATGTCACTGGGCCCCACCGCATGGGTATGAACAAGCAGCCCTGCTCTCCACACACTGGACAGAATGTCTAATCGAGTCACCGGAGGTCTACAAGCATGGACATCACTCTCCCTGCCTCAGCAAAATGGACAGGTACAAGGCGAGAGTGTGGTACTCTCACTAAGAACGGAGAAAATTCACTTAGCTTTGTACGTCAGTTTAGGGATACTAATGCGTTGTTATTATTGTGATTTCATGTAATTTGTTGCACAATAATTTGAATATTCATTTTATTATAACTAGAGATTAATGACACTACCCAGGAGAACAGATTGCTGTGAATACCTGGTAACGTAAATGTCCTGATTAAGGAACCAGATCAGAGAGGGAGAGAGGGGGAAAAGGCAAGCAGCAGTTTCCATCATTAAGAAACAATGGACGGGTTCCCTCAGGTTCCAGAAATCACCCCTCAAAACTTACCCACGTAACCAACACCCATCTATACCCCAAAAACTACTGAAATAAAAAAATTAAAAATTATCTTTAAAAAGGAAGAATGGATGGTTTTAAAGTAACTTCCAATGAGCACCAGGAGCCCAGCCTTTCCCCCTGTGCCAGCATCAGCTGGTGGGGCAGATGGCAGTAGGCTCTCTGGAACTGGAGATCCAGCACAAGGTCTGGACGTGGACGCCTGGGCATGACAACGTGCACGCACCCCCAGGTTGGCTCAGAAGATCCCTTTGCCTCCCCCAGACTCACTTTCTATCAGAATCTGAGACATGCCTGCCTCCACCACACACACAGAAACTCCTCAGGCAGGATCCTGCTCCAAGGCCCATACTGTGTATGCAGCAGGTGCTTAACACATACATGTTAATTGGGTGGCTGCTAGACAGCATTCTCCTCCTGAAAGATCTATTCAATGTGTGGCTTTCATGAATTAAAAGGGTCCACAGCTTCCTCAACTTCCAAGGGTCCTCCTGATATGGGGTTACCATGGGGGGAATCCAGCAACATCCCTCTAAGTACAGTCCAGAGCGTCCATCTGTTGCTAAAAAGATTAACCCTTTGCCCTAGAATATATGTGTTTACATCACGAAAGCTACAGCAGGCAGATTCTATTCCCAACCAGCAGCCCAAGGCTTCATTGACCTTGAGAGGAGGACAGAAGCCTATTTGTTTGCACAACAACAAAAGTTTTGTGAAGAGGTTCTTTAATGCATTAAGCAAAACTCCGCTGTTTATCATCAGGCAGCTGTTTTCAAACCACTTCATTATGTTCAACACACACGCAATTTACACTCACCTCTCACCTGCCTCGTCATATCCCTTGGCAGTAACAGAGCACAGGAAATTATTCTCAGCCCATGTCTCTCTCTTTGGAGATGCATTTAGACAGCGATGCAATCAGCCAGCTGACAATTTTCAGGGATTCTCCTGCTTTGCTGAGTCTATCTTGGTTATGAAATTAAGATGATTAAATGCCTCATCAAGATACCAAATATGCTTTTCTCTACACCACCTGCCAGGGTGGGTTCTGTTCCTGAATCTTCCCAAGTAAGTGCATGCTGCTTCCTTCCATGACTGTCCGGGACGGTAGACAGGTCTTCAGTGGATCGCGGATAAATGTGTCCACACTGATGACTTTATTCCTCAAAACCCAGACACTCTCCCAGGAAATAGCCACTGGACCAGGATTCCCTACAAACTCCAGAATGAATATGCGCAGTATTGGAGAAGGAAAAGCTAAGACAGAAATGCTCAGAAAAACATTTCTCATCATATGTAGCTGCTGTTGAGTTGTCATGTCAATATGACATAGCAAGACGCGATCATGCCTGTCCTTGCAGAACTGCTATCCTAAGCGAGACGAGAGTTTGAGATTACAGAATCAAGGCATTGGTGGGGACTGAGGAAAACAACATCACCACTGAGCTAGGAGCTGTGAGGAAGAGCAGAGACCGGGCTTGGGAGGGCGGGGCCACACTCAGAACTGTCTGCTCCTCCACCCCACGAGTGAATGGTGACCATGGAGGTCACAGAGGGCTTAAAGCTGGAAGGTGGATTGGCGAGGTTCTGGAACTTACAAAGGAGATGTGAGTTCATTATGTGAACCCAGCCCCTGGACACTGAAGATTCCTGACAGTGCACGCCCACCCCAAAGCTCTAACAACCGGAGCGGTCACTGCAGCTGCCCAGATGGACAGCCAGGAAATCTCCCGCAGGCCTGCGCCGGGGAGATAGTGGCCTGGCCTAGACATGAGCCACAAGAGAGGGCCGCTCCCCACCTCCTGGCGAGCACACTGATGCCCACAGTCATGTCCACAAACTTGGCTGCTTAATGACGTTTTTGGAACCCTCCCAGACGCAGGCACTGTCCAGCAGACGGCCCTGCCCATCTGGCTCAGGTTCTCGTCTGGGGAGCAGACCAGGGACAAGCTAACAGAAAGCTTGAGGGTGCAAAGTCAGTGTTGGAGAGGACAGTGCCCATGGCAGAAGGATAAACACAGAGGCAGGCATGGGCCTCTGAGGTCAGGTCTCAGCGCAGATCTCAAGGAAGCAGGGATGAGCCCTGAGGACATCTGGTCAAAAGGTGCCCGGAGGAGGGCACAGTGACTGCCCAGGCCCCAGGCAGAGGCCTGGAGAATGGAAAGGAGCCAGTGGCAGGTGCCTCCTGAGCCGGGAGAGCCACCGACTTGGGAGGGAAAAAGGCCAGGTGACCAGAGCAGGGGGCTCAGGGGCCATCCTGAGCTCTGGATTTCATTCCGCATGTGGGGAGCTTCAGCCACTCCCCAAAACAGGGCTCTGGAGGGAGGAAAGTCTGAGGAAACCCAGCAGGCTGTGGGAGATGGAAGCGGAGGGAGGCAGGGGCTCCCGGCTCCTGCCTCCCCCCGGGCCCACTGGCCTCAGGAACAGGAGAACTCAGATTGATCTGAGCACCGGTGGGGCTCCTTCACCTGACTCTGAAACCCCAGGCAGAGCCACGTGACCCCGGCCGAGTCGCATCCTCTCCTGGATCCTGCTCGGTTTCCTCACCTGTAAAATGGGGCAGCGATGCTTCTAGAGTTCACTGGTGAAGATGAGACGAGGCCCCCCCTCCTGTCCTCTCCCCTTGAGCTACATCGTCTTTTCTTTTTTCTTTTTTTTTTTTTTTTTGAGACAGAGTCTTGCTCCGTCACCCAGGCTAGAGTGCAATGGCCTGATCTCAGCTCACTGCAACCTCTGCCTCCCGGGTTCAAGCAATTCTCCTGCCTCCGCCTCCCAAGTAGCTGGAATTACAGGTGCCCACCACGATGCCCAGCTAATTTTTTTTTTGTATTGTTAGTAGAGACAGGGTTTCACCATGTTGGGCAGCTTGGTCTCGAACCCCTGACCTCAGGTGATCCACCCGCCTCGGCCTCCCAAAGTGCTGGGATTACAGGCATGAGCCACCGCACCCAGCCCACATCGTCTTTTCAAGACATGAGAACGATCATGTCTCTTCCCTGCCGCGGAGTCACTTCCTGCCAAGGCTGGCCTGGGGGGTGCCCTTTGCTGTTGGTGTCCTCGCCTGCCCAGGAGTCACCATCAGGCCCTTGAAGGCCCCTGCTCTCTCCCATGCTGGGGCTTTGCAAGGAGGAAGTGCTCCTCCCTCCCATGGGAGCTCTCCTGGGCTCATGGGGCCTCGGGTCCCCTGAAAGTCCTCCCTGATGACTGCTGGACCCCCACAATCCTCCTGCATGGCCTTCAACCCCACACCTCCCTCCGGGCCCTTCTGCTGCCACTGTGTGTGCCAATCACATCTGTTTGAGAAAGTCCGTCTCCCTCACAGGCCCCCAAAGCTCCAGAAGCCCGGAAACCTTGCCTGATGGGGTTCAGCTCTTTCCTTCCTGAGCCTAGTCCAGCCTCACAGCTGCGTGTGCCCCTCAGGCAGAGACAGGGCTACCTAGTTCATGGGAGCCCTAGATTAGATGAGATGACCACAGGGAAGGCCCCGATACAGTGCCTGGCACACAACTCATCAGTCATTTTCCTTTCAATTCCAAGCCGCTCTAAACATGGGTTGACTTTACGAAGGGACAGAGGAAAGGTGAGAGGGGGAGGAAGGAGGGAGGGAGGAGAGGGAAAAGGCCTGGGCAGGCAGGTGGGCAGGAGTGTAAGACGCTCAGTGCCATGCGTTGCCTGCAATTGACAGTAAGCAATGCTGCTAACCTTCATGACTGTTTAGGACAGTGGATGGGTCTTTTCCAGTGAGCCCATTCCAGGCTTCACATCATGCCCGGAGTCTCTAGGACTTAAAGCCCCAGCAGGGGCCAAAAAAATCTAGCCTCATCAAGAGCCAAGTGACAGAACCCTGGAAACAGTGACATCTGGCGAGACAAGCTCCTGTCCCACCATCCAAGGCGCCCAGATGAAGAGAAGACCATGGGCCATGCTGGCCTGCAATCCAGAAAAACAAAGGAGAGAGAAAGCTGAGAAGGATCTGGAGGAGCACAGGCCACCCAGCCGCCCGGTGAGGATGGCCACACCTCCAGCAACCCTTGACTGAGCCAGGGAAATGTCCCCTAAACATCTGTAGGGATGGGAAACGCTTCCGGGCTTTGGTGGGTGACACTCACGGATGCTGAGACACCCATAGCAAACCCTGTGAAAACCACCCATAGCTCCTCACTCTGCCTTTCGCTGCAAAGGTCCAGCTACTCTCTCGGGGGCACACCCTCCTCTCAACAGCAAATCCCACAGGAGTGACAGGTGAGAGTTTCTCCATGTGGAATGCGACCCAGCAGAGCCAGCCTACACCCTTTCGTGAGCCCCGAAAATCAGAGAGAGGTCTCAGTTAATTTAGAAAATGTATTTTGCCAAGCTTGAGGATGCATGGCTGCGACACAGCCTCAGGAGGTCCTGGTGACATGTGCCCAGGGTGGTCAGAGCAGTTTGGTTTTACACATTCTATACATTCAAAGCCAAGGTGGGAAGACTGGAAGCAGGAGGGGGCTTCCAGGTCATGGTAGATAAGAGAGGAATGGTTGCATTCTTTGAGTTCCTGATGAGCCTCTCCAAAGGAGGCAATCAGACATGCACTTAACTCAGTGAGCACAGAGGTGATTTTGAATAGAATGGGAGGCAGGTTGGCCCTAAGCCATTCCCAGCTTGACTTTTCCCTTTAGCTTGGTAATCAATCAACATATGCAAGATGAACCTTGGTTTGGTCTGGAAACGAGGGACAACCCAAAGCCAAGTTGGGAAGACTGGAAGCAGGAGGGGCTTCCAGGTCAAAGGTAGATGAGAGAGGAATGGTTGCATTCTTTCCAGTTCCTGATGAGCCTCTCCAAAGGAGGCATACAGAGATGCACTTATCTCAGTGAGCTGAGTGGTGATTTTGAATAGAATGGGACGCAGGTTGGCCCTAAGCAGTTCCCAGCTTGACTTTTCCCTTTAGCTTGGTAATTTGGGGGCCCCAAGATTTATTTTCCTTTCACGTTTCAATATGAAGCTACACGACTCATCTGTGCCTGCCTAAGATGTGCACACACACACACACACAGACACCTGTTCTCTGTGGTTGTGCTTCCTGCAAACAACCACATGTATACCCAGGTAGTCTCAGAGATGCACCCGACAGGCTCAGGGTGGACAGCTCTGAGCCTGCACCAGCATCCCCACCACCCCAGGCCAGGCCCTCCTGGGAACCCAAGCGACTGTCCTTTTCGTCTGTCAGGTATAAAGTGAAGAAATTTTGCTATCCATGGAACCTGATCAAGCCTGTGGCCGCACCTTCCCCCTCTGACTCAATATTCATCATTTGACCTTTTAGAGTCAATCACAAAATGTCATTTTTAAAAGGCATTATTCAAGTTATCACTGTGGTCCACAGTGAAAATTCTTTTTCTCTTATCCAAAGCCTGCATCAATGTTTATATGCCTCTTTCTCATAATCTCAATGGCAATAATCTACTAGCAACAGTCATTAAATTTCCCACTTCTATTGCAAATTGTACAATACCACGCTCTGCATTCCAAATCACATTCAATCTTCCTTTCACGAAACCAGCAGACATTGCCTGCATGTCTATCACGGCGGCCTTGCAGCTGAGCATGCTGAGGAATGCCCTGCACGCCCTGTGCTGCCCTCTGAGCGTGTCCACCGTGCAGCTTTGTCTGTATCACAGATCACCAATGCACATGGACTAATTAGATCAAAGGAGATTCAAGGTCCATCTCCAAATTAAAAAAAAAAAATCCATTGCAGTAAAGACAATGCTACCTGAAATGAATGCTTACTTTCCTCAAGAGTGAGCACCACCTTGTCCATATGAAAGGCATTTGTGCTGATGCAGGAAGGAAAAGGAAACTTTGAGTGAAGCCCAAGCCCCCAGATCCTTAGGGAAAGAGCCAGACACAAAGTTTGGCCACTGGGAGCTGCCTGTTTCTATTCTTCCCAAAGGCAAACCCTCCCTAGAGAGAATGCAACTGAACCTCCACAGTCCCCCTGGCTACTCTCCCGACGCTCCGTCCTAAAGTCCCTATTGGGAATTTCGTGTTCTTGTTCTTTAAAAGGACCCCTACCCATCACAATTTGTATACCAGTCAGGGTCCAAAAAGCCTGATCCGCCCCCTGCTTACCACCTCCAACACCTAAAAGTGAGGACTGCCTGAGACCAATGAAAACCCTTCTGGCCGGGCGCGGTGGCTCACGCCTGTAATCCCAGCACTTTGGGAGGCCGAGGCTGGCGGATCACGAGGTCAGGAGATCGAGACCATCCTGGCTAACATGGTGAAACCCCATCTCTACTAAAAATACAAAAAATTAGCCAGGCGCGGTGGCGGGCGCCTGTAGTCCCAGCTACTCGGGAGGCTGAGGCAGGAGAATGGCGTGAACCCGGGAAGCGGAGCTTGCAGTGAGCGGAGATCACGCCACTGCAGTCTGGCCTGGGCGAAAGAGCAAGACTCCATCTCAGAAAAAAAAAAAAAAAAAAAAAAAAGAAAACCCTTCTTCTGCAAAGCCACTTAGGAGGAATTTACCCAAATCTTCACCTCTGAAAGCACATCCAATAGCTAGGTATTTAGACCCCACGCTTTCAAACGTCTCAGAATTATATTGAAGTCACATTTTCAGGAATTCAAAAAAACCGTGTTATAGGAATTACGATGGTGACATGAATGGTGTTTTAGAAACAGACATTATTTTTTTAAGAGTCCTGATGCAATTGTTTTACAAAAATGTGTAGTGGTTGCTGATACCAAACAGGCAGATGGGAACTAATTCTTCCCTACAGAAACCAGCGAAAGTAACCTCAGCCATAGCACCAGGAAGACAAGACCTCCCTCTCTGAAAACTTTTCACTAGAAGTTGATTAACTTACTAATACAAGTTAATATACTAAAATGTTAACAAAATAAATGACTGTAAAAACCTGTGGAAGCAGGTTTTAAAAATAACCCTGCTTTGTTCACACCTCTATCCCCCCAGCACATATACCAGTACATGCTACAGAACAGGCACTCAATCATATCTGTGATATTGATAATTGATCGATATTTATCAAGCCTCTGTTATACCAGACACTTTGTCAGGCTTTGGAGAACCAGCAGAAAATGAGACAGACACAGAGGGCTTCTGCCCTCCAGGAATGTACATTCTTACCTGCATGATGTTACCAGAGTTTTAAAGGAAAAAAAAGTAAAGTAAGCTGAATATTTAATTTTTATCATAACATTACTTCTCATAAGTTCATTTCTTATGGGTCTTGACCCTAACTTTCTAAGAAAATTAAAGTTCAGGTGATATCTGTAATTCAGTAGGAATCTATTGAATCTATTGAGTTGCGTAATTTGAGGGTATATAATTTGAGACAAAAATGTATTTTCTCTTAGAAGAATATCTCTTATTACACAATTTTAGAGCTAAGTGCACGTAGGCTACAGAAGCTGAAGTGAGTCATGTCTGCCACGGTGCCGTGAGCAAGGTTCTCTGAGAGGCTCTCCAGCTACAGTGAGGAACGGCCTTAGACGGGATGCATTGGTACAGTTGCCAAAGGCTGATCAGGCCTCCAAGAAGTCGACTTCTTTCCATTTCCCAGGAAACCTGTCTTAGGTCTCCCTGAGAACCAGGCAGCAGTGACAAAGGAAGCTGAGCGCAGGATTTTAGAATGAAACAGAAGCTTTGCCTTCACGGGGGACTGGTCTGCTCCTGGGTTGATGGTGCCCCTTAGTTCTGCAGATGCAAATGTAAGGCTTCCTTAGTGAAAAGCATAACCAACTGAGCTTACTGAAGTTCCAAGTATTAAGAGGAAATGATAAGCTCAAAGTTAAAGAACACCGGATAAAGGAAGTAAACCACCATACAGAGAGCCAAAAATAACAAAAGACAAATTTGGACCCACAAAAATTAGAGATATAAGAATTTTCATGTATAAAATATACTAATTGTATATGAAATGTTTTCAAGAGGAGCAAGGACCTAGACATTATAATGAATAAAGAAAAACTGGAAAACGAAGATGATGAAATTTCTAAAGATTAAAATAATTGTTGAAATGTAAAACTTCATAGAAAGTTGAAACAGCATATTTGACATAAATGAAGAGAGACTTAGCAACTGGAAAACACAGCTAAAGAGATTGCTTAGAATGAGCATACAGAGCAAAGAGATAAACAGTATAAAAGAAAAACTGGCTGGGCACAGTGGCTCCCATCACTTTGTGAGGCGGAGGCAGGCAGATCACTTGAGGTCAGGAGTTCGAGACCAGGCTGGCCAACATTGTGAAACCCTGTCTCTACTAAAAATTCAAAAATTAGCCAGGCATTGCAGTGGGCACCTGTAATCCCAGCTACTTGGGAGGCTGAGGCAGGCAGGAGAATCACTTGAACCCAGGGGGCGAGGCTGCAGTGAGCCAAGATCGAACTACTGCACTCCAGCCTAGGCGACAGAACAAGACCACATCTCAAAAAAAAAAAAAAAAAAGAAAAGAAAAACTGAGAGATATCAGGCCATAAAACAAATCTCCACACATTTCAGAAGAATTGTTGTATACAGCCCACAGTTTACTTCAGTTACAAATGAATAACAAAAAGAAAATTTTAAATCTGCATACATTAGAAATTAATTGAATGGGAATTCCTTTAAAAATCATAGGATATAAAACTACAATGAAAATTTAAAATTTAAATATGAAACTGAGTGATAACAAAAATAGTACATTAAAAAATTTACAAAAAGCAGTGAAAATTGTATTAAAGAGAAAGGGATAGCCTTAAATCTTTTATGAAAATAAAGACATAATTAATGTGCAAATATACAACCTAAGGATTTAGGGGAAGAAAAAAAAACAACACATCTGAAGAAAATGGAAGAAAATTGAGATAAGAGCAGATTTCAATCAAGTTGAAAAATGTACCCAAAATGTTTTTAAAGATTAAAAGTTGTTTCTTTGAAGAACTAATAAAATGGACAAACCTCTAGTGGAAATGAACAAGTACTTTTTTTGAATGAGGAGGTGCAAATAAGCAAAACTATATATTAAAAAAGATAACTATTATTATAGCATATTAAAAAGATAAGTAGGTACAGAACAATCTCATACCAAAGGCAATTTGCAAACTTAGATGCAAGTATAAATTCTAGAAGAAAAATATAGCTTATGAACCCTACCAGAATAGGAAATAGAAAGCATGCATAGTCATATAACAACTAAATACATTGTATCAGTAGTTAAAAACCTTTCCACATAGGAAAGATGAGGTTCTTATATTTTAAGAGGAAAGTTCTACAAATTATTTTTAAGGAATATTCCAATCTAACATTGTAAAATTCTTCCAAAACATTAAAAAAAGAGGAGCCACTTCCCAGCTTCTTCTATGAATCCAGTATAGCTTTCACACTAAAGCCAGGTGAGTCTAGTAAAAGAAAATGAAGCAGCCAGTCGCAGTGGCTCACACCTTTAATCCCAGGAATGTGGGAGGCCGAGGCAGGTGGATCACTTGAAGTTAGGAGTTCCAGACCAGCCTGGCCAACATGGTAAAACCCTGTCTCTACTAAAAATACAAAAATTAGCCAGGTGTGGTGGCTCATGCCTGTAATCTCAGCTACTCAGGAGGCTGAGGCAGGAGAATCACTTGAACCTGGGAGGTGGAGGTTGCAGTGACCTAAGATTGCCCTGCATTCTAGCCTGGGCAATACAGTAAGACTCTGTCAAAAAAAAAAAGGAAAGAAAGAAAAGAAAGGAAGGAAGGAAAGAGAGAGAGAGAGAAAGAGAGAAAGAGAAACAAAGAAAGAGAGAGAAAGGGAAGAAAGAAAGAAAGAAAGAAAGAAAGAAAGAAAGAAAGAAAGAAAGAAAGAAAGAAAGAGAGAAAGAAAAGAAAAGAAAGAAA